>NC_000016.10:52441288-52744318 GCF_000001405.40 Homo sapiens | reverse complement strand
AATTGTTAAACTGTTTTAGGCACTCTGAGGGTATGAACTCATTAGTCCTCTCAACAACCCTATGGTAGCTACTATTGGTATCCTCATTTTCAGAACAGGAAACTGAAAGGTAAAGCACAGAAAGGTAAAATAAATTGCTCTAAATCATGCAGCTAACAAGTGACAGAGCCAGGGTTCAAACCCAGGAACTCTGTCTCTAGACACGTACTCTTAACTGCCGCAGGTTTCTGCCTCTCTGATCTACCATACTATAATGATACAGTTCTGTCTTTTGGGAGATGAGAGATAGATGCACAATGCAATCAGAGGGCAAAGCAATATGAATTAATGCATTACCTCATATAGGCATGGATTCAACAAATCTTTTTGAGTGCCTACTATATGGCATGTTTCCTGGAGGAGATAAAAAATGATGAGTCAGTGATTTATAAAGTCTGCATTCCCACCCTCTATCCCCCAACTAGACTGTGCGAACTTGGGAACACAGATGATGCCTGGGTGATCTTTGTGTTTTCTCAAAAACTTAACGTGGAAGCTGACACATAATAATTGTCAAATAAATGAATGAAAGAAGGTTGCCTAGTAGTGATATCTGCCATTTTGCATGTACAACATCCTGCCTTTAAGGAAGAAAGAGGGTGTTATACCACATAGGTGTGATGGGCTCCTGTTAAGCAGGTCTGGCCTTTCCCTCAGTTGTATTTTATAATGTTTTGAAAAGTTTGGTCCTGAGCTTGGAGATTAAACCCCAGCTTATGCTTCCAGACCACGAGTGAGAATGAGAGACAAAGTTGACCCATGAGCGAATATGGACTCTGAGACATTAGGGTTAGTCCTCTCTCTGGTGAAGGCAGAGGTCAAGGAAGAAGCCTGGGTCAAGCTGTGTTGCAAGGTGAAATGTTGTGAAGCTGAAAGAGGGGCAAGGACTGGGTTAAGGGGTGGGTGATATGACCATAAAAGTAGTTGTCTAATTCAGGACATGTTCAAGAGCAAAAGAGATGCTATGAGGAATTACACTGGGTCAGCAGCTATACTTCTGGATGATCCCAGGCAAATGCCAATCAATGATCATTCTACTTAAGGATCCAATAGGAAAACATCACAAATTCAAGGTAGTACATAATTTGGTAGAAAAGGCTCTGGATGGATCTAAGCCATCGAAGTTCTAATATTCACTCTGCACCCCTCCAGCTTGCCACCCTGGTGCCACCTACTTCTCATCTAAGGCACTGAGATAGAACAGAAATTCCCTGTCATTTTCCTACTCAGTGGAATATTTCTTTCAAATAATTCTTACACAAGAAGATTTTGGAAGATCTCCAAGCCCTCTAAAAGCTTTAGTATTGCTGAGTTAGTTGTAGGATTAAGATTTATTTTGCTTCCTTATCCTTATGTTTTCTTATTCTTGTTTTATCCCTAGGATGAAACAGATATTCTTAGATGACTCAACATATGAGCCTTAAAAGAGATTTCAGAATCAGCTTCTTTATTTACAAATCAGAAAACGGAAGTCCAAAAGGGTAGAATGTGTCCAAGGTCATGCAGACAGACAGACCTGGATGGTTTCACTCCGCCATACTAAAAGTGAAATTGGGACATGCTTAAAAAAAAAAAAAAACTTTAAAATAATATAATTATAATGCATGATCATTGTTGGAAATGCAGAAAAGACAAGAGGCCAAAAAAGATAATATAAATCAACGATTGAAGCTCACATGTAGCCTCTATAATGATTCTGGTGTATGAGTATTTTTTTCAGACTTTCCATTTCCCCCTTTCGAGTGCTCTTTACAGTCTACCAGCAAGTTCTTATTTTTTCCACTTTGCCACCTGTTCCAGCTAACCCATGTCATCCTTCCATCCTCTCGTGGCTTTCTTGAAATTACAGCTAAAGGACATAGTTCATAAGTTGACAAGTCTACGAACAGTCCCGCTTCAACGCAGCCCATTGAAACAATATGCGATTGGAAAAGGCGTTTTGGTACGGAGCAGGGGAGAATGAATGTGGGACCTGGATGCTGAGTGAGGCCTGGATTTTTGATTGGTCAGCTATGAGCCAAGCGAGGGGTAAACTCAATCCACATATCAAGCAATCAGAAGTGGAGATCAGAAACCTGAAGCCCGTAGAGCTCTTAGGAAGGCAATGGGGGAGAGTTTGGTAAATCAGCTAGTGTTAAGGAAAGACAAAGCTGACTTTCAACATTTAAAGAAGGCATGGGCCCTGTAGTTTTGTATACAATCATTGATAAGCCTGTACACATTGTTGCCTCACGATTTCTCCGCATTGCGACTTATAAATGTCCGTACAACTTTTGCTAGAATTGATTAATTGCACCTTGTTAGAGCACTTGATTTTTGTTAAAAGTGGAAAATAGAGCCTATTAAATGAAATGGCTGAGATGTTCCTGAAAGCAGCCTAATGCCTCTAAAACACACTTTGGGCCATGAGTGACAAGCACAAGAAAGAGGAAGAGAAGTTACAAAGAGAAGCAAAAAAGAGGACGTGTGCTGCTCAGGCACCGTTGTTTTCCAAAGATGTTAGAATCTCATTTCAAAAAGGATCTCTGATCAAAACAATTTCTTAATCGAAAACCACCGTCTTAATTTGTCTTATCGGTGGCCACTTTCAGCAGAAATGTGCCTGTGGCTCTCTGTGCCTGGCCAGCGGCTGCTTTTTATTATGCAGATTGGATGGAGCAGCCTCCACGAGCCAATTCTGGGCACTGCATTTGCATAATGACTCGCCTTCTTAAAGATGGGCAGTTAAACCAAATAGTTTTTGAATTTCTTTTGTGGAATGGCTGCCTCTTTATTTAATGTTGAAAACTGAAGGGAGTTGAGGAAGGGTACTGACTAAACAGGCTTTTTAAATACTGCCTCCGTAATTATCTGTGGAATTAAACCCACAGAACCCACATTAACTCTCATCAGAAAATGGAATTATGAGAATTCTTATTAACAGCAGCTCCAGACTCAACTCACAGTATTCACTGGAGTAATTATCACTGGGAAAGGCTGGGATTAAGTTTTTTTTTAAGCTGGAGAAAATAAATTCTTAGCCATTGCCTGCCTTGGACATGCAGGAGGAGACAAAGCAATGTGAACTTTTATTTTAGGGAGAAAAAAATAATTTTGAAATGTAATTTTGGTCTGATTTCTGAGGGAATTCTTATGCAAGGCATTTTGTATGTAAAGGGATTATGTGTCACCAATGCGAAATGAAATACAAAATAAACCAAAGAGCTGTGAATGTCCTAAGTGCAGAAAATAATATATAATTTATGATACTTTAAATCTCATTAAAAACACTAGCTTTTGTAGCTTCCTAGCAACCAATCCTCAGGAGTCTCTCTGTAAAGAGGTTGGCTCTCCCCAAGCTCACGGTCCAAAGCTTTAATAAATGAAGCCCATATGGCGAGTATATGAGGGTTCCCTGCGTGCAAGCCATTTGTCTGGGTGTTCTCAAAAGCCTCATATGATAGCTTATAATTTGCTAATCCAATATAATAAACATGAAAGCACTTTGTTAAACTAATGTTCAGGGCCTAAATTAAACCAGTCAAGGCTGGAGAGTTAGAGAAAAAGTTGGAGATTCATAATTGTAGCCTTGATTCTAGGTACAATGTAAAGGGTCCAGAAGATACCACTTGGGGTGATACCTTCATCTTTCTTTCTTTCTTTTCTTTTTTTTCCAAAGCACCGTCACGTCCACTTTTTCATTTCACACTCATAATCACCTTGAGAAGTAAAGAGAGCAGGTTTTACTGTGCCCATTTTTCAGATGAAGATACTGAGGCTCATAAAGTTAAGTCACTGTGGTGAATACATCTGCAAAGTCAGGGCTGAGAGGGATGCTACAATCATGCAAATGTTCCTTTGTAATTTGTGCTAATTATGATGAGGTTTTCACCAGTCTGAAGCAAAATGGAAAAAATGACAACAATGAGTTTTTCTGTTAAAGTAAGGAAATAAAAGGGAGATTCTTTGGGATATTTTCTTTCTGCATTTTGACAGTAAAATGACCTTTATTTTTGATTTAATTTAATTTAATTTTTAATTTTTGTGGGTACATAGTAGGTGTATATGTTTATAGGTTACATACATGAGATATTTTGATATAGGCATACAATGTACAATAATGACAATAGGGTAAATGGAGTGATCATCTCCTCAAGCATTTATCCTTTGTGTTTCTAATAAACCAATTATACTCTTAGTTATTTTAAAATGTATAATTAAATTATTTTATACTATGGGGACCCTGTTGTGCTAGCAAATACTAGGTCTTATTCATTCTTTCTGACTATTTTTTGTGCCCATTTACCACTCCCCCACCACCCTCGCCCAACCCCGAATACCCTTCCCAGCCTCTGGTACCCTCCTATGTCCTCTACCCTCTGTCTCCATAAGTTCAGTTGTTTTAATTTTTAGCTCCCAAGGATAAGTGAGAACATGTGATGTTTGTCTTTCTGTTCCTGGCTTTATTTCACTTAACATAATAACCTCTAGTTCCATGCATACTTTTGCAAATAATAGGATCTCATTCTTTTTAGTGGCTGAATAGTACTCCATTATGTATACGTACTACATTTTCTTTTTTCATTTACCTGTTGATGGACATTTTGGTTGCTTCCAAATCTTGGCTATTGTGAATAGTGCTGCAGTAAACATGAGGGTGCAGATACCTGTTCGATATACTGATTTATTTTCTTTTGTGTTTATACCTAACAGTGGGATTGCTGGATCATATGGTAGCTTTATTTTTAGTTTTTTGAGGAACCTCCAAATTGTTCTACCTAGTAGTTGTACTAATTTACATTCCTGCCAACAGTGGATGAGGGATCTCTTTTCTGCACATCCTCACCAGCATTTATGATGGCCTGATTTTTGCTCTTTTTTTCTTTTCTTTTCTGTTTTAACTTTAAGTTCAAGGGTACACGTGCAGGTTTGTTATATAGGTAAACTTATGTCATGGGGATTTGTTGTACAGATTAGTTCATCACCCAGGTATTAAGCCTAGTACCCATTAGTTATTTTTCCTGATCCTCTCCCTTCTCCCACCCTCACCCTCCAATAGGCCCCAATGTGTTATTCCCCTGTATGTGTCCATGTGTTCTCATCCATTTACATCCCACCTATAAGTAAGGCCATGTGGCATCTGGTTTTCAATTCCTGCATTAGTTTGCTAAGGATAATGGCCTCCAGCTCCATCCATGTCCCTGCAAAGGACATGATCGAGTTCTTTTTTATGGCTGCATAGTATTCCATGGTGTATGTACCATATTTTCTTAATCCAGTTTATCTTTGATGGACATTTAGTTTAATTCCACATCTTTGCTATTGTGAATAGGATTGCCTGACTTTTGGATAAAAGCCATTTTAACTGGGGTGAGATGATATCTCATTGTAGTTTTGCATTTCTCTGATGTTGAGCACCTTTTCATATGCCTGTTTGCAATTTGTGTGTCTTCTTTTGAGAAATGTCTATTCAGATCTTTTGTTCAATTTTTAATCAAGTTATTAGATTTTTTTCCTATAAAGTTGTTTGAGCTCCTTATAGCTGTGGTTTTTAACCCCTTGTCAGATGGGTAGTTTGCGAATATTTTCTCCCTTTTTGTGGGTTGTCTCTTCACCTTGTTGATCATTTCATTTGCTGTACAGAAACTTTTAAACTCGATGCCATCCCAATTTGTCCACGTTTGCTTTGGTTGCCTGAGCCTGTGGGGCATTGCTCAAGAAATCTTTGTCCCTTCTGGTGTCCTGGAGAGTTTCCCCAATGTTTTCTTTTAGTGGTTTCATTGTTTAAGATTTTTTTTTTAGTAGTTTCATTATTTAAGGCCTTATATTTAAGTCTTTAACCCATTTTGATTTGATTTTTGCATAGGATGAGAGACAGGAGTCTGGTTTCATTCTTCTGCATATGGATATCCAGTTTTCCCAGCACCATTTATTAAAATAATCTTTGTAAAATAATGGTGATAGTAGATTGTAGTTGCTTTTTGTATGCTTTTGGCAAAATTGCACATAGGCAATCATAGGTTGATCTCCAAAGCATGAAAAATTTTACTGGTTGGTAAAATCTCAACGTCTTTCCTCAGCTTGCTATTTTTTTTAACAAATAAGAAAAATGGGGTCTGGTGGGGCTGTATGTCAGCAAGCATCCAATAGCAAGGGAACGGCACGGCCAGGTTGAAAGCACAGGTCTTTGTACTTCCAGGTCAGTGATCACAGTGGAGGGAAAATAAGCAGCGTCAGTTTTTATTTTAGGTAAAAGATGTAAAATTTTTAAATGGGACTTTGCTTCAATTTCTGAAGAAATTTATAATCCAAGTGCTTTGTTTGCAATGCAATTATAGGCCAGAGATGCAAAATGAAATATAAACTATTAATAAATCAGGGAGAAACAAATATCTAAAGTGCAATAAATAGCACCACAAATGGTCCTTGAGGGCAGCAGACATCTGGGCCCATTGTCTTTAGAAAGAGGCCAACAGTGGTTACCCTAATTCCTTAGAATTGGGGGTGGCATTTTGCTTTTTCTTGGACAAACAAGGGTCTCAGGGAGGATGTCTCCTCTGCTCAGATGGCATTGGGATTTCTCCAAATCTGGCCAATTGGTAGCAGCATCTTCATTCTTCCCCATAGCTCCCTTCTGCTGCTCAAGGTCACTGATTATCACCCTATAGGTAGGATAAAGCGGGGTAGGGAAGTCCATGGGCTTTTATCTTAAGGCTGCAGTTCCTAAACTGTGTGTTAAGGCACACCAGGGCACCACAGCTAACTCACAGGGGGCACCATGGGATCTTTCAACATTTTTGAAGGAAACCAGTGATAGCATCTGTTGGACACTGTATAGACAGCTAGCTTGAGATAGTTAATATTAGAGGATGCTACATTCCTTTCTGTGATGTCTTATCTTCATGAAATTTTTCCCCCAAAATAACTGTTGTGATCAAAAACAAGCAGTGTGTGAACATTAATGTGTAATAGGAAATAAGGATGTTGATATCTAATCTGATTCCAAAGTTTGAGTGCCAAGTCCAGTGAATGCCTGCTTCCCATTAATAAGTAGTGTGGGACCAGGAGCAGTAATCATGACTATAATCCCACACTTTGGGAGATCAAGGTGGGAGGATTGCTTAGGCCAGAAATTTGAGACCAACCTTGGCAACATAGTGAGAACCCGTCTCCACAAAATGTACAAAAATTGGCTGGGCATGGTGGTGCATGCCTGTAGCCCTAGCTACTTGGGAGGCTAAGGTGGAAGGATTGCTTGAGTCTGGGAAGTTGAGGCTGCAGTGAGTCATGATGATGCCATTGCACTTCAGCCTGGGTGACAGAGCCAGACCCTGCCTCAAAAAAAAAAAAAAAAAAATTAAATAAATAAATAAATAAATACATGTTGTGTGGGTATTAAAGAATGAAATACAAATTTATTTCTATTATTTTTTCAAATGATTGCTAAGTTCTTATTATATAAATATGCAGTTGATTGGACCTAACTACTAAATAGATAGACCTTTTACATATTGCTTTGGCCTCCAGACGCCATGAACAATGACTGAGATTCCCTACAGACATCATGAACAATCAGTGAGATTCCAAGGATGCTGTGAACTGAGAGAGTTTGGGAACATTTTGGGTCTTCTTTAAATATCCCAGAGGGTGCTTCAGGTGAATGTTCATGGAAAGCAGCTAACAAGGTCTCCAGCTACCATGATACTACACATGACACAAGTGGTTTTGAGCTTTGTGGCCTGGGACAAGCCATGTCCTTTTTCCAGTATTCAGTTTTCCTGTCTACCAGCTGAAAGTATTGGACTAGGTCAGGGACTCTTACTGCCTCATTAGCCCCCCTTCCCTCTTCTTTTGGTAAGAGTACTTCAAACACTTTCAGGAATCACTTCTACCCAGACTCTCCATGTGGTTTGGGTAGGGCTGACACCTTCTTCTCCAGTCCTCTTATGGGTAGACCCATGACAAGGACAGAGCAATGAAGTATAATATATCCTTAGTCACAGAGGTTTAGAGTTGTGCTCATAAGTCAAACCAAGCCAATGAAAGCCAAGAAAAGGGTGGGGTGGGGGTGGGGATACGTTGCCTTGATCACATTATTTGAGCCCCTGCATCTAGCTTTGACTGAACTTTTCAGATATTTAAGAAGATCTCAGATATTTAAGAAGATAGATAGATCTACTCTTACCCTCATTAAGGTAGTTCTTTTTGTCTTCAGATGCCAGTGGCTCAAGGTATCAGACTCTAGATATTATGAAGACCCAGTTTTCTTCCTTCTGCCTCTCAACTCTGCTACCATGTACGTTGACTTCATTCTCAGGCAGGGCTCTCTCCATGAGGCAGCAAGATGGGTGCCAGTACTTCCAGGTTTGCATCTTTACAGATACAAGACCAGAAAAAGAAGAATCTGTCTCTCTCCCAACACACCCAGTATCCTGGTGGTGGTTACCAGTGGAGCTGATTGTGCTATGTGCAAATTCCTGAACCAGTCACCACAGCCAGGGGTGTAAGATGTTCTGATTGGCCGAGTGTAAGTCACATGCCCACTATTGCAGCTGCAGGTGGAGTCAACTTCCCTTGTAGCGGATGGGCTGAGAATGGAGAAAAGGGTCGTATCGGTCAGGTTCAACCAGGAGTACTGAAACCACTTTGAGTCTTTAAAACAGAGGTAGTTTAATGTAAGAAATTGGTCACACAGGTGATGGTGGGATAGAGAAGCCAAGAGGGGATGGTGGAATAACCTTGAGATTAACAGCAGCAGGATATTGCTACCTCCACTTGCTGGTGGGATAAAGGGAGGATGGAGACAGTGTTTCTGGAATCCAGGGGCTAGGTCTACCCGGTGGAAACAGGAGCTGCAGCAGAGCTTGTCTAGCAGGAGCTGACAGCATGGAGAAGATGCTAGAGACATCACTCAAGGCAGAAAGGAAAGGGGAGAAATACCCCAGCTTCTGTCTTCCTCTGTGTTCCAGTCTCCTGCCATTACCCTTCATTAGCTTAATCCACTCAGAAAACCAGCTAACACGGGAGCCTGGGAAATGCAGCTTGGAGGAAAATTCAGCTCTCCTGAAATGTAAAATAAGGCAAAGGAAAGGTGAGGAGTGGATCTGGGGGCAAACAAGCTAAGAATTGGCACAGGAAGGGTTCCCAGGAGGAAAATTAGGGTTCTATGAAAAGGGGGAGGGCTGCAAATATAAAAATGTCCCCTACAGACAAGCATTTAAAAAGTCAGACAAGCATTTAAAATGTCAGACAGAGCTATAAGTAATTGAGCAAAATCCTTCCCAGCAAGCAGATCTTAGCTTGTGGTGGACAGGTGGTAATCTGGATTAGGGATAGGTTTGGGAACAGGCAATAGGCAAGCGGAGCATGGTGGCTGAGAATTCAGGAACATATGCTCACATCATTGAAGTCTGTTCACATGTGGTCAGATATGGGACTGAGGTTCCAAGCCAGCCTCTAGGACAAAATTAGCAAATGGACATACACAAGGCAGTTGGCCAAAACAAAAAGACCTTGGGAACAAGAACAGGATCCTGGGATATACAACGGGGCCAGAGCAGCATAACCAGCAGGAGGGGCTTGAGGCTGAATTTTGGGATAATAGATGTAGCTCCTTAAATGCCCTATGCCTGAAGTCAGCACTTTGGCCAATTTTGCTGACAGTTGTAGGTCAAGTGACTCTAGTATGGGGCCAGAACCAGGCAAGGCTATGGTAGTAGACGCTTGTTGTTTTGCCGACCTAGAAGTTATTTTTACTTTTGGTAACCACTGATTTTTTTGGGGGGCACTACGCCTCTCACCTCAGACCTCAGTCCTTGTAGAAAAACTGACCCCAGCCCCTGTTCCAGAAATTGCCATAAGACTCAGGCCTAAGTCAGCTAACCCAGTCCACCCCTGGCCTCAGGGATTTGGGATGGACATGTGGCCCAAATTCATCTAGCGGTTTTGGAGGTGTGCACTTTTGTGGAGCATTTGGAGAAAAAGAGAATCTCTCTGCCAGATTTAGAGTTCTAAAGGTATTAATCTGGACCTGTATGGGGTCACCACATGAAGAGAGCCAGAGCAAGAGGAAAGCCAGCACAGAGAAAACCACAGCCAGGAAAGGAGGAGAGGGAGGAACTACGTCCTAAAGCCCAGCTGAAGCCTGGGGTTTGGGTAGCTATGACTTAAGGGAACCAAACCTTCCAGATTTCCAGTTACTTGAATTCCTTTTTCTAACCTTTTCCTGAAGGCAGTTTGAGTTTCGTTTTTCACTTAATTACAACAGAAAGAGTCCTATTACATTCATCCTTTCATTTTTGCTGCACTGCCATTTGATTTTCACGTGAAAAAACCGATAGAAGGCTTCAAATGCCCAGTGTTTTCTTTGACTCTCTAAAATTGTCTTGAATTTCTTCTGGGCTTTGGTAGACATGATCGTGTACGAAATGGGGATGCTGGCGAATGCCCCTACTTACTGGAGAGAGTCCCGGAGAAGTGGCTGCATCAGTGTTTTGGATGAAGCAGGGAAATGTGGAGGAAGAACAGTGTCTGGAATGATGATGTTCCTCCACTTTTCATCCTAGGAAGCCATGGATGTGTCCTAACTCAGGCAAATTTTTCTTTCAACCACATGTTGGAAGTTTATCTGCCATGCCAGTTTGACGCATCAGCTTTGGCTAAATTCTTACTTTTTAACCTAATTAACAAGTTGTTTGCTGAATCAATCGACTGAATCAATAATTTTGGCATCCTGTTGAAAGGCCTAAAAGACAAAAGTAAAGGCCTTCTTTAAATTAGTGTCTGGGGAATCTGGTGTACTGCCTGTGGAGTGCTCCTGAAAATATTCCCTGGAGGAGGAACAGTGCCCTAGGAAAGGCAGAAGTTAGGCCTAACAGAAATCAGAAGACCATGCTTTTTTAAAAATTACTTTTAGACAGTGTCTCGGTCTGTCACCCAGACTGGAGTGCAGTGGTGCGATCTTAGCTGACTTAACCTCTGCCTCCCCAGTTCAAGTAATTTTCGTGCCTCAGCCTCCTGAGTAGCTGGGATTACAGGCGCCTGCCCCCACGCCCAACTAATTTTTTTGTTTTTTTAGGAGAGACAGGGTTTCACATTGTTGGCCAGGCTGGTCTCGAACTCCTGACCTCAGGTGATCTACCCACCTCAGCCTCCCAAAGTGCTGAGATTACAGGCATGAAGACCATGCATTTTAACAACTATGATTGTATTAGTTAGGACTGTTTTCCCTACAGCAGACAGAAACCCAACTTGATTTGGCAGACGCAAAAAAGGAATGTATTGTAAAATATAGTTGAGTGTCTCTCAAAACCTACAGGTAGATTGTGTTTGGGCCTGTGAAACAACTGGAATCAGGGGCTCAAAAACAGCTGCAACATTTCTTGTCCTAGTTTCTTTTTGGGTGTTAACTTCATTATTTTCACTCACAGCAAGAGCTTCTCCTACATAGTGGAATACATGGTCACTGCTAATGCCTGAATTTTGCATCTTATCATTTCAGCCACCCTCTGGGTCTCAAGTCTAAGAGGTCCAGAGAAGAGCTTTAATTGGTCCATGCAGATCTCACTTTTTAACCAATCAGCTGTGTCCAGGGGCAGGTCACATGTCCAAAATGGCTACTCCCATGATGACCACGAGGATTAGAGTGATGCAGGCAGTAATGTGGGGAAGCTCCTAAATAACCAGAGAAGCTGGGTGGACAAAAAGTATTGTGTCCAAAATTGGTGGGTTCGGGGTCCGACTTCAGGAATGAAGCCGCAGACCCTCGCGGTGAGTGTTAGAGTTCTAAAGGTGGTGTGTCCAGAGTTTGTTCCTTCTGATGTTCAGACGTGTGCAGAGTTTCTTCCTTCTGGTGGGCTCATGGTCTCGCTGGCTTCAGGAGTGAAGCTGCAGACCTTGGCAGTTAGTGTTACAGCTCTTAAGGTGGCACATCTGGAGTTGTTCATTCCTCGCGGTGGGTTCGTGGTCTCGATGGCCTCAGGAGTGAAGCTGCAGACCTTCTTGGTGTTACAGCTCATAAAGGCAGTGTGGACCCAAAGAGTGAGCAGCAGCAAGATTTATTGCAAAGAGCAAAAGAACAAACCTTCCACACTGTGGAAGGGGACCCGAGGGGGTTGCCACTGCTGGCTCCGGCAGTCTGCTTTTATTCCCTTATCTGGCCCCACCCACATCCTGCTGATTGGTCCATTTTACAGAGAGCTGATTGGTCTGTTTTACAGATAGCTGATTGGTCCATTTTGACAGGGTGATGATTGGTGCATTTACAATCCCTGAGCTAGACACAGAAGTTCTCCAAGTACCCACTAGATTAGATAGACACAGAGCACTGATTGGTGCGTTTACAAACCTTGAGCTAGACACAGAGTGCTGGTTGGTGTATCTACAATCCCTTAGCTAGACATAAAAGTTCTCCAAGTCCCCACTAGACTCAGGAGCCCAGCTGGCTTCACCTAGCAGATCCTGCACCAGGGTGGCAGGTGGAGCTGCCTGCCAGTTCTGCACCATGCACCTGCACTCCTCAGCCCTTGGGCAGTTGATGAGACCGGGTGCCATGGAGCAGGGGGCGGCTCTCGTCGGGGAGGCTTGGGCCACGCAGGAGCCCACGGCATGATGTGGAGGCTCAGGCATGACTGGCTGCAGGTCCGAGCCCTGCCCCATGGGGAGGCAGCTGAGGCCTGGCGAGAATTTGAGTGCGGTGTTGGTGGGCCGTCACTGCTCGGGGAACTGGTGCACCCTCTGCAGCTGCTGGCCCGGGTGCTAAGTCCCTCAGCTGGCAGTGCCAGCTGGCTGCTCAGAGTGCGGGCCCGCTGAGCCCATGCCCACCTGGCACTCGTGCTGGCCAGCGAGCAGCGTGCGCAGCCTCCGTTCCCTCCTGTGCCTCTCCCTCCACACCTCCCTGCAAGCAGAGGGAGCCGGCTCCGGCCTTGGCCAACCCAGAGAGGGACTCCCACAGTGCAGTGGCCGGCTGAAGGGCTCCTCAAGTGTGGCCAGAGTGGGCGCCGAGGCTGAGGTGGTGCTGAGAGTGAGCCAGGGCTGCCAAGGCTGCCAGTACACTGTCACCTCTCAGTATGGCCACACAGGATGATGATATGGTTCATGACATTCATCACCAGGTCCTCTTTATCAGTTTCCTACTGCTGTGAAACAAATTTCTACAAACTTAATAGCTTAAAGAAAAACCTGTTTATGACCTCAGTTCTGTAGCTCAGAAGTCTGGGTGTAGCATGGATTGGTTCTCAGAGTTTCACAAGGTTGAGGTGAAAGCTTGTCAAAGTGTCAGCCAGGCTCTCATCTTGAGATCAGGATCCTCTTCCAAGTTCATATGGTTGTGGCAGAATTCAGTCTCTTGAGGTTGCAGGACTGAGGTACCTATTTCCTTAGCTGTCAGCCACGGCTCCACTCTCCTAGAGGCTGGCATATTCCTTGCTGTATGGCCCACTCAGTATTCAAAGCCAGCAATGGATAATGTTTCTCCTGTTGAATCCTTCTGATGCTTCCAGTTGTCTTGCTAGGAAGAGCCCTACTCCTTTTAATGGATCACCTGACTTGGTCAGGCCCACTGAAGAGAATCTCTGCAAGTTGAGGACAAAGCCCTCCATAGGACTGACCCCACTTTAGATGCAAGTGAGATCCAAGGCCACCCTTCTGATTGACTGGCTATAAATTTGTGGGTTCCTATAACCTTCTCAAGTTTGATAATTCACTACGATGACACAAAACTCAGAAAAGCAATACTTATGATTATAGTTTTATTATAAAAGATGCGTAGAGTGGGGGCTATAGGGAACATAGAGCTTCTACACACTTGTCCTCATGGAGTCAAAGGTTCATCACTCTCCAGGCACATCCAAATGGTCACCAACCACAAATTTCCAACCATCCTTGGTGTCCAGAGTTTTTACTGGAGTTTCATTATGTGTTCATGATTGATTACATAAGTCATTGGGCATGTAATTGAACTCAGTCTCCATTCCCTCTCTCCTCTCTGGAGGTCCAAAATTCCAACCCTCTAATCATGTAGTTGGTCTTTTTTTTTTTTTTTTTTTTTTTAAGACGGAATCTTGCTCTGTCTCCCACGCTGGAGTGCACTGGTGCACTGCAAACTCCGCCTCCCATGCTCACGCCATTCTTCTGCCTCAGCCTCCCAAGTAGCTGAGGCTACAGGTGCTGGCCACCATGCCTGGCTAATTTTTTGTATTTTTGGTAGAGACGGGGTTTCAGTGTGTTAGCCAGGATGATCTTGATCTCCTGATCTCGTGATCTACCCGCCTCGGCCTCCCAAAGTGCTGGGATTACAAGCGTATCACGCTCAGCCTGTGGTTGGTCTTTCTGGTGACCAGACCCCATTCTGAAGCTATCTAGTGGCCCACAATGAGTCACTTCATTAGCATAGCAAAGACATTCCCCTCACTCAGGAAATCCCAAGGCTTTTAAGAACTCTAAGCCTAAAACCCAGGACAAAGACCAGACAAATTCTTTATTTTACCCCAGGGTTGTCTTGGAATTCTGCCTACTACACCTATCCTGTCACATCATCCTTAACCAAGTCCTTCAAAGGCCATCGGAGATGCCCTCTCCTTTGGGAGCCTTTCCCCATCACCTCAACTGGATATGCTCTTTCCCATCTTTAAACTCCTATAAAAGTGTGTTTTTTTTTTACTCTAACTTTTCCTTTATTACCACAAATTCTAATCCTTGTTACAAGTTTTCTCCCTGTAACTAGACTGCAAATTACATGCAAACACAAACTGCTTATTTATATAAATGACTTCTTTGATTTAAATACAGCAAGAGCTCCAAAAATATTTACCTAATCAAATTGAATATTACAGGTGAAACTGCCTTGTAATAAAGTGTTCTTGAAATTAGATAACTAAATCATTTGAGATGGAGACAACCCCTCCACAAAAGCACCCTTTATGGTGTTGAAGGAGGTGTGTGGGAAGATGACAGTATACTATATTTTTTTCAGACTCAATTTATTTTTCTGCCATTTAATATATGATATCCACATCTTAGGGGGAGGTCTGGGACACCTAGGAAAAATGTGTAAACTCTTCCATTAGTTTCTTGGGGACTAAGAAAATATGCAGTATTTGCAAGACTGAAAAACTGGGTATCATGGCAAAAGAAGAGCCTAGGATTGTTAATCCCTGTGTATTACACCCACATGAAACACTTACCATGAAGACAGGAAGCATCTTTACAGCTTTTTCAGCTTGAAAACTCTTGACATGTCTTGTAAGATCACAGGCATAATTGTGATTTCATGAGGGCAGATAACTAGTATTATAGGTGAAAGCATTAGCAAGAGACATTACAGTGGGTCATTGAGATCGGGGGTCCTGAACTCCTGGGCCACGGACTGGTACTGGACCACAAAGCAGGAGGTGAGTGGCAGGTGAGCAAAGGTTCATCTGTATTTATAGCCATTCCTCATCACTCACATTACCACCTGCCTCAGCTCTGCCTCCTGTCAGATCAGCGGTGGCATTATATTCTCATAGGAGCGTGAACCCTACTGTGAACATGCGAAAGATCTAGGTTGTTTGCTCCTTATGAGAATCTAATGCCTGATGATCTGTCCCTATCTCCCATTGCCCCCAGATGGGATGTCTAGTTGCAGGAAAACAAGCTCAGGGCTGCCACTGATTCTACATTATGGTGAGTCATATAAGTATTTCATTATATATCACAATGTAATAGTAATAGAAATAAAGTGCACAATAAATGTAATAGGCTTGAATCATCCTGAAACCATCTCCCCTGCCCCTCCCTGGTCTGTGAAAAAACTGTCTTTCATAAAACTGGTCCCTGGTGTCAAAAAGGTTGGGAATCACTGATTTCAATGTTTCCATTTTTTTTCCCCCAGGAAAGAGCAAAGCACTCCTCCATCTTATGGTGGACTCACAATAGTCACTGCCTTTATCTTTGCTTCAACTTTTGCACTCCTCTCTCCCAAATAGTGTATTTTCTATCTACTTTAATATCCATTTTCAGAAAGGACTAACTCTAGATGAATGGTGTTCTGTTTAAATGAAAGACTAAAACCAAGTCAAAAACCTGCCCTCAAGAGTTGGAAGCAATGTCCCGGCTTGAGGTGTACCTCACAGGGACCTAGGCAGTGCCACCAGCTTTCCTTGGTGCCTCCAGCCTGTCACTGCATCTTCCAGCACACTGGAAACTGTTGATTTCTTTCCAAGTGAAAATATTGGGTAATTTTGGTGTCAAAGCTGCAAACATTGAATCAGAACTGACCATGATTTCTCAAGCCTCGAGCTCTCTTCCTCATCTGCACTTCTGGCAGTTTAAAAGTTCCTCTTAATCCCCCCGCTTTGTTTCTTTCAAGTCTGTTTACCATTTTTTCTGAGGGGTGTTTGCTCTATACGCTGTTATGAGGTCCAGAGTGTCTAATTGACAAATTATGTTGTGCTTTTGGAGGCTTTAAGTAATCATTTAAAATAAATAAGATCATAATTATCAGTTTTCATTTACCCATTTATTAAGTAACAATGTTCACACTGAGCAGTTTGATTTTGTTTTATAATAAGGCAATCTCTACATGATGACAGATGGTGTTTCATTTTGCCGACACTGTGCTAAAGTGCTTTGAGTTGTGATGTGTTTGATTTTATTAGAGATCAGATTTAACACATGCATGCTACATAACTGCAATCGCATTCCCATTTCTCATCTGTAGGAGAAAATGAAACTGTGATGAAATGTAATATACTCACCCTCAGGCAGAACTAGTGGGACTGGGAATTGCAACATAATAAATCTAATGGATATTACACTATAGGACCCTAGAAATTTACTGTTATTATGTTCAGGGAAGGAACTTGGTTTTGTAAAACTCACTTTTATTTCACTGGCATCAGTGCAATTTCACATTATTTAACTGTTGTGTCCCAATAGCAGAGATGGTATTTGTGATGTTGAAAAGGAAACTTGCCCGCCAAAGAACACAGGGGTCCAGGAACCCAGAGGAGGCAGCAAGGGGAAACAGCCAAAAAATTGCATTTACCAAATGCAAATCACAATGATGGCACATCATTAACAATGGATTGTTGGGATTGTCAAATTAAGCCTCATTTAGCCATGCTGTCAGTGTGGCACCCATTGGAGAAAGACACATCAGTGAAAACATTTACTATGATATTGAGTCCTTATATTTTCAGCCATCCTTACTGCCACCCCTTAGGGGGATGGTGTGGGAAAGCAAGTTAATTACACATCTAGTTATTGGTGTGACTGTGGATAGAGCTTTTCCTAATGAAGCCATTGTCAAGTGGAATGCTGAAGGTCCGGGAGGTTCCTTCAGTGCTCATGTGTCAACAGGTGAAGCCCCCTGACTCCCCATTGCTAACTGAAGTTTGGTGTAATGATATCTACCCTGTTCCATGTCAACAGCCTCCCAAATGGTCTTCCTGCTTCTAGCTCTACCTTCTGTTATTCATCATAGATTGCCTCTCCTTACTCTTTCTAAGTGACTGCTTTCACCATGTTGTTTCATGCTCAAAAGCCTCAGTAACTCCCCATTGCCTGGTATTCACACCCTTCCTAATTCAGCTCTGATCTAACAATTCCTTAAAATAAATCTGTTATTCCAGAGAAGTTGGTCTTTTCATTGTTCTTCAAACATGACAAATTCATTTCTTTATTCTTTTTGGTGTTGGGCACTTTAGGTTTTGAGTGACAAAAATCCAACTCAAATCTGTTTAGGCAGAAGGGGAAGTTTATGAGATTATACATGAGGGAGGCAGGGTAGCTGGATCCTTGGCATAGATGGAACTAGGAACCAAAATGCTTCTTGGGTGGTCTCTCTTAGTCTTTGCTGCTACCTCGACATGAAAATTCGGATTTTCTTTATTGTCAAACTACTTCCATAGGAGAGGGGCTATCAGAGGAGAGGATGTGAAACTATCAGTCTCCATGGTTTTAGGTTCAAAAATTCTAAGGAAGAGCTTTGATTGGCCCATTTTGTGTCAGGGGTTTGTCTCTGGTATGGTGGCAATGGCAAAGAGATTGGGCCCTGTCATTGGCCTAACTTAGTTTAAGATAAGCTCCACCCACAATAATTCTGCCCAGGAAGGTGGGATCTGTAACATGATTTGAATAGGGGCCAGGCACAGTGGCTCACGCTTGTAATCTCAGCACTTTGGGAGGCTGAGGTAGGTGGATCACTTGAGGTTAGGAGTTCAAGACCAGCCTGGCCAACATGGTGAAACCCTCTCTCTACTAAAAATACAAAAATTAGTCAGGCATGTGCCTGTAATCCCAGCTATTCAGGAGGCTGAGGTGAGAGAATCACTTGAATCCTGGCGGCGGGCAGAGGTTGCAGTGAGCCACGATCATGCCACTGCACTCCAGCTTGGATGACAGAGTGAGACTTTATCTCAGGAAGCAAAAAAAAAAAAAAAAAAAAAAAAAAAAAGAATAGGGGTGTGGAGCAGAGCCCAGGAAAGGAGGCTATTCTGGTACTCTGGGCTGCCAAAATCACTGATGCTACCACAATGCGGTTTATGAGGTTGCCCTTCCCTCCCTCCTATCTCAATCTGACAATCTACCTTAGAGAATGAAAGGTCAAGGTTAGGGAGATAAATCTATAAAATAAATCCTATAAAACATGGATATTATCTAAAGTAATCCCCACAGATGCCCAGTAAAAATGGGACTAT
The DNA here is from genome assembly GCF_000001405.40 of Homo sapiens. Taxonomy (NCBI): domain Eukaryota; kingdom Metazoa; phylum Chordata; class Mammalia; order Primates; family Hominidae; genus Homo; species Homo sapiens. Next base: position 52,725,620 of record NC_000016.10, on the reverse strand, counting down.
TGTCCATATTTTACAGGTGAGCTTAGAAAAGCTATTTACCTTGGTTAGGTCATTCAACCAGTAAATGGCTGAGCCAGGTTTAGAAACCAGCTCTGTTGGACTCTGTTCATAGTTTTGAGCATGTAGGAGGGATTTAGTTCTCTTGAACTATGCTAAAAAAGAAAATTCTAAAGTACCTGGATACCTTATTTATATGATCCAAAACACATGGTTGATTGAAAACATATGACTACTCAATTTTCTTGATTTTACATTTAGGTTACTTAAAAGCAGGCAGATAGGGTAGAAGGATAATTATCCAGTTGTATTTCCTTGGGAACAGGACTAGTTCTTATCATGTCTCACTCAACAAATATTTATTGACACCTTCCATGTAAATCAGTTAATTACGTCATACACCATTTTCTTTTTATATTTTATGTTTTTACACCATTTGCATTCATGCATATGGCCTCAGTTTCATTCAAACTGGTTATCTCACTATTTTCTGACTTTTTCTGCCTCATGTTCGCAGGTGCCATTTCTTCTGCTTACAATACCTCCTTCCTTCCCTCTGCGGCTGTAAAATTCTGCTTATTCTTTAAAGCTTGATTCAAACTCTATTTCCTCTCTGACCTCAAATGCCCCTCCCCACCCTGATCTACCAATGTCAATGATGTTCTCTTTTCTCTAAATACAGTATTGGGGAAATTACTTGGTTTTGGTTAGCCTCTCAAGCCAACATATAATTGCAAGCTTCTGGAGGGCTAGAATGGTGTCACGCTTTTCAGGATCCCCATAGCAACTACTGCAGTGCTAGATGCATAGCAGGTGTTGAATTAGTATTGTTTGTTAAGATAAGAAATACTCATATATTAATATTATTTAAATAAATGCACTGGATTTCTATAGACTACCAACAATGCCTTTGTAAACATTAAAGAAGGTAGTATATTCTGGTAAGAATGCAAATTAGTTGAACCAATATGGAAAGCAGCTTGGTGATTTTCAAACCACAGCTACTATTCAACCCAGCAATTGCATTATTGGGTATATAACTAAAGGAATATAAATTGTTTTGCCCTAAACACACATGCATGTGTATGTTCATTGCAACACTATTCACAACAGCAAAGACATGGAACCAACCTAAATGCCCATCAATAATGGATTGGATAAAGAAAATGTGGTTCATATACACCATGGGATACTATGCAGCCATAAAAAGAATGAGATCATGTCCTTTGCAGCAACATGGATGGAACTGGAGGTCATTATCCTAAGAAAATTAACACAGGAATAGAAATTCAAATACCATATATTCTTACTTATAAATGGTAGCTAAACATTAAGTATACATGGACACAAAGAGGAAAACAACAGACACCGGGGCCTACTTGAGCATGGAGGGTGGGAGGAGGGTAAGGATCCAAAAACTACCTATCAAGTACTATGCTTATTACCTGGGTGATGAAATAATTTGCACACCAAGCCCCCGTAACACACAGTTTACTTATATAACAAACCTACACATGTACCCCTGAACCTAAAATAAAAGTTAAAAAAAATTAAAAAGGTAGTATAATGTAGTGTTAAGAGTTCAGACGTTGCAGTTAAAGCAGGGTTTGAATTCCGGCTTATGTTTTAATTGTTGTAGAATTCTAGGTAAGCCTCAGTTCCTTCATTTGTGAAGTGGCTACAGGACTTTCTATTCATAGAGATTTCTGTTGTGAGAATTGCCTGAGATGCACTTTATGAAGTGCTTAGCCTAGTACCTGATGCATTGCCGGGCACAGTAAGTGGTAAGTAGGTATAGGGGAGGTTACCCGAGCATATGATCTCTACCTAAAGAAACACATTCCAGGCCAGGTGTGGTGGCTCATGGTTGTAATCCCAGCAATTTGGGAGGCTGAGGTGGGCAGATCACTTGAGCTCAGGAGTTTGAGACAAGCCTGGGCAACATGGTGAAACCCTATCTCTACAAAAAATACAAAAGTTAGCTGGGTGTGGTGGCAGGTGTCTCTAGTCCCAGCTACTCAGTAGGCTGAGGCAGGAGAGTCACTTGCACCCAGTAGGTGGATGTTGCAGTGAGCCAAGATTGTGCCATTGCACTCCAACCTGGGCAATGGGAGTGAAACCCTATTTCAAAATAAAAAAGAGTACATTCCAATTAAATTATTAGAAAAGGATAAGTTTTCAACCAAATTTGACAGGTAGTTATTATATGTCATTGCATTATAAGACATTTTGTTAATTTCCTTATCGAACCCTCAGTGTGGGGAATGGGAAAGGGAGGATGATTCCTGTAGATAGGGTTGATGGGAAGGCTTCTCAGGAGGTGACACTTGCCTCTAGACCTGAGTGACAGAGAATCAGCCATGTGAAAGTCTGGAAGAATAACATTCCAGACAGAGGGAACTACAAGTGAGAAGGCCCTGAGGAGGGAAGACTACGCTTGAGGCATAGAAGGAAGGCCACACCAGCTGGAGCTTAGTGAATTTGGGGAGGTAAGCAGAGCTCAGATTGCACCAGGCTTGTTAAACCTTAACAATGAGTTGGAATTTTATTCCAATTTCAGTAAGAAGCCATTGGAAGGTTTTAGCAAAGGAGTCATCTGATAGCCAGTGTTCAAGGTGGCCGCCAAGAATCTTTGCTTCCTATTATTCAGACTCTCCCACATTGAATAAGACTAACCTGTAATTAACAGACTATTGTGGAAAAAGCAGCAAGTGACTTCGGAGGCGAAGCTGTAAAAGATGCTGGGCTTCTGTCTTGCTCTCTCTCATTCATTCATTCTGGAAGAAGACAGTTGCTGTGCCATGAAGACATTCAAGCAGCTTTAGAAGGGGTCTGTTTGGTGAGGAACTCAGGCCTCCTGCCAACAGTCGTGTGAGTGAGCCACCTTGGAAATGGATCTTCCTGCCTCAGTTGAGGCTTCAAATGATTGCAGCTTCAGCTAACATTTTGACTGCAACCTCAGGAGACACCTGAAATCAGAACCACCTAACTAAGCTACTCAAGTTCCTGGTCTTCAGAAACTATGTGAGATACTATTTTTTTTTTGTCTTAAGCTGCTAAATTTTGGAGTAATTTGTTCTGCAGCAATAAATAATTCAAGTGGTATCATCTGATTGTGATTTTCTATCCTTGGCCTGCTGGATGGACAAAGAACTTTGGAGGGGTAAAGAGTAGAAGCAAAGAGAACATTGGCAAGGCTTGGTAGGTATTCAGATGAATGATGGCGGTGGCTTGAACCAAGGGTGGTGTATTTGTCTGTTCTCATGCTGGTAATAAAAACATACCCGAGACTGGGTAAGTTATAAAGAAAAAGAGGTTTAACGGACTCACAGTTCTACATGGCTGGGGAGGTCCCACAATCATGGCAGAAGGCAAAAGAGGAGCAAAGGCACGTCTTATAAGGTGGCAGACAAGAGAGCATGTGCAGGGGAACTGCCCTTTATGAAAACATCAGATCTCATGAGACTTATTACTATTATGAGAACAACAGGGGAAAGAGCTAACCCCATGATTCAATTACCTTCCACTGGGTCCCTCCCACGACATGTGGGGATTATGGGAGCTACGATTCAAGATGAGATGTGGGTGGGGGCACAGCCAAACCATATCAGGGGGTATCTCCAGGGGTGGTAAGAAACAGTCAGCTTTCGTGGAGCTGATGTGATCTGCTGATGGATTCACTGATGAGGCTTTGGGGTTCAAGGAATTAAGGTTGACTCCTTCCTTTTTGGTCTGAGCAAGTTGGTGAACAGTGGTCCCATTTCTTGAAAGGAGTTAATCAGTTTGGAGAAAAAAATCTAGACTCCATGAGGCACAAAATAAAGACTGTGTTGAATGAAAGAAAGTGAGACAGTTTAACCAGAAGCAGTTTTTCTGTCACCTACAGAGTTACAAATAAGAACTGTCTATGTTTCAATAAAAACACCTTCAGTCAGAACCTTGGAACTGGCTTCCTTCTTCTCAATTAAGTAGAAGACAATTAAATTAGAGTTCAGCTTCGAGGAGTTCATTATGCCTCATCGAAAATGATAAATGACTCTTGGTGACCTCATCACCTCTACAACACGGTCCCACCTCGTTTTTCAAAGAGCTAATGAAACCGATGGATTTCTCCCTCCTCAGTAGCAGGGCCAACACAAACAGAGTGCACACCATGAAATGTGAGGAAGCTGAGAAGGAGGCAGGAGAGAAAAGGGAAGAGAAAACCCACAGTGGACATTTTGACAATTGGCCAAAGCGACTTTGAAGTGCAAGCTTGGAAAAAAAAAAAAAAACACACAAAAACCCACCTATCTACATATTGATTTACTCTCTGTTCCATTGTTTTCAACCACCTCTGCTTGTCAAACAACACTGAAGGTTGTGTGTGTGTGTATATATCTGTGTGTGTGTATGTGTGTGTGTTGAGAGGCACAGGCCTGCCCTTTTAAGTTGGAAAGAAATAAAGTGATGGGAACAAAGGAAGGGAAAATGATAACAGGGAGTGCTTTGGTGTTGACAAAGACGTCCATTAGTCCATTAGTACTTGCTTTCTCTTAAAATTACCTTGAGCTAGAGCAAGAACTTGAATTACTCTGCCTGCTTCGCTGGGAAGGAGCAAAGCTGTCTTCAGAACTTGGAGGTAGCCAGAGGAAGGGGTTAGGAGCAGGAGCTTCCGATCTGGGCTTGAGTTCTGGTTCTCTGGCTATTCAGCTGTGTGGCCTTAAGAATGTTACTTAACCTCTTTGAGCCTCTTCATCTACAAAATGGGAATAATCTTATTGCACAGGCTTGGTGTGAAGAGTGAGTGATATTATACACACCAGACACTTAGCTACTTCCAATCATAGGACAAACACTCAGGAGGAGGCAATTGTCTTAGCTGTTGTTTTATTCTGACTCCCAAGTTAATATATATATTTTTTCATTGTATTACTTCTTACATTCTGAGTGTCAAGGAACTTTATTTAAAATACATGCTTTATTGGAAGGCTGTAGTGGGAGGATCACTTGAGCCCAGGAGTTTGAGACCAGCCTCGGCAACATAGGGAGAACCCCCACCTCTCTTCTCTACAAAAAATTTAAAAATCAGCCAAGCATGGTAGCATGCGCCTATGGTCCCAGTTACTAGAGAGGTTGAGGCAGGAGGATCGCTTGAGCCCAGGAGGTCAAGGCTGCAGCAAGCCATGATTGTGCCACTGCACTCCAGCCTGGGTCACAGACAGAGACCCTGTCTCAAAAACAAAAACCAAAAAAACAAAAATCAAAATACACACATGAGGCTGGGCGCAGTGGCTCACGCCTGTAATCCCAGCATTTTGGGAGGCCGAGGTGGGCAGATCACGAGGTCAGGAGTTTGAGACCAGTCTGACCAACATGGTGAAACCTTGTCTCTCAAGTGTCCTGAGTATAATTCTATTATTTGCATTGCTGACCTCTGTTTATATTCTATCTACAATTTTCCTAGTATTTTAAAGTATATCTTTCATTTACCTTCACAGAAACTGTGAAGTACTAATAACAGCCATGGTTTATTGAATGTGTATTATGTGCTAGACACTGTCCTAAGGGCCTGGCAGGCACCATGGAAGCCAGCAAGAGAATGTGCACTCAGGCTCTGGATCCAGATGGTTGGGAGTTGAACCCTAGCTGGGTGACCTTGGGCAAGTCACTTAAACTCTCTTGGCCTCAGTTTCTCATATGTAAATGCCTTTACACTTGTAAAGCTCTTAGAAGCACATCTGGCATATAATAAGTATTCAAAAAATGTTAGCTAGCTCAATTAATCTTCACAATTACCTGAGAGAGAGTTACCATTATTTCTGTTTTACAGATGAGAAAACTGAGGTATGGAAAAAGGTGCCCATTTCCCAAGGTCATCAGGGTGCTGCTCATCAGAGCCACAAACAAGATCTGTGTGACTCCAGAGCCTTTGTTCTGTTAGGGACACACATCACTTCCTCCCAAGGATGATCGTTACCTTCATTCTGCGGAGGAGGAAACTGAGGATCAGAGAGAAAATGTGTTTGCCTGAGCCTCGATGTCCAATAAGCAAAAGAGCCAGGACTCCCTTTCTAATCTTTGATTCCTGGTCCAGCTCAGTGACCAAAACACTGTGTCCTTTTTTAGAGATCATTAAAGCCACGGTCTATGCTTTGGGAGGCCAAGGCAGGAGGATCACTGTAGGCTGGAAGTTCAAGGCCAGGCTGGGCAACATAGTGAGACACTGTCTCTACAACAACAATAAAAAAATTAGCCAGGCATGGTGGCGCAAACCTGTAGTCCCAGCTACTCAGGTGACAGGAGGCTGAGGCGGGAAAATCATTTGAGCCTGGGAGTTCAAGACTGCAATGAGCTATTGTTGCACTACTGCATTCCAGCCTGGGGAGCAGAGTGAGACTCTGTCTCTTAAAAAACAACGAAACAAAACAAAACCAGAGTCTATCAGTGATTTGAGTAAGAGGGTGAGCAGTGAAGGAGAGGAAGAAGAGGAGGATTTCAAGTGTCTGGAGCGGAGAACTGACTTGCTGACAAGTCTGTGACTGACTCTGTCCCCAACCTGAGCTTGATGAAAGAAAGTGGTATTCCAATGACAATAATCATCAACAACAAGAACAAGTGTTTATTGGCGTTTACTGTTCCAGGACCAGCACTAGATGATTTTCATGCATCATTTTATTTCTCACAGCAAGTTTACAAGCAAAGTCCTACAGGATCCTTATTCTAGATGTGGGAAACCCAAAGCTCTGAGAGAGAACTACTTTGTCACCTGAAGTATCACATGGTGAGAATGTTGTAGAGCCAGGATTTGAACCTGAATCGGTCAACTTCCAAACTTGTTCTCTGAAAAACTTCACCACTATTATGTGTTCTGTGCCATCCCCCAATGGCCACAGCCACAGAGTTTCAGCGTCCTCCTTTTCCTTTCCTTTCTCTTTATTTTCTCTCTTAAGCTTTCTCTCTTACAGGTGGGAGTGTCTCATGAGTCTAGGACATGTGTAAATTTGGTAAGCGCTCCCCCAACCCCAACAGTGGAGGACTTTTCTATGATTCCTCTTCGTACTCAGCACTTTATCTGCTTGCCTTCCATTGATTGAGCAAATGCAAAGTGTCTTCATTATCCAAATGTGACCCAAACTTCCCCAGCCTCACTGTCATCCCATCCTTTGAACTAGTCCATGAGCTGAATGAGTGGGGCCTGGGTAGCACCCAACACCTATAAGGCAGCTCACTAAAATTAATTAAATGTAGAATGAATACCTCAATACATTGATTGAGTATCAGTGACATGTCAGTGCTGCTGGAGACTCATAATCTGTTAAGCTTCCCAACACTGCAGAGAGGAGGGGTTAACGTCCTCATTTTTGAGGGTGGACAGCTGCCCAGAGCCACTCAACTGATAAGGAGCAAAGCCAGAATTTGAGGCCAGCCCTTCACAAGACCAGCTCTTTTTGCAACATCACTTGGTGAAATGGCCGTTGTCTTGACAATAAGAGGCAGCAGACAGTGGGCTCTGGAGATGGCTGAACAGGGAGTCAGGACACCTGCAGGCTCACCGTGGCTCAGCTGAGGCCTCCTTTCCTGACCGCACACAGGTCCCTGCCCTGCTCTGGTCTCAGTGTCTGTACTGCAGGGAGGAAAGGGTTGACTCAGATCAGTGTTTTCCAGCATGTGGAGTGTGGGCCTACAGGAGGGCTTTAAGAAGCCAGATCATTAACTAACATCAATTCACTCGGGGGGAAAAGACAATTCACTTTATATTTCATGTCAGTTCTTCTCATTACCCCAAGAAGAAGAGCTGAGTGTGATTCATTCATTCATTCAACACATATATTGAGAATGCCTAGTGTGTGGCAAGCACATTCTAATGGGGTTGAGGCAGTGAACTGCACAGAAAAGGGCCTTGCTCTCATGGAGCTTGTATTCAGTAAGGTCGGGGGGAAGGTAGCAAGTAGGGTGTTAACAATAACAACAGAAGGTATAAAAGAATGAACATAGGGTGAGGTGCAAAAGGCAGGCTGGCTTGAGCTCCATGTCCAACGATACAATTGGAAGTGAGGAGATGGAGCAACCGAGAGGCCAAGTTAATGGATAGTGAAGTCATACCCAGTGGATGTGGAAGTTACCAAGAAAGGTACAGGATGTGGAGGGGAGGAAGACAGTAAACCCTGTTGGAGTCATCAGTGATGGAGGGAGTTAGCTGGGGGCTGGGTGTTTAGGGGTGGCTGTGGATCTATAAATGACTTAAGGAGGGTTGGCTGACGATCAGATCATGACAGCATGAGCTTCATCGCACTGGTGCCCTTGGAGGAAGGAGAAGGATTGGAATGAAAGAGGCCAAGAGACACACAAGGATCACACTGGCCACCACTTCAGGCCTTGAAGTATGCACAGTGTGAGAAGAAAAAGCAAAGCCCCACCTGAGTGGCTGCAGGATAATTGGGGGTGCCTGGGGTGGTGAACACAGAGAAGTGCCACCTACATCCCCCACCAAGGAAAGACTTGTTGCCTTGCTGCAGGAGGTGCTGTCAGTAGATCACCCCCAGCAATTGGTTTCTGCAGGGCTGCAGGAGAGCTGCTTCTCTCGAAGACACAGAAGGCATGCTCAGCGTCTCCTTCTGTCCATTTCTGCCTCTTCCCACCTCTGACACGGGGGTTGTGATCCCTGATAAATATCCTGCACACCAAATTCCATTTCAGCATCTGCCTGCAGGGAACCCAACTTACGACACTCAAGGATAACCAGGATTTGCTAAAGACAAGTGTTAAAGAAAAAAATTATTCGTTATACTTGTTAAATATGCTACGAAAGACTTTATTCCAGGGGCCTCCTACAATTGGGATTTTGTAGTAAGTGAAAGAGATCAGGCTCACCTTCAAATACAACAAGGAAAAGTGGAAATTCATAGTCAAGAGGGGTAGGGTGAGGTGGGTGTTGATGGATGAAAATTACTATAACGAAACTTCAAGGGTAAATGGGGGATTCTGGCCAAATCTGCCTAACTGGCTTCCTGCTGAAGGCAGGCCAGACATCACCTGGACGATGATGGAGGATGAGAAACCTGAACAGATATAGAGAGTGATCAGATATTGAGGGGAGGGGGTTCTGGCTAAACTGACTCCGCAGGATTCTTGCTAAAATTGAGCTCTTGGGGGATATGCTTAAGGGTGGGATCTAGTTGGAAGCCTGACTAAAGTTTGATCAAGAAGAGAACATTTGTCGCAAGGAGAGAATTGTTGTCATAAGAAAAATCTTTGTCACTTTGAAGGAGATGTTCAGGGAAGAAATGGAAGACATGGGGGTGTTTGCTGAAGACAAACAGTATTTCCATGGAGCACAGCGGTTTTGGGTGGATGGGGCACAGCAGGTAATTACCTCCAAGTAGAGGATGAGGATCCAGGGGACGACGCCCTTGGGAGCTCGAGCTTTGGTGACAACAGAACATCTGTCAGGGTGCCCCAGAAATTTCTTTTTAAATCCTCAATCAATACTGGCCTTGTCCATCAAACTTCTTGCCTTCCCACAAAGTTATTGATGACTACGAGTCAAAAACAATCTTTTTTTTTTGTATGTCCTACTGGGGCAATTTGGCCTCTGCTGTCTTGTCTTTGGCTTTTAGAGTTTTAGTAATACAAATAACTCTTTTGTTGTTGTTTTGTTTTGTTTTTGAGATGGAGTTTCACACTTGTCACCCAGGCTGGAGTGCAATGGCGCCGTCTCGGCTTACTGCAACCTCCGCCTCCCAGGTTCAAGCGATTCTCCTGCCTTAGCCTCCCGGGTAGCTGGGATTACAGGCATCTGCCACCAAGCCCGGCTAATTTTTGTATTTTCAGTAGAGACGAGGTTTCACCATGTTGGCCAGGCTGTTCTCGAGCTCCTGGCCTCAGGTGATCCACCTGCCTCGGCCTCCCAAAGTGCTGGGATTACGGATGTGAGCCACTGCGCCCGGCCGAGAACTCTTATTTAATATTCAGTTTATCTCATTTAATTTTTATGAGAGCCTTATGAAGTAGATATTATTGCCATTACACAGATAAGGAAGCTGAGGCTTAATGAGAAAGAATAAGTTGCTCATAGTCATGTAATTGGTGCATTTGGAATTCAAACTCAGTTTTAACTCCAGGATCAAGGTATTATCCTATGTCCGCTCATCACAGTGGTACAGTTTTTGGTTGTCAGGTCAATATTTATCTCCAAAATAACTCTTGTTCTGATTTTTGAGTGGACATCATCATAAAATCCAACATTAGTAACTCACAGGCTTGTCACATGCCTCTTCCAGAGATCCCTGATCTGGTTCTGAGATCTTCCTTCCCTTGATGAGAACTTCCCTGTAATGAAGCGTATGCTTAGGAAGGGAGAGCAAATTTCTGTCTGTTTTCCATTCTTTTTCTTACAGAAAAATGCTGGGATGAAATTTCTTTGTTGCCAGGTTCTAGAATGAGGTGGCGTCAGCTTGATTTAAAGTGCATGCCATCTGTTTTGTGTCTAAACGTCAAAACCATAGCCTCTGACATTAAAATTCAAGAAAAAAGATTTACCTGATCCTTTGACCTGTAAAAGTACACTGCTTTCAGATTATAGTGTTGAGGCTGTTGGTTCTTTCTTGTAAATTAATATAAAATATTTAAGCTTGCAGCCATCATTTGGGATCCTCTGCTTAAAAGGACGTCATTGTCTGGTTCTTTATTTAATTTTTTTGGATACGATATATTTGTATATATTTATGGGATACATGTGAAATTTTGCTACATGCATAGAATGTGTGATGATCAAGTTAGGGCATTTAGGGTATCTATCACCTGAGTATTTATCTTTTCTATGTGTTGGTAACATTTCCTCTCTTCTGGCAATTTTGAAAAATACAACATATTGTTCTTAACCATAGTCACCCTACTCTGTTATCAAACATGAGAACTTATTCCTTTTATCCAACTGTATGTTTGCAAGCATCGACCAATCTCTGTTCATCCCCCCTCCACCCATTCCCCCTTCCCGGGTAGCTCTTTCACATACACCCAGAGCAACTTACCTTTTCAACTTGAGTATAATCAATTTTTCCGCGACAGGAAGGCAGTCTTAAATGCCTAAATTACCCCACATCCTTACCGTCAATATCTATTTTTAGTAAGAGTTAGTTATTGGGGGAAAATGTGTTGTTTGAGACTCGATCTGACCTGGAAAATGAGGAGGGCGGCTTAGACTGCTTTCACGCCATTTCTCAACAATATTCTTGACACATGTTGAATGGAATAGGACTGTCGTGAGAAAGGGTTATCTCGGTGGAAGATGCCGTGCAGGGAAGCTCATCTGATTTAGAACTTCTCTGGCCATCCAGAAGAGAGTTCAAAAAGAGAAAGAGGGCAGATTGGGAAAGGGGGTTGGAGAGCTAAGATGCAGACTGGGAGCCCAGGAAACCCATCCTGCAGGAGGGATCCAAGCCCCGGCAGAGGGGAGTTCACACCTATCAGGAGCAGATGAAAGCGGTGTTTGATTCTGGATCCTGGCTCTGCTGCTGGCTCTGGTGGCATTATTCATTTAGTGCCGTTCCATACTTCGCAGGAAAAGCACAGCAGGCTTATAATGCTTGAGTTTTTAAACATTCAGAGGACTGTGATGCTATAAATAAACTTCCTGTGTCAGAGATTAAATCAACCAAGATGCCTGCCATGCCAACTTTATTTCTGAAACAACGTGTTTTCAACAGAAATCAAAATACATGTTAATCCTTCCCTTCTGACAGGCTAATATGAGCCTTGCAAATCACAGTGGAGAGCTACCTAGAGGACGTTAAGTAGCAGAAGCCGTGTCTGCACGGCTTATCTGTTGGAGAAGTCTGCGGCCATCCCTTGATTTGGAAGTTTTCTGCCTGGACTTGTGGCTTGGGTCTGCAGAATCAGGTTCAGACTGGACTGTTTTTATCAGAAAAGACTTGGCTATTGTGTTTTGGCTAAAACAATGCAGAGGTTGTGTCTTTGAGAAGAGTAATAACAGGTTAGCAGACAGCCGTCCAGTTCAACACCTATTCTCCTTTCTTTGGGTAACAGCACCCTGATTTACTATTCTCCTTTCTTTGGGTAACAGCATCCTGATTTACTATTCTCCTTTCTTTGGGTAACAGCACCCTAATTTACTCTGAGTAACCATCATCCTTCAACCACTCTTATTCCATGAGGTTCTGTGTGGGGGACTCCATCCCCAGCCCCTAAGGCTGGGCTCTGGGCTAACCAATCAGAGCCATCCACCTCCTTCCTTGGCCATCGAAATTGGTTCCAAGGTGAGGCAATGTCCAAAGTGGGATGATGGTGTGAATTTTGACCCTTGGCTGGAACTCCTGAGAAAGGGAAGCTCCTCTTTTGCTGGGGTGGCTAGCTTAGCACTGCCGAAATTCATCACTGTGACCTGATCACCTGAGATTGATGCCCACTCAGAGTAAAGCAGAGATGAGAGACAGAGACAGATTCCTGATGATATTGTTGGAGCACCTGAATAAAGCCCTGCTTGAAATTAGAAGCCCTCCTGGACTTGTTTGCATGATTAGATTCTATTCTTTTCCATTGAGAATGAGCTGGCTTTCCGTTACCTGAAATTGAAATAGTCCTGATTAATTCAGTGGTCCAGCTGGTGAATTCAGCCAACTGGTCAATTCTGTGACAAAAGGTATTTATGGATTTATCAACTTGTTGTTAGATTAGATTTATTCTAACTTAGTGAGATTGATGGTAGGGCAGCCCAGGGCCGGCTCAGCTCTAGGTAAATAGTGTGGCCATAGGATCCCCAGCAGAGACAAAGAGTGGCCCTGAAAAGCTGGGTATGGCAGCTGGTGAGTTTCAGCTGGAGGCTGTGTTTCTAGAGAGAAGTGGCCTCCCATCAGGGATCCTTGGCCTTCTGAGTACCTTTAAGGATGTGAGGAGGCTGTATTCTTCTCCCTAGAGAGATTTACACATGCCTTTTCCCACCAAGTTTTCCACGTAATTTTAGGTGATTCTCTGAATTGCAGAAAGCCAGCCATGGGCCCCTTGGGGATTCCAGGTTATACAGTAGGAACCTGGACAGGTGACTTGCTTTTTACATCTTACAGGGTCTCTCATGGATGCTACAAATATGCTGGCTAAGATTTTTGAGTACTCACCAGGTCTCAGCCACTACACTTAACATGTAGTATTTACCTATATTTTTACAATGACCCTATTGGGTAGATGTTATCATTATCCTAACTTTACAAATGAATAATTTAAAAGATGAAAAAGTTAGGTATCTTGCTCAAGGTCACCCAGCTTATAAGTGAGTAAAATTTAAATCTCAGTCTAGAAGACACAAGAGACCACATTCTAAATCACTTTAGTGACTTTAGAAATTACTAATGGATCACAGTGACTACCAGTCCATAATAATTTGGATCCTTACATCTAACTTAAATCCATCACGATGTAGTGTAAACCCATTGCTTCTTGTAAGTCACATGGTATTAGATTGTGCCAATCTCAAAACAGGCAAGTGATTTACAGTAAATTAGTATCTGAGACTCAGGTTCTTTATATGGGAATCATGGTTAGTAAATTATTATTTTATTTTTTCATTTTCTTTACTTTGTCAAATTTTTGAAAATTACAAAAGAAAAACATGCTTATAAAAACTTGACACAGAAATAGAGAGCAGTGAGTAGGAGCAGCATGAAAATTCCCCTCAGTGGCTTCTGCTATGGATTAGTTTTAAACTTGGGTGTATAATCTGCCAAACTGTGTCCATGGATTTATACAGTCTTCTTACAACATGTGTAAAGAGTTTCTTTTACTTTTTCCAGTTTTATTGAGGTATTATTGACAAGTAAAAATTGTATATACTGAAAGTGTGTAACTTGATGTTTTGATATACATATACATTGTAAAATAATCACCATAATAAAATTAATTAACATATCCAGTACCTCACATAATTACCATTTCCTTCCTTCCTTCATTCCTTCCTTCCTTTCTCTTCTCTTCAATTTTTTCTTTCTTTCTTTCTTTCCTTTTTCTTTCTTTTTCTGTCTTTCCCTTTCTTTCTTTTTCTTTCTTTCTTTCTTTCTTTCTTTCTTTCTTTCTTTCTTTCTCTTTCTTTCTTTCTCTTTCTTTCTCCTTCTTTCTTTCTTTCTTTCTTTCTTTCTTTCTTTCTTTTTCTTTCTTTCTTTCTTTCTTTCTTCTTTCCTTGTGACAACACTTAAGATCTACTCTCAGTAAATCTCAAGTATACAATACAGTATTGCTAACTATAGTCACATTGCTTATACAGTTTATTTTAAAACAAAAATAGAATCATATTTTGGCATCTTTCCATGTCAGGGTACATATAGATCTACTATTGCGCTTTTGATAACTACATTTAATCCACAAATATGAGCATATGTATTTAGTATTGTCATTCCCTGACTGATGGACATTTCAGTTGCCTCCATTTAAAAAAAAAACTATTATTTTAAATTCTGCTGCAGTGAATACACTTGTGTATATATCTTTGCCACAAGGCTAAATATTTCTATAAAACAGATCTCTAGAAGTAGAATTGCAGGGGCTAGCACACTTCTCTATTTTAAAGTAAATGCATGAAAGACCATTTTTAGCACCATTAAAGGGATTCCAGTGAAATATCCTAGAGCTTGTTAAGTTTGTCTGTTTTTCCTGTGCTTAGGATCATTTGGGCACGGAGACAACGTGCCTTCTTGGTTGTACTGGTTGTCACACTCCCGCTGGAGCCTCCTTTATATTCAAGAGCTCCTCTGAGTCCCGTCTTCCCTTGAGCGGTCCAGGGCTTAGGTTTATTGTGGCAGATTTGGAGCCAGCTTCCCAAGCCGTGCACATCTGCCCTCTGAACACATGCTGGCTACCTGCAGACATCAGCTGGGGCTTGGGAGCCACTGCCCAACAAGCAGTGACTGGTTGTATCCTCAGCGATACCCACAGCCAAAGTCTGAAACCACTGTCTGTTAAGAGTACATGGGATCCAGAAGAATGGTTGCCTGAAATGGAGAGGCTGAAGGCTTACAGCCTTTGACAAAATCTCATTAATTGGTTCATTCCTTTAACAACTATTTTTTGAGCCTTTACTATGAGCCAAGCACTGTGGCCAGAGTTAGAGATACCAGAGGTCACCAAAAACACATACGGCGACCCTTCTCTCGTGGTGACTCTAAAACATGCCAGTTAGGTATATTCTCTTCTCCTGTACACGTCTGGTTTTATGTCTGGGAAACACTTTAAATGAAAAGTAGATTTGAAAAGGTATTTTAGAAGCCAGAACGAATCAACCCAAGCTGGGTGACGACAAAACTTCCTTAAAAACTGCAGCAGAGAGTTGGCAGGACACTGGGATAAAAAAATAAATCAAATGCTGTTAATCATTTTGCCTCCATCTCCTTCTCCTCCCTCCTGTAGCGTTGTTTCCTCCACCCCGGCTGAGTGAACTATGTGACCACTTTACTCCCAGCACAGCTGATTGGACCAGGACTGAAGCCCTGATTCAGGCTCAGTCAATCAGATCCTCTCTTGGGGTGCTGATTTTGTAACGTCATGACCCAGGACAGGTTTTTTAGGGCAGCCTAATTGGAAAGCATTACAAAGGTGGAACCCATGGTGAGATGGAGCAGAGAGGACCACACTGCAGAGAAAGCGAGAATTAAACTGGTAAAAGGAAAGAAGCAGGGAAGCAAACCATGAAGCTTCTGAAAGAAACAGAGCTGGAGCGAGTATCTCCCTTTATGTCAGAATTATCTCCAGAGATCCAGAGCACTTCTTATTCTTGGATTCCCTGAGCCTTCCAACCATTCCAACAAATCCCCATTTTTTCTTGAGCTAACCTGATGGCTCCTCTTTCTGATAACCACCCTCATCCTCTGGGATAAGACAGTATTTGCCTCCTTCTTTGTACTATTGAGAAAAAGAGCAATAGAGAAGCTTCTTTTCATCCTGTTCCTCAAGGCTGAACTTGATATGTTCTTGGGAGATATATTCTTTCTGACTCTATCTGCCATTTTTCGAATGGCCTGATTGTTTTGGAGACATGATGAACTCTGTCCTCAGGGACTCCCTAACGAAGGCTCAGCTTGGAGAATTCATGAATCCATTTGTTCATCAATTAGGGAGCCCTGGAAGCAGACACACTGGGCGAGAGGCTCCTCACTGCTCTCTGCTGGGTGGAGATGGGAGACCAGGCACATCCCCTAGAGAAGCTTCCCCAGAAATGTGGCTCACTGTGGAGGCCAATGAAGCCTCTGCTATTTTCCCCTGGAGAAACTGACAACATGGACAAGCCTGTGTAACCAGAATTATAATGTAAATCCAAGCCTAGAGACTCAAAGTCAGTGAGGAAATAAGCAAATTCCCAAAGAGTTTCTGATCACTGGGTGGTGGTGGAGAGCAGGGAACACAGGACTGTCCAGAAAAATACTTCCCTGACTAGGGAACCCCAGAGAGATGAAAACAAATTCCTATTTTTGCTTTAATTACACACAAATGTACGCATACACAAACACACATGTAAAAAATTTTATTGCTGGATCACTGTGGAGTGAAACAGATACACACTTATCATAGGAAAGCTGGAAGAACCTGGATTAAAAAGAGTGGCTTGTGTGGCTGGGTGAGTTAACAGTTAGGTTCAGTATCCCCATGAGAATCTCTGCCAAGATGAATCTCTCCTTTTCCCAGAAGCTTTGAAAGAAACAAAAACTTAATAATCTTAATAGACGAATTTGACTCAAAAGACCTGTTAAAGGACAGGGAAGCATCTTCTCTTGTCTCCCCAACCCCGACTGCCTTGTCCTTTGCCCATGCCAGTTGACAACACAAACCCCCTCTCTCTACTCCCCTTGAGGATTCAGCCTGGATGCCTTTGCCCCCTAAATTTCCATTGCCTCTAGGTCTCCTTTGTGGTTTTTCTCACTCAAACTGGCATTTTGCATACAGTGGAGAGCAGCAGGGAACTCAGGCTGGCATTAGGAGCAAATCTGGTTTCTTTCTTTGTCTTTATTCCTCCACTCCCTTCCCCCCACCCCACCACCCCCTTCCTTTAGATAGGCGCCTTCAGCTGTGTATAAATTAAGCACATTCTTCTGCCTTTGCAGGTCACATCTGGGATATTCTGGACATCTCTGGTATAAACCCTAAATTTATGAAACCAGTAATTTGCTGCTCCCAGCTTATAATGTCTGACATTGTCACTGTTTGCTTAGAGTTTTGGTATCTGATGTTCTTAATGTTAAGGTCAATTTTATTGATACTGAACTCCATGCCCTCATTTTTTCCCCATTGCATTTTGTTTGAAGCACACACAGAAAGGGTAACTAATCTTAATATCTTGTGTTCACAATTCTATTTAGCATGAAATCAGTAACTGACATATTAATTATAATAATCTGTTAAATATACTTTACCTACATGTTAATTATGTGAGACCATTCTCATTTATTTCTCTGGGTAGCCTATTAATTCAACCCAGATGGTACAGCTTTGTGAGACGGTAACACTGAGCATTTGCAGAATAAATCATGTTGCCAAGATACAGCAGCAAAACGTTATCACATCTGAATAAGCTTTAGGATGATATAACCATGAAAGAAAACCCACCTATTACTTGCAGACTGGAGCTTAGTTAAAAACAGGATCCATACACCAAATGTTTAAAAAAAATTTGAGGGAACATGCAATGGTTTCCTCCAAAAGAGGGGATTCTTTATTTAAGCCCAGTGCCCCATAAATAATTCCAAGAGAGAGAAATGGAATCCTGACCCAGGGAGTTCATCATAACTTGGGGGGAGGGGAAGGAAGGCAGCTGTGCTCTTCTCGGACATTCTGATGTGAAGGCTGGCATTACTGGGGGAAGTGCTTAAAGACCCCTTCCTGCTTTCTCCATTTTCTTGCCTTCTTTAAACTTCTTCCTGGATGTGAATAGAACTCTGGGCTTCATCTCTTGGAGGCTCTTTAGTTTGGGCCATCTTTACATCTGGGAGGCTGACTTATCTCCAAATGGAGATGATTTCAATGATAAAGCTTGTGATCAGCCAATGGGATGCCAATATCATCTTTCTGGGGAAGATCTAGTTCCACTGGCCAGAGATACTTTCAGTTCAGCAATGTAATTCAACAATTTAGTTGGCACTCACTCTTTATTTGTTTCTAAGTAGACCTGTGCTAGTTCTTGGGAGCTGGTGTGGACAAGCCGCATGTGGGCTTTGACTTCACAGAGCTTAAGATCTGTTACAGGCAGTTATAATGAAGCATGATGAGGGAACTATGGCTGTTAGAACACATGCAAAGGACCTCAATCCAAACCTGGGCAGAGGCTCAGAGAATGCTTCCCAGAGCAGTAATCTCATCACTTGCCTCTGAAGGAGGAGCAGGAGGTAGGTAGTCAAGTAGAAGGCTAAAGAGTAACCCAGGTAGAAGCAACAGCATCTTCAAATAGCATATCATATGTTCATGGAACTGAAGGAAGCTGGTGTAAGTGGACATAATCTAGTGTGGAGAGGGGGGTTGTGGGGACTTTCAAGAGATGTGGCTGGATAAGTGTGCAGAGGCCAGATTCTGAGGGTCTCTGTGAACTATATGAAGGAGTTCAGCTTTCATCCTGAGGACAGTAGGGGTCACGGAAGAGTTTAAGCATTGAGGTGACATTGCCAGATTTATATTGTAGGAGCTTCATTCTGGCTTCGCATAGGATAGCAGGTAGCAGGCTGGAGCTGTGGTCATAGCTAGAGATGGTGGTGTCTTGGACCAGAAGAGAGACAGGACCTTTTTCATCTTCTTATCCTTCTCAGCCTTACCTAAATTTCTTCTTCTCTTTCTCAAAGCCTTTCCTGACATCTCCAGTCTTCTCCAAGATCTTTATTTTTTGAACTTTGCTAGCAATGTTTTAGAAAGGATTTAATTTCAGAATCTCAGCTTGCTTCTCCATTCCCTTGAACACTGGTACAGGTGCATCTATCTCTGCCATGATGTTTAAGGTTGCCTAATAACTTCTCTGCCCTATCTCTCCTCCATGGACACATGGCTTTTGCATTTGAGCAACTCATTGCTCATGATGCCCATGGATACTTTTGCTACATATTTATTGTGAGATTATATTTTGTGCTTGCTCCTTGGCCACTCAATCTAAAAACAGCTGTCTCTCATTCTCTCTCAGATCTCCCCTGTTCCTCTCCTTCATAGCATTGACCACAATGCGCAATTAGAGGTTATAATTTGTTTTGCTTTGCTCTTTATGCTTTTCTTCTGCCTCATCTGCTAGACTGATCCCATCAGGGCAGAGACCGTGTCTGTTTTTCCTCATTGTATTCTAAGCACGTAGCACAGAGTCTGCCTGGCACATAATAGTCGTGCAACAAACTAACATTTCTTGATTGAAACACGGTATTAGTTTTCTAAAATTGAAGGCCCTTTAACTCTTGAAGGGGAGCACTTGAATCTCAGCACACATTTCAAATGTGTGCACTTTTAAGCTTAGAGGAAGAAATGAAAACCAGGGGTGCAGAAATGGAAACCACAAGCCCAAAAATGTGGCATTGTCTCGAAAGTGGCCTTCTATAGCAATGATTAGAATGTATATGAATGACAGAATGACTTGGGCACAGGATAAATTTGACAAGCCCATTAGAGAGAGGTTTACCTGAAGAGGGGGACTATAGGATAGCTGAGAAATTCTAATCATCCAAATAACTACTATAACAAGCATGTGAATTTCAGAAGGACATGATTAATTTAGAATCAGTTTTGAGTTTTAGATTCTGTCTTGATTTGTTTTCTAAGAAACAACCAACCTTCCCTCCTTCAATTCTTTCTCCCACCTACCTACCTTCTTTTGTTCATCCATTCATTCATCAAATATTCCTTGAGGGCATGAAACATCCCAGGATCTTGCTGGAAAGTGACTATTAAAAAGGCAGTGAGTAAGCCTCAAGATACTGAGAGTGAAGTACACCTCTGTATTGAAGGGCCAGGAAGAGGCCTCAGTAGAAAGGTTCCCAGCCGAAAGACTGTGTTTAGCCAGGTTTGACCCCCTTGGCTTCTCTTTTGAAAAAGATATTGAGAAAGGATTGAGGGCTGACACATCTGCTGAACCCTCTGAAATCACAGCTGAGCCCCACTAGCTGGATTGAACATCAACCAGAATTCCACATCCACTACATGGTTAAGAGGAACTTCTAGCTGGGGAATATAAAATTGTAAATGGCACAGATAACGTCAGTCTGAGTTACTGTTTTCAGAATGACACAGATGTTAGGATAAGGGAGCATAAATGGAAATTAAAGAGAAACAAATTCAGAACAGATGTCAGGAAGCATTTTTTTTCATGCAGAGAATCACAAATGTGTGGAATGGCCTACCAGACTCGATTGTTAAGGCAAAGACACAGGGGACATTCGAGGACTGATCAGATGGCATCACGGGGGAATTAAGCAGTAAAAGAGGAAATGAGCATGCATACGGCAACTGGCTTTCAGCTAATCCTCAACCATGTCCATGTTCTTATGTTCCTGGTGCTTACATACTTACCTTGGATAAACACACATAATTTCTTTGCTTTTAGTTTTCACAGATTGCACCAATCTCCAAATGGATATTTTCACATCATAAAGATGACGTTGGCAGAGAAGGGGAGAGAGAGAGAGAGAGAGAGAGAGAGAGAGAGAGAGAGAAAGGGAGAGAGAGACAGAGCCTTTCCTGCAGTTATTTTATTTTTGGAAGGAAGGTGGTGGTGTTCATGAATCATGCATGAAAAATAACATTTACAATGTATATCTCTATCTAGCACCAAAGATCACAGTTTGATCATAAACCAGACAGGCCTGTGTACTGTCTCCTGGAGCTGGAGTTCTAATTTTCACTAAATTCATGGCCCACAAGGTGTCCCTTGAAGTCCTCCCCAGCTAATGGTGTCATGGTGCTCAAGTTCTTTAAAGAATATTATATGTAGTCTGGGCATGGTGGCTCATGCCTGTAATCCCAGCACTTCGGGAGGCCGAGGTGGGCAGATCACCTGAGCTCAGGAGATCGAGACCATCCTGGCCAACATGGTGAAATCCCGTCTCTACTAAAAATACAAAAATTAGCTGGGCATGGTGGTAGGCGCCTGTAATCCCAGCCACTTGGGAGGCTGAGGCATGAGAATCGCTTCAACCCGGGAGGCAGAGGTTGTAGTGAACCAAGATGGCGCCATTGCACTCCAGCCTGGGTGACAGAGTGATACCCTGTCTCAAAAAAAAAAAAAAAAAAAGAATATTATATGTAAAAGAAAATGAAGCCAGTTGTCACCATCCAACAGCTACTTACTGGAAAGAATTTGAACCAAGAATGAGGTAACAGGAAACCTGCAGCCCCACAGCCACTTGTCTTTCTTTGCATTGTGCCTTCAGAACAGCCCTGGTGAGACTGTAACCAGGTGCCCCCTTACGGAAGTATCACTTGGAGGACATAGCTTATGATAATAGGGAAGGAGAGAGAGGAAAGCAAGGGATCTATGCCTCAAGGGAAGGTAGTTGAGGATAAAAAGTAGAGTTAAACCTCATTAATCTGGACCCTGCTAATTTGGAATGTAGGAATAATTCAGACCCTCTGGCTGGGCTGAAGTTTACCTTTGTACTAGATATGGAAAAAAGGGTTTGCTAAGCAAATTAATAGTGTAAACAAGATTGAGGGTAGGGAATATATAACCTATTTAAGAGAACAAATTGTTTTCACATACTTCGTAGAACCATCTGCATAGGAGCAATGAATAGGTCAATTATAAGTAATCCGGTCTATTCATTAATCTTGGTCTGCTGGGTATCCAAACTTAGCAGAATTTTGTGAGCATTAGAGGGATGAAATTGAACAAGGTGGGGAGGGAGTTCTTGAAAGTTCTTATTATTTAAGGCATGATTTGGTTGATTTACATTGCCTTTTATGTCATAACTTACTTCAGATTTATAAGACCTTAAACAACTATTGACAACCCTTCTTTAGATGCCGTCTGTCCCCTCTTTCTGTTAGAGTTGAGATGATAGAAAGACCAACTTGTAAAACACAGTCCTGAATAGTTTTGGCACCAGGACAAGTAAGAAAAGCTTGTTTGGGCAGCTTTTACTTCATAGCCACTTAGCAAGAATAGGGTGCCACAGGTTAGAAAGCCTGAATTCTAGTCTGGTCTGCCAATAATTACCCATTGGATTTCAGCAGACCTTTTATTCTCTCTGGGGCATCAGTTTCCACATTTATACAGTAGAATAAGATTGATGGTATCTGAAGACTCTTTCAACCCAACAATTCCATTATGGCCATTTATTATCTTCTCTGAGACAATTTCTCATCAGTAAAAAATATATAGTAATCCTCATGTTGTTTTGATAATCCGATAATACAGCAAATAAAGGGCAGAGTATAATATATAATATAAGCATTAAGTAAGAAAAAAGTCAATCAGGGGAATTATCTCATCTCTGCTGCTGTCATAGGCTAAGAATGCACTCCTTTACCCTCTCCTTGGGACATGCTCACTGTCTTTTCTCCTTCCTTACTCATGGACTTTTTTTTTTTTTTTTTTTTTGAGATGGAGTCTTGCTCTGTTGCCCAGGTTGGAGTGCAGTGGCACGATCTTGGCTCACTGCAACCTCTGCCTCCCAGGTAGCTGGGATTACAGGCGCCAGCCACCATGCCCACCTAATTTTTGCATTTTTAGTAGAGACAGGGTTTCACCATGTTGGCCATGCTGGTCTGGAACTCTGGACCTCAAGTGATCTGCTCACCTTGGCCTCCCAAAGTGCTGGGATTACAGGTGTGAGCCACTGCGCCCGGCTCCATAGACTTCTTAATAACATTTCCCATTAGGTAAGACTGGAGCTTTCACCAGGAGCTTTCACCAGTTCCACCCCCAACCCCCTAATTTCTTTTAGTCAGTTTGCTCATCTCTTCTGGATATGGAAACCAGAGAGACAGAGCACTTCATGAAATGCAAGATGCAGAAGCAGGAGGGTCCTCTTGTTCAGCAGATCAGTGAGTGGTGAATTGGAACAGGGGAGGAGGAGGGTGGATGGTTTTCTCTCAGCCAGAGGTCTTGTTGCCACTCCCCTAGCCACTCTCAAACACACTACAGGGTTGTCCACAAACATATGAAAAAATGCTCGATATCATTAATCATCTGAGAAATGCAAATTAAAATCACAAGGAGATATCTTTCATCAGTCAGAATGGCTACTGTTAAAAAGTCAGAAAACAACACGTGGAGAAAAATGAACATTTTTACACTGCTGGTAGGAATGTAAATTAATACAGCCTTTATGGAAAACAGTATGGAGATTTCTCAAAGAACTAAAAAATAGAACTACCATTTGATCCAGCATTCCCACTACTGGGTATCTACCCAAAGGGAAAGAAATTATACGAGAAAGATATCCACACTTGTATGTTGATTGCAGCACTATTCACAATAGCAAAGATACAGAATCAACTTAAATGTCCATCAATGGATGATTGGATAAAGAAAATGTGATATGTACACCATGGAATACTACCCAGTTATAAAAAAGCATGAAATCATGTATTTTGCAGCAACACTGGTAAAACTTGAGGCCATTATCCTAAGTGAAATAATAGAACATCAGATTCTCACTCCCATGTTCTCATAAGTGGGAGCTTAAACAATGGTTACACGTGGACATACAGATGGAAAAATAGACATGGAGACTCCAAAACAGGAGAGTGGGAAGGAAGTGAGGACTGAAGATATCACATACTGGGTACAATATATTCACTATTTGGGTAATGGGTACACTAAAAGCCCAGACTTCATTCACCACTAAGCAATACATGCATGTAGCAAAAATGCCTTTGTGCCCTCCAAATAAAAAAAAAAAAAAAAACACCACAAAACACACACAAAAAAATAGTTGTGCCAATTTTAGTTCTAAAGCTGGAGTTGGACATGGAGCAGCCAGTTGGCACAAGTTTGGTTTCTGACTTCAGTTCATATCAGTCTCTGTTCCTCCCAGTCACTGACTCGTAAAGTGAATTAATCAGTTAAATATTGATTTGATGTGCCATTTCTATTGACATGATTCTCAAATAATGTTTGGTCACTGTACATTCAAAATCTTTACTGCTTAAACAAATCGTCAGCTAGATCTTTTCAAAGGTGGACTCAAAGACCAAGATCATGTTGGGCTGCCTTATCTGTGCTTGGCTGAAGACACTTATCTCCTTAAACGTGTTTTTGACACATAAAATCAGTTCTTTATTCTGGTATTGAGAAACTCAGTAGCAGAATAGCTTCAGAGTTGCTAAAATCATATTAAATATCATTTGTATGAGTATGTGGAGATTATGTACTATGTGCAGATTTGGGACCCTTTTTAGAAAATGAGACAAGACTGAGGGAAAAATGTGGTGCGTGCCATGAGAAGATTTTATGGGGTGAGGGTTTTTAATCAGAGCCTCCAGTCCTGCTACATTCCCCAGGCAGTAGGACCCTGCATCGCAGTTACTGTTTGGGTGACCTTTATTTAAGTGAACTCACAAGGCTTAGAAAGTCAGCCTCTTCAGAACCACAAACTTTGGTTAAGTCAAATGATTTTGGCGAAGTCATTTGACATCCTTGAAAACTAATCCAAATTGATGCAATGCCCTGTGCAATTGCTGTTGCAGCATTTGTTGTGTTTCTAACATTTGTCAGCAAGACTTACTTTATTTCTCTTTTTTATTGACTGCTTGCCTTAAGTTCCACCCTGTGAAAAGTGCTTTAGGTTTTGCAGAAAAATATCTAGTTCCCCTACATTTTCAGAAGTGTATACTCTTGATGAAGAGCAAGGCACAGAGACCAAAGGCTGCAAAATGGTGGATGTGCTCTGCAGATGTATTTTCTTTGGTGTGTTTAGTCTCTGACCAAAAATAAGTAAATATATAAAATAAAAACTGTATTTTTTTTGTTGCCGATATTTAGAATTTGGGATGTTTCAAGAGTCCCAAGAAAATCAAGAGTAAGGCTAGTCTTAAAAAATATCAGATGATGAAGAAACACTCATTCTGAATTCTCTCATGGCAACGACCAGCTGGACCTGAGTAGTGGCCACTTTTATGTGCTGTGAAATATACTGTCTAGTTCACCACAGTCCCTACCACACCCTGTTGTCTTACTCCAGTCTGGCTCACTCATTATATTACCTGCCTTGCATTAGCAGGCATCTGTATTTACAATCCTTGAAATAGTTATCTAAGAAAGACACAGAAACAAAAATGCAACGAAGTATATGATTCCATGATCAAATGAATGGTACAGATAAAGACTGTGGGTGGGATGTTAAGATGATTGAATTATGTGAACTTGTTTACTTGGAAGTTTCTGTTGGTCATGACTGGTTTGGGAGGTGTCTTGCAAAATGGCTAATAATTAGGAACTGAAATTTTCAAAGGCCTTGAAAAAAGAGAGAGAATTAATGCTGTCTCTTTAATAATATTGTTCTCTGTGGCTATTCCTGTATGCTTTTGTAAGAGAAGAGAGGGTGGCATTACAGCTATTGCTAATTTGGTAGTAATACTGTGGGAAACGAGTCACTACATGTATGACTCCTGTCATGTAATATAGACGGAGAGGCTGAGGTCTTTGCAGCATTTAGTATCTGTGAGGCCTGGAAGATGACCCAGGGATAGCCATGGAACAGATACCTAGATTGTTTTCTTTCTTTTCTTTTTCTTTTTTTTCTTTTTTTCTTTTTTTTTTTTTGAGACGGGGTTTCACTATGTCACCCAGGCTGGAGTACACTGGTGCGATCTTCGCTCACTTCAACCTCCGCCTCCTGGGTTCAAGTGATTCTCCTGCCTCAACCTCCCAAGTAATTGGGAGTACAGGCATGTGCCACCACACCCAACTAATTTTTGTATTTTTAGTAGAGACAAGATTTCATCATGTTGGCCAGGTTGTTCTCGAACTCCTGGCCTCAAGTCATCCACCCACCTTGGCCTCCCAAAGTGCTGGGATTGCAGGCGTGAGCCACCACGCCTGGCCTGTTTTCTGATGATTGGTATGATCCCAAGATCAAGCCCTTGTCGAAAAATCAAGTAGAAGATGGTCAGCTGCGGGACATGTGCCGGGAAGGACAGGTCAGAGGAAGACTGCGAAATAATTGTTACATTTGGCAATTAAGATAGCCACAAAGTGAACATCTGTTTTTTGTGTGTGTGTTTGACATGCATTCACTTTTCTTCTGGAAACAGTAGGATGGCTTTTCTCACTCAATTCATGTGGTTCAGGTGGGCTGACTTTGCCCCCATTGCACCAAGGATGGGCGTGTAATTCAGAATCGCCAAATGAGAACTTCTGTGTCTTCTTTCCTAATAGTTTCAGGGATGGACATGTGCCCAAGCTGAGACATTAAAAAGTCAGCCTTGGGGATGTTGCTAATGCTACCAGGAGAGAAGTGTTCGTTCTACTGGGGTCATGCAGCTGGTAAGACCTCAGCCTGGAGTGCAAAATGTCATTCTTCTGGCCACTGGAGGAGGCTCTGCCCAACCCTAATGCCAATAGATGAAAGGAGAGATGGGTCCTGTTTATGCTACCTTGCTCCAGCCATGCCTAAACCAGACAGCTATAGTCATTGTTTCTCTCCTTTGGCACTACGCTACTCTGCTTTAGTTCAAGCTTCTCCAACCCATTGCCCATGGGCCGCATCCAGCCTAGGATGGCATTGAATGTGGCTCAACACAAATTCGTAAACTTTCTTAGAAACACTATGAGATTTTTGAAGAATTTCTTTTTTTTTTAGATCATCAGCTGTGGTTAGTGTTAGTGTATTTTATGTGTGACCCAAGACAATTCTTCTTCCAATGTGGCCCAGGGAAGCCAAAAATTGAACACCCCGCAATTTGACTGGGCACTGCATTATCCTGCTGGAAGAGAACTTTGTCTCTGATGAATCAAGAAAATGCTTACTTTTCTGCTTACTTTTCTACTGTTGCTTTATTTTTTTTTTTTTTTTTCGAAGTCTCAAAAACTGTCACCTGGGCTGGAGTGCAATGGCGTGGTCTCAGCTCACTGCAACCTCTGCCTCCTGGGTTCAAGTGATTCTCCTGCCTCAGCCTCCTGAGCAGCTGGGATTACAGGTGCCTGCCACTACACCTGGCTAATTTTTCGTATTTTTTTTAGTAGAGATGGGGTTTCACTATGTTGGCCAGGCTGGTCTCGAACTCCTGACCTCATGATTGGCCTGCCTTGGGCTCCCAAAGTGCTGGGATTACAGGCGTGAGCTACGTGCCTGGCCTACTGTTGCATTTTGAAGCTCAATACATGTGCCTCAGTTTTCCTTCTGCTGCAATAACTCCTGGACTTCCCTAACCTGGGCTTCTGCCATTGCCTACAAGCCTCAAGCCAGTAATCCTGCAAGGTCCTTGCATTCACAAGCAGCTGTGTCTCCTCTTTCTCTCTCTCATGGTTATTGTGGAAGGAAGAATAGGCCACTGCCCCCCAATCAGAAATTGCTATTGTTTGGTCTGGAAGCTCTTTCCAGCACTTTGAAGTCTATGGATATTTTTTTACTGAAAAAAAAAAAAAAAAAAAAAAAGGAAGGAGGTAATGTGGCTGTGGGAAGTTTCTGGAGCCAGGCAGGGCAGAATCAGAATGCCCTTTCTGTCATGTAATAGCTCTTTGATCTTAGATGAGTTGCTGAACTTCTCTGAATCTCAGTTTCCTAAATCTGTAATATGAGAATGATCATAACTACTCTGGAGGGTTGTTTTGAGGATTAAAGGATTAAATCTGGAACTCACCACAAGGCAGCTTGTGACGGTTAGTTTTTGTATGAGTGACTAAGAGGAGGTACATCATTATAGCTCATGACACAGCTTCCAGAGTCAGACCACCTGGTTCTCATCTCATCTTCACTTCTCACATAGCATCTTTAGGCCTCATCTTTCAAAATGGGGATAACAGTAATAACAAAGTTTCTACTTTGTAAAGTTATTATGTGAATTAAATAATTTAATGCATGCAAAGCACTTAGTGCAGGGATATTGCAGCCAATAATCTCCAGTTTATTATAAGTGTAAGTCTTGTATTTAGTGGTGTACCCAGTGTCTTTAAAAACCTGAAGCAGATCATTTTTAATCCCTCTTCTCTATACAACCATATTATTTTCAATGATAATTATGTTATAATTAGTAATAATCATTATTTTATGATTTTTTCCTTTAGCTTTAAAACAAACAACAAACAATTTTAAAAAATACATTCCAATTTTAAAGATATTTTTCAATTCAGTAAAATATTTCACATATGAACTAAAGTTTGCTTTTACCAAACAAAAGATTATGTCTAGTCATTGGTACTGTTTCATTATTTTAAACACCAATAAAAACTCCCATTGATCACCAAGGATGACAGAACTCAACTCAAATTTCTCATTTTTACATTTACTATCATTGTTTATTTTAAATCGACCTTATAAATGCAGGAATATGTCACACTACAGGGCTTAAGAGACACAAACTATGCTGAAAGCAAGCTCAAGGGATTTTGAACCTTTACAAAATTGTCCCCTTGAGACATACTCTGTTGCTGAGTCCTCATGGGACGGGGTCCCACTGCATAACTGGGAGTTCTCCAAATTACCTTGTATGTAGAATGCAGTATTTATTAAAGCATAGTGATAAAAATGTGCTAATTTGAAGCTTACATATATGCTGTTAAAACTTAACAGATAATGCAACAATTATTTAGAACTTAAACTGAGAAAATTTTTTTTTCAGAGAGGAGTATTTATCACTGACACTGTTCAGACTGGATGGTGCATGTTGATATGAAAAAAAACCACAACTTGTAGTCAGTTTTATTGTTGCTTTTAATATCTCTACAACATGTTTCCCTACAGCTGCACCCAAGGTGGGTCATCCCCACTGCCCTGCCCTTGGGACATCCCTGCTTGTAGATCATGGAGGTGGTCAGAGAACACTTTTCAGTGACACATTATTATTGGCCACTGTCTCTCACTGATCTTTGGGTCGTTTTTATTCTGGCTTTTTTTTTTTTTTTCCTTTTTGATTAGATGGAGGGATCAGTAGCTTGGCCATGAGTAAATAGAGATGGGGCCAAGTGAGTTTCCTTGTCAATGTCAGGAGAGAACAACAGGAAATGAGGATGCTAAAAAGAAAATCAAGGATGGCTGGCCTAGGAGATAGCACACTCATGTTTTGTTCAGCTGTTATTGATCAAGTACCAGGTATGAGCTAGGAAGTATGAATACATACTAAGCAAGACAGGTGTAGTGGCCTGAGTGGTAGGCCCAAAAAAGACAGGTCTATATCGTGTTCTCTGGAACCTGTGAATATTGCCTTATATGGTAAAAGAGTGAATATTACCTTATATGGCAAAAGATGGAATCAAGGATATTGATAGAAGCTTATCCAGGTGGTCCTAAATCCAATGACAAGTGTCCTTCTAAGAATGAGGCAGAGGGGAGTCTTGACAGACAGAAGAAGAGGTTGCAGGCTGGGCGTGGTGGCTCACGCCTATAATCCCAGCACTATGGGAGGCTGAGGCAGAGGATAGCTTGAGCTCAGGAGTTTGAGACCAGCCTAGGCAACATGGCGAAATCCCATCTCTACAAAAAGTTAGCCAGGCATGGTGACATGCACCTGTAGTCCCAGCTTCTTGGGAGACTGAAGTGGGAGGATCCTCTGAGCCTGGGGAATCACAGCTGCAGTGAGCCATGATTGCACTACTGCATTCCAGCCTGGGTGTCACAGTGAGACATTATCACAAAAAAAAAAAAAAAAAAAAAGAAAACAACAACAACAAAAAGAAGTGGTTGTGATGTGACCATGGAGGCAGAGGTTGGAGTGATGCAGCTGCAGCCAAGGAGCACTGCAGCCATCAGGGAAGTGGCAAGGATGGGATCCTGCCTTGCAGGCTCCAGAGGGAATGTGGCCCTCCTCCATTGCTGGCATCCAGAACTGTGGATAATTAATGTCTGTTACTTGAAGCTATGAAGTTTGTGGTCATTTGCTGCTGTCAGCCTCAGAAGACAAATCCAGAAGTTGCATTATTAACTTCACAGAGCTTACATTCTTGTGGATAAAACAATTAACCTATCAACCAGTCCTCATAGTTTGGTGATTGTGTAGCACCAGTCTCTCCCAGTAGACTGTGTTCTCCATTCAAGAAGAGACTGCATTTAGTTCTTTCTTGTATCATTCCATTGCCTGGTACATAACAGATGCCCACCAAATATTTATTGACATAACTAATAAAGTAGGGCAAGAGCCTTGATGAGGGAAATACCTGGTTCTAGAAGGTTCTAGAAGGGGCACCTAATCTAATCTAAGATTAAATAATCTAAATCTAAGATCAATTAATTAATTAAAAGTGGGGCAAGAGCTTTGATGAGGGAAATATCTGGTTCTAGAAGGTTATAGAAGGGGCACCTAATCTAATCTAAGAGAGTAAAGAGGGCTTTCCATGGGAAGTGACATTTAAGATGAGCTTTGAATGATGTGTAAACATCAGGCCAAAAGGGTGAGAAGCAGCACTGTGACAGAAGAAGCAACATGCACATGTGCAGAGGCCTACA
The DNA here is from genome assembly GCF_000001405.40 of Homo sapiens. Taxonomy (NCBI): domain Eukaryota; kingdom Metazoa; phylum Chordata; class Mammalia; order Primates; family Hominidae; genus Homo; species Homo sapiens. The sequence goes on along the minus strand of NC_000016.10, from coordinate 52,695,084 downwards.
GGCAGAAAAGAGAGGATTATAATGTGTCTGGAAAGGTCAGGTGGTGGAGGGGGAAGGATGAAGACAGGGAAGGGAAGAGAGCGTGAGAGAAAAAAAAATGAGAATGAGGCAAGAGCCAGGTCAAAATGCTTTGTGGGAAACTTGTCCTGAATGAAGTTTAAACATCATTCTTATGGAATTCAGAACAAGTTTTAGATATCATAGGTATTGTAGAAGGATGGTGACTAAGAGATCAGATTTCCTTTTGGAGGGGCCACTTTGACTGCATGGTGGAAAATGGATTAAAGAGAGAAGAACCTGGTGATTTGATAACTGGTTAAGAGGCCATTGGAGTAATCCAAACAAGAGACAATGGTAACTTATAAAGTGTAATGGCAGGCCGAGCACGGTGGCTCACGCCTGTAATCCCAGCACTTCAGGACACCGAGGCGGGTGGATCATGAGGTCAGGAGTTCGGGACCAGCCTGGCCAATATGGTGGAACCCCATCTCTACTAAAAATACAAAAATTAGCCAGGCGTGGTGGTGCACGCCTGTAGTCCCAGCTACTCAGGAGGCTGAGGCAGAAGAATTGCTTGAACCCGGGAGACGGAAGTTGCAGTGAGCAGAGACTGTGCCACTGCACTCCAGCCTGGGTGACAGAGCAAGACTCCATAACAAACAAACAAACAAACAAACAAACAAACAAAGTGTAATGGCAGGGGTCTGATCATGAGAAGATGGCTTGAGAGATATATAGGAAATAGAACTGGTGTGTGGTTAGGGACTGGCAGCAGTCAAGGATGGCTCCCAGGTTTCTGGCCCAGGCCATGGGCAGACCATGGTGCCAGGAAATGATGCCGAGGAAGGCAGGAGGAGGAGCAGGTTTGGCAATGGTAATTGGAGTAGCGGGATGAAAGCAAGTTCACTTGTGGTGAGTTTGAGATGTCTGTGAAATATCTGGGTGGAGGTAACTAGAAGAGCTAGGTGTGTGCATCTGAAGCTGAGGACAGTGCTCTGGGCTGGAGAGTCAGATTTGGGAGTTATCCACACACATACATTGAACAGTGCCAGATAGAACTGACTGGGAAGAGCATATAGACTGAGAAGAAAAGAGGCCAAGATAGAACTCTACAGAACAAAGCCTTGTTGGGATAGGTATATTTCACTAGGAGGAGTGGGAACACCAAAGGTAAATTTCTTTTTGCTTTTTTCTAAGAGTAGTCATCTCTGTTTTGTAAGCGAAACTTTCAGCCACTACCTGTTTAGATGGATGGAAAAAATCTCCTCTTGAAGGCTTGCTGTAGTTATGTAAACATAAGGTAAGCAGGCACTCCCTGGAACAGATACTGCAGGATTTCTTCTGACCTGGCAAAGGCTGCTCCTCCAAAGAATTTGTAGTGGGGAGGGAGGTGGGTATTTGGGCCATTGGGCTTCTTGGGAGAGAGTCGTGTTCTAGAAAACTTCATAGACACAACCCCCTTTGAGGTACAACATTACTAGAATCTGCCTGATAGTCTGGGATAACCCAACATGAGTTCTGTAGGTATAACTCACCATGAGGCAAGATCACCTATGATCATATGAGCTTGGTGTTTTGCATATATGTTTTTAATATATATATCACAATCTGACTACAAACTAGGTATATGATTTTGTAGAACTGGTGTTCAAGAGTGACGCTATTCCCACGTGACAAGGGGACTTACCTGATTCTCCAACACTTCCAAATAGGCCCTGGTTTTCATAGACAACTAAGTAGAAGCATTTAGAAGAAAATACTGGACTCCTTCTCAATATGAGTAGATAAATGCTCAAGCAAACATTGGCAAAAGGAAACAGATTACTGTTACTGTATTTGAATCCCAAGCAGGCCAAAAAGATCACTGAACGTGAAAACCATCATGAAGACCTTCTTCAAGAATACTGTCCCTTGTACTTTACCTCCCCTAAAACCTCAGTTTTACCTACATGGAAATCTGGCAAACATTTGACTTGGACAATATAGGGACTCTTGAATATAGCTAGGAATATACGGCAGACTTTCTTTGCCCTTAAATGAATCCCACTGGATTTTGGAGTACCTTTTTTCCTCTTTGTATGTGATCTTTGAAAATTTTATAAGTATTATCACACTATATAGGTCTTGGAAAAACCTAGAACTAAAAAATGGTGTTTTTTGAAGAAATTTCCTAGAGATGTGGGTTGTGTTGTGCAGTTTCAATTACTGTTCCTTCACCCTTTGGCAAACCTCCTTAATTAATTAAAAAGAACTTTCTACTCTGACTTTTCACCATTTCTTCATGTAATGAAACATGACTGACGATTCTGAATACATCATGGGACTATATGATATATAGTCCCTTATAGTTCCTTAATTAGGAACACACTGGAAACAGTATTAATTCATTTTTATTTGTCGATAAACTTAGAGATCATTATTTATAGTACTTTTTTAAAAAGTTGCAAGATTTTTCATTGATTCAGAGAAAATGATTAGGAGTAATGCAACAGTTAAACTTAACAGATGTCCTTCTTTCCTCTGGGTGCCTGTCATTTCAACATTTTCATTTATTTCTATTAAAAATTTTAAAAGGATTTTTTAATTGTCCTTCGTCAGTAGTTATAATAGTCAAGATTTCTATTAGTTCTTAAATGTCCCATTTTATTTCCTTCATTTTTCTCATTAAAGAGATTGGCTTAGAAAAATGAATTCAATTCACTAGCCAACAACTGCTCATCCACTGTAGCTTCCACATATAAATTGAGTGTCGGTTCTTGTATCACTCTTGAGACTCCAATGATAATCTTGAACAATCAAAGTTGATTGAAAAAAATTATCTTTAAGTGTGATTTCTTAGAGAATATTGAAGACCTTAAAGAACAACTTTAAAAACACACATTGGATAGGATACAATCAAGACAGTAGTTTTGGATTAATGTCATTTATTTACATATTTCAGCCCTGCAGTAGTTGAAAAACATTTGAAACCACTCAAATGAATATAAGAAATAAAATAAAATAGAAATAAATCAGGGACTTGGGAACTGTAGATATAATAGAGGATAAGAACTGGGGGGAAAGTTAATAGAAATAAACCATATTAAGATAATATGGTTAACAAAAGTGGGCCTGATCAGGGAACCAGTTTTCTCTGTTCATCCACTTTCCTCTCTGTAACTTTTGTGGAGGCACAGCAAGAGAGCCTGATAAAATGGAAAGTGAAATCACCCAGTCTCACAGTGCCTAGAGGTAAAACTTCCACTAAAGAAAGAGGCCAAAAATAAACATGAGAGAGGCTTCTGGCCTCAAGAAAATTGAAATTAGAGGTGGATTAAAACTAATTTATCCACAACTCAGCCATAACCCATCTTAATCCCTGATTGAATCAAAGTGATCAGCCTTCAACCCATCTCTTTGACAATGGAAAGGGAATACATTAATGTTAATTCTACATACTTTTATATGAGCACCTGACATATAGTAAAAATTGGACACATGAAAAGGAGAGGGAAAATATGATCCATAATTAAGAGAAAAAATAGGCAATGGAAACAGACCCACAGATGACTCAAATATTAGAACTAGCAAACAAGTACTTTAAAATAATGATTAAAGATATGTTGAAGAAAAATGAGAAAAGTGTAGAGAAATGATTGGAAAAATAGGGAATTTCAATGGAGGAATAAAATTTCTTAAAAAGAACCAAAAGGACATGCTAGAACTAAATACAATCATCCCTCAGCATATGCAGATGATTGGTTCCAGGAACCCTTGCATATATGAAAATTTGTGTACATTCAAGTTCTGCAGTCAGCCCTGAGGAACCTATGTATAGGAAAAGTCAACTCTCCATATACACAGGTTTTGCATCCTACAAATACTGTATTTTTGATCAGCATTTGGTTGAAGAAAATCCGTGTACAAGTGGACATGCACTGTTCAAACTCATGTTGTTTAAGGGTCAACTGTAATATATCATATGAAATTAGGGATGTAATAGGTAGACTCAATAGCACACAGTAAACAACATGAAAAAGAATTAGTAAACTTCACAATAGGTTAAAGGAAATAATCTAAACTGAAGCACAGGGTGAGAGTAAAAAAGACAAAGTAGGAACAGAGTATGACAGACACATAAACCATTGTCAACTGGTCTAACATATATGTAATTGGAAATTTAGAAGTAAAGGGGAGAAAATGAGACAGAAGTAATAATGATGATATCTTTATTGACTAGGAATTTTCCAACATTTATGCAAAATGTCAATCCACAGATTCAAGAAACTCAGCAAACCCCAAGCAAGATAACTACAAAGAAAATATCACCTTGATACATTACAGTCAATATGCTGAAACCAAACAAAGATCAAGAGAGAAAAATCTTACAGGCAGGTAGAGTAAGTAAAAGAACATATCACTTTCAGAGACAACATTAAGAATTATGGCTGACTTCTCAGCTGAAGGTATGGAAGTCAAAAGATAATAGAATAACATCTTTAATACATGAAAAGGAAAAAAAAATCTTCCAACTTATTCTACAGTAGCAAAAAAAAAATTCTTCAAAAATGAAGGAAAAGCTTCTCTTCTCTGAGAAATACCATTATGAAAGTGGAAGGAAGCCGCAGACTGAAAGAAAATAATCATAATATATATTGGATCCAGAATATATAAAGAACTCTGACAATTCAATAATAAGATAAAGAATATAATAAAAAATGGGTAACATGTTTGATCAAACACTTCATAAAAGCATATGTGCAAATGGCTAATAGACATGGGAGAAGTTGCTTAACTTTGTCAGTTATTAGGAAAATGCAAATCAAAACTACTATTCACTCACTAGAATGGCAAAAATTAAAAGGACTAATACTATCAAGGGTTGATGAGGTTGCTGTACAATTGCTACTCTCAGATGTTGCCAGTGGGAAAGTAAAATGGTACAACTCTGAATAACATTTTGTTACTTTCTTATATATTAAACATGCAATTACCTGTCAGAAGACCCAGAAATTCTATGCTCAAGTATTTACCCAAGAGAAAAGAAGACATATATCTCAAGAGATATCACAAACGTTCATAACAACTTTTTAAAAATAACCAAAACTTAGAAACAATCCAAGTGTTCTTAAACAGGTGAAAGGATAAACAAGTCATTCAGGCTGAAGCAAAATATTTACAGTTGAAGGATGGACTGAAAAAAGGAACAAAGAACTCTCAAAAGGGTACATATGTAAGTATATGTAAAAGATTATGACTGCTTAAAGCAACAATAATAACAAATTTATGGCATTAATAATATAAGAAGTAAAATATAAAACCATAATACCTAAAGTATGGGGTGGTAAATCAATTTTAAGAAAAAAAAAATATATATATTTTTTGAGATGGAGTCTTGCTCTGTCACCCAGGCTGTAGTGCAGTGGTGCGATCATGACTCACTGCAACCTCCACCTCCCAGGTTGAAGCGATTCTCCTGCCTCAGCCTCCCGAGTAGCTGGGATTACAGGTGCCCGCCACCATGCCTGGCTAATTTTTGTAGTTTTAGTAGAGATGGGGTTTTGCCATGTTGGCCAGGCTGGTCTTGAACTTCTGACCTCAGGTGATCCACCTCCCTTGGCCTCCCAAAGTGCTGGGATTACAGGCATGAATCACCACGCCCTGCCAATTATAAGATTATCATTTTAAAATTAAAAAATTGACACTGAACCTCCTGGGAGTCAAAGCAAAATGTGAAATATTACATTCTGAAATCATTTTGTTCATTAAAAAATCCATTTTTATTCCTCAGAAGACATAAAACTTTCTTGTGATTCCTAAAATACAATTTTAATTTGCCATTTACAAAGAGGACAATGAATACAGTGGGTGATATATTCAAAACCCCTCCTATAATAAATTAAGTAGTGGATTTATTGAGCAGTTTATTGAAGCATCTCACAACATAAGTCAAGAGTCTAATGTCCAGGCATAACTAGGTGAGGGCTACTCTATTGATGGGCAGTAAAAAGTAATTTATCACTCAGCCTGAAATTGTTATCTGATTTGTCAGAAAACCATTTCTTCTAACCCTTAATCTCACATTAATATCTTGAAATGACATTCATGAACATATTTGGAACAGACTTAAACCCTGACATACGAACAATTACCTTAAATACAAATGGTCTAAATATACCAATTAAAAGACAGATATTGACAGAACAGATTTTATTTTTTATAAGAAAGTCTTCAGGACACAGAATGAATTTTTAAAATACCATCCAATAGATGCTGTTTATAAGAAACTTATTTGAAATACTCAATACTGGTAAAATTTTGAAACACCAAAAAACCTGCCAAACTTATACTTTGCTCAAGTCAATAAAAATCAGTTCAAAGCATTTGTAATCTAACAAGCTGTTTATTAAAGTCTAAAATCCAAAACAAAATCAATGTAAGCACTGGCTAGTGTCAAAATTACTGTTCATTTCTCAACAACTTACAGATAAAATATATTCATGAAGTGACTATTTTGGATCAAATTGTGATCTTTTTTCTACCTATGTGACTAAAAATCCTTAGCATATTCAATCACATCAGCTCTGCAATTGATCCAGTTTAGTTATTAAGGCAAAGATTTGAAAACATTGAGTTTTGAATAGAAAGCTAACTCCTTTATTCCTAAGACCATGATTATCATTGAAACTAGAATTCAATAATACCATGAAAGATAAATTATATTTTTGAACTGAAGAAGAGGAGAACTAAAGTTAACCAGAGCTCTGATCTGCTGGTATATAGTATAATACCTTTATCCTCTTATCACTATTCTACTAAAGAAAAAAAATGCTTGCATCTACAATTTTTAATATTTTCATTTCCTTTATCTTTTCATGCTGAAGAAAATTTAAACATTTTATTTCCCATTCCTCTCAGGAATTTCTAATCGGTAGAAGATTTTGCAAAATAGTCAGTCAACATGTTTCTTAGTAGTAGAAATAGAAGTAACTTTTTAATCAATTTTAGGATGTTCATATAATCTTAATACTAAAACCTGCTAAAAGAGCACAAAATAGGAAAATCAGCCTCAATTTGAAATATATAGACTATAATCCTGAATAATGTATTAGCAAATATAATATAATATCTTGAGCTCAAATCAGGAAAAAGAAAATCTCTCAGCATGAATTGCTGTACATATCTAATTACTTATGGCCTTAGACATATTGATGAAAAGATTCCCAGAAGTTGGAGTTGTCAAAACATTTTATTCCATTGTTTAAAAAAACACTTTGGAGGTAGCTAGATATTTTGAATAATGAAATATAATCCTGTCTGCTAACTGCTTTTCTATTTTTTATTGCTGCAGTAAATTATGGGCATCTTTGTAATGAGATTCTTGATTTATTTTTTAAAAGATGTTGCCTTATTATTTATTAATTCTAACAGATTTCTTCTATAAATGCTCCATAAATATTAACATATCTAATGGATGGTGACAATCTGATGAAAGTGAAGAAAACATTATGTCTAAGATATGGTGATGATTTGACAAAATCTTCTTTTTATGTTGTTTGTTCTTTATTGTTTTTGAGAGCAAAAAAATGCAATTAATTAACAGCTCATGTCAATGAAAGAAAAAGGTGTAGTGCTAATGTTGAGAGCTTTAGATTTTTTCCACCAGGAATAAATATATTATTATTTCTAGAAGTTTCTGGTTTTATTTTTTGAAGTTTTCCTAAATTCAAATTTATAAAAAGTTTTCTTTCATTTGCTGCTAAAATTTTCAGTAGAATCAAAATTTTTATTATTAAGCTAGAGAAATGATGAGTGTTACACAGTTATATCTTCCCTGTTGAACAGTATTTTGAAGATGAGACAGACCTGGGGCTTACATCTTTAAAGAAGACTTCCATAGTATGCAAGTATTAATTGAGTGTTCACTGTGGTGACAGGCTGTGTGTGTGCACATTAGAGAGAAAGAGAGAGGGACAGAGCTGGGGGAGCTGAAAAAGTAGGAGACATGATCTCCCCCTACATGGAGAGTAACAGAGTAGAATAATAAATTCAGAAATCTATGTAGCAGAGAGTGCTAGTTTTAAAATGTCTTTTAGTAACTAATCCTATTTCTATATGTAGTCCAGAAATTTTAAAATTAAAAAGTCTGCTAACAAGTTAATATTATAGACCATTAACTTGTCATGGTGACTTCCTCTTTAAAGGAGTCCTCCAGCAATTTCAACATGTGTATAGAAAAGGTAAATGACAAGAAACCTATTTGTAATTTCCCCATGAACAAGAAAAATGTGTGTGTATATTTTAAATTTTAGCTAATATTTCTTGAGTGTCATCTATAAGCCTGGCCCTGTGCTAAGAGTCTGATATAAATTATTTTGCCTATCATACACCCAAATCTATGAAGTAGGTGCTATTATTATCTCCATTTTTTATATATGAGAGAATGAAAGCTTAGAAACAGAACATTAATGAAATTGAATTGCACATTGAGAAAGGTATTTCCTTTTAAATTGCTTCATTCCTTATGATTCCAAGGAGAAAGTCTCAGCTAGGTGCTAGTATGTTTTTAACACCTCTGCAACGTTTGCTAATCAATTTCTCTCAAGCTCTTTCTCTTTCTTTCAGCAAAATAGAGCAAGCCTCAGACTCAGAGCCCTGAAAAACCCATAGTTTGTAGCCAGCTTGTACCATGTTGTTTTGCATTTATTCAATTTTGAAATGTTTATTTTCAGTTTATGGACAATGATATTGGTACTCCATATGTAATAGTACCCCAAGTTGCTTTTTGAGATTAAGTAAAAAAAGTGGGTCATTTAAAGATATAAAGTAAATAATGGCAACTCTTATAAAAGGGGTAAGCAAAAAATGGAAGTTTGGGAAATAGTATAGAATGTTCTACTACTATTTTAGTCATACTGACAAAAATTCATGCATACTTTAAAATCCACTTGCATCAGAGGCACACATTTTCTGCAGATTTTATAATGAAGTATATAGTGCTGGGATTTGCCATACTTGAAATGATCAATGGTTCTAAAACTTACATGTCTCTGAATATATAAGTCTAAGATGACCAAACCAACGTGAACACTATGAGCATCTGTGACTTTTATTTTTGAAGGAAAGAGACATGGGAAAGAAAGAAAAAGTTATTAAAATTTTTGACACCTTTGAGTTAGTGAAGACAGTTCGGAACATTAGTTTTTGACTATGTAACTCCTGACATCCACATGTCATGGACATTCTCTCTAATTTTTTAACAACCATCCAAAGGTAAGTATTATTAATGCAATAATGAATGGAGGAGTGGCTCAGAGAAGTTAAGCAACTTGTCCACAAACATATAGTTTATAAGTGGCAGAGTTGGGATTTAATCCTAAACTTCACAAATTGCATATGGTTGTGACTTCATCAGTTTTCTCTGTTTTTTTTCCTCCCTTTTTTAATTCCTAGGGAGATTAAGAGAAGAAAAAAATCTAATCTTTTATATTTATCCTCATATTCACCATTTCTGCTACTCTTCATGCCTTCCTATAGATCTGAGCTTTTATGTGGGTCATGTCCATTAAGCCTGAAGAATTTCCTTCAGTATTTTTTGAAGTACAGGTTTGTTGCTTGACCAACTCTCTCAGCTTTCATTTATATGACAGTGTTTTTATTTCACTGTAATTTTTAAAGAGTATGTTTCGCTGCATATAAAATTCTGGTTTGACAGTGTTTTTCTTTCAGCATTCTGAAGATGTTAACCTATTGTTTCCTGGCTACCACTGTTTTTCATAAGAAGTTGGCTAACATTCATATCACTATTTCTCTGGATACAATGTGTCATTTTTCTCCAGCTGTTTCAGTAAGTTCATTTTTAAAACTTTTCATTTTCAGGAGTTTGAGTAGGATTTGCTAGTTGTGGTTTCTCTGTATTCTTCTTGTGTAGGATTTGTTGAGTTTCTTAGATCTGTTTTTTCATGAAATTTAGGAAATTTTACGCCATTACTTTTTTTTTTTTTTGAGGTAGAGTCTTGCTCAGTCACCCAGGCTGGAGTGCAGTGGCTTGATCTCTGCTCACTGCAAGCTCCACCTCCTGGGTTCACGCTATTCTCCTGCCTCAGCCTCCTGAGTAGCTGGAACTACAGGCACCTGCCACCATGCCCAGCTAATTTTTTTTTTTGTATTTTTTTAGTAGAGATGGGGTTTCACCGTGTTAGCCAGGATGGTCGCGATCTCCTGACCTCGTGATATGCCCGCCTCGGCCTCCCAAAATGCTGGGATTACAGGTGTGAGCCACTGCACCCAGCCGCCATTACTTTAAAAAAATATTTCTGTGTCATTCTCAATCTCTCCTCTCTTTTTGGTAGTCCAGTCACATGTGTCATGTCACACTGTTGCTATTGTCCCAAAGGTTACTGAGGCTCTATTATTTTTTTCAGTTTTAAAAATACGTGATATTCTTGGATTATTGCATTTGCTATTTTTAAAAGTCAGTGACCATGCTTCTTTTATTATCTCTGTTGTCCAGCCCATCCACTGAATTTCAGATATTGTCATTTTCAGTTATAGAATTTCCATTTAGTTCTCTTTATAGCTTCAATTTTCCCAGAACCCCCATGAGATTCCCTTTCTGTTTATTCAGTAAGATCATATTTTCATTTAAGTCTTTCAGCATATTTATAATTGCTGATTTAAAGTCCTTACCTGTTATTCCAACATCTGAGTTATCTCTGCCTGTTTCTATTGATGGCCTTCTTCTTAATTATGGGTCACATTTTCCTGTTTCTTGAGGGGATTTCCACATCTGTTTTTTAAAAATTGTGTTGCTGAACATAGTAGTTGATATATTGTAAGGGGTTTGAATTATGCTACCTTCCTTTACAGACTGTTGAGTTTTGTCCTGGCAATCAACTTACTGTATGATCTTGAGTATCTCCATCACTCTCAGTGCCATAAGCAATTGTTCTCTGCAAGGCCTTGTGAGGTTGTGCCTTGCTCAGTACAGTCTAGCCTTTGAACAAGCACACAGAGTTTCCCCATACAAACTTCTGCAACACCCTCTTTGTGAAGGAGCTTCCTCTCCAGAACTCTGTTCAGCAAATGCCCGAAGCTTCATTCATCTCAAATTCTAGTCTTTGTGTCCTCATCTCGGCAAGACCATCATGTTTGGCTTGAATCTTCCTGTGCTAGGATCAGGAAACTGTCCCCATAGGAAAGTACAGTAAACATGGGGTTCACTCATTTATATTCTTTATTTTTTACATTCTTATGCTATATATTGCTCAATGTTTAAAAATAGTTGTCTTACATAATTTATTCAATTTTACAGCCATTTATGGTGGGCAGACAAGCCCAATATTGGTTTACTCCATCAACAAAAACAGAATCTCCTTTTTTTTCCTTCCTTCATTGTCTCTGCTATTTTCCCTCTTCCTCTCTTAGTTTTTTTTCTTATTCAAGGAGGTTGATGTTGCCAAAGGCCTTATATGTATCATCTTTTGTACTTTCTGAGACATGTCACCATCACATTTCCATCTTCCAATGCTTCTATTGATGGCATTCCCACTACCCTGACTTATTTAACATTGATCAAATAAAAACATATTAAGTTTTTATGTGGGCTGGTCACTGTGCTGAATGGTGGAGATGCCAAGATAAATCACAATGTCTGCCTTCAAAGAGTTCATGGTCTAGTGAAAGTGAGGCATAGAAATAATTAGATGTGGGTGAGATAATTGCTATTGCAGGAACAGGTAAAATATGTTACGAAAGAAACTAACTGTAATAGGGACAGAATCAGAGACCTCTTCCTAGACAGGGAGTGTTGGAGAATAGTTCTGAAAAAGTAGCAGGAGATAAACAAGAGGCAGAGAAGGCATCCCAGGCAGAGGATGTCATGTGCAGAAGCATCGTGGCATGACAAAGCATGCTGTGACAGGGCAGCCACAGTTAGTCACAGGGTCTTATGCTTTTGTGGAAAACAACAGGTCACTAGGTTGGAAAAGCAGACTTAGCTTCATTTTGAAGACCCTTTACACAAAGCCTCAGTACAATTATATAAATATAAATACTCATATTTTTCTGCTCTGGTGGCATGTTCCAGATAAACCAGAATTTCTCTCTCTATCCCATGCTGGCTTCCTAAATAAAAAAAAAATCTGCTGGTCTTACATCAGGATTAAAACTCGACAGTTGTAAATTAGATATTGGGAAAAAAATGTATTTACCCTTATCTCACATCATACAAAAAATTAATCCCAGATAGATTGTAAGCCTAAGTGTGAATGGCAACATAAGTTTTAGAGAAAAATAGGATAAAATACTTATGACCTTGGACTAGGCAAAGCTTTCTTAAACAGGACAAAAAAATTGCTAACCCTGAAAGAAAGACAATTGGTAAATTGGAGTTTATTAAAGATGGAAAATGTCAGTCCATCAAAAGATACAGTAAAGTGAAAAGGCCACCTCCAAAATGTGGATATCCATGAGATTTACACAAAAATACACTTAAAACTCCTACAAATCAATATGGAAGAGAAAGATAAACTAATGGAAAAGTGAGCAAAACACTTGTACAGATAATTCACAAAAGAAGGGATCCAAATGACCAATAAACATATGAAAACATGATGCATTTCCCTAGCCATCCAGGATACGCTGATTAAAACTACAGTGCAGTATCACCTATACATCAATCATATGGCTCAAATGGCTCAAGTGGAAAAGACAAAAAAATGCCAAGAGTTTGTGAAACCATGTGTCAACTGGAACACTGCTAGTTAGAGTGTAAATGGAAATAACCACTTTGGAGAACAGTTGGGCAATATCTACTAAAGCTGAATTTACATATATTCTGCAACACAGAAGTTCCACTCTTGCATATATATTCAGGAGAAATTCATACATGTAATTCATACCAAAGATATGTACCAAAGTGTTTACAGGAGCACAATCTGTAAGAGCCAAAAAGTAGAAACTCCTCAAATGCCCATCCACAGCCACATACATAAATAAATGTGTATGGTCTCACAATGGATAAGTAAATGGTATAGTCACACAATGGGATACTATGCATTGAGTATGAATCATCCACAATCATATGCAACAATATGAATGAATCTCATAAGCATAGGATGAAAAGAAGATACCGTAGAAATATACATACTGTTTGATTCAAATTTCTATAGAATATAATAAAATGAAGCAAAAAGTGGGGGAGGGGGAATTCTTGTTGTTGGTTATGATCTACTTTTTTTTTTTTTTTTTAGTGGCAGGGTCTCTCTCTGTTGTCCAAGCTGGGGTGCAGGGGTGTGATCATAGCTCACTGCAGCCTTGAACTCCTGGGCTGCAGTGATCCTCCTGCCTTAGCCTCCCAAGTAGCAGGGACAGGTGTGTGCCACCATGGCTGGCTTAATTTCTTTTTACAGAGACGGGGTCTTGCAATGTTGTCCAGGCTGGTCTGGAACTCATGGCCTCAAGCCATCCCTCCACCTCAGCCTCCCAAAGTGCTAGGATTACAGGCATGAGCCAATGCACGCAGTCATAGTCTATTATTTTTATCTGGGTGCTGTAATAAGTTGTTGAGTTGTATACATATGATTTAGGTATGTATATGTGTACATATCAAATCCCTCTGTCTCTCTCCTTCTTTATCTATCTATCTATCTATCAGATTATGTTTTCTTTAAATTGGTTGGTGGCAGAACCGGCAAAGATTAATCTTTTGGTTTCTATTGATTGAATTGACCTGAATGAGAATTTTATGGTTATGACTGCTCTTCTGTCTTGAGTGAATGATCCAGTTTATATTTTCTACAGCCCCTGTAAGTGCCATTATAAGAACCAGAGTGGCTTGCAGTGGGCTTGGCATCTGTCCCAGCTTCTTTCTTCAAGTGGAAGGTGTAATCTGAATTGCCAGCAAACATATCTTGGAAACAAGATTGTTCTTTGGCTAAGACCAATGAGCTTGAGAGCTGCTCAGCTCTGCGGAAGGCTTACTAGATGCACACAGACTTAGAGAGCTGTCATGTGGAGAAGAACTGGCTCAGATCTCCCCTTTCTCAGTGTTTTTAACTCTAGAAGAGTCCAAAGTTCCTCTGAAGAACTCCAGAAAAGTCAGCTCTAGGTGCTGCCTCTCCTGAACAATAATTATTCCACAGGACACAATTTGGAGAATGCTTCCCTAAGTTTATTTAGATTTGCTGATGACTTACCTTAAGCCATCTTTACAATGCCATGGTCCATAGCTTTACAGGCTGTACTGGGCACAATTTTAGAGGACATCATTCATGGTGCAATCTGCCCTTCAATAAGTAGTGATCCTAGTTTTGTACCACGTATTCTGTTTTCTAAGTAAATTGTAGTTCTCCTAAGGGCAGAGAATGTATTGTTCTTTTCCTCTTTCTACTCCTAGTACAAGACGAGCTTTCTTTGCACAATGTGGAAGTTCCTTTTGGACTTATCTTAAAAGATGATGGCTTCTCCAGTACACCAAAGCAGGTCAAATTGTGATGGAGGCAGATATTTTTTTTCTATTTTGTTCTATGCCTCTCTTCCAATCTACTGCATGAATTATCCCATGACATTGCTATGGTTTGAACACTTGTGTGCTCCTAAATTTCATATGTTGAAATCTTAAGCCCAAAAGTAAAGGTATTTGGAGGTGGGGTCTTTTGGAGGTGTTTAGGTCATGAAGGGGAAGCCCTCATGAATGGGATTAATGTCCTTACAAAAGAGATCCCTTGCCTTTTACTATGTGAGGTTACAGTGAAGATGAGCCTCTGTGAGGAATGGGTCTTCTCCAGACACTGAATCTGCCAGCACCTTGAACTTGGACTTTCCATCCTTAGGAGCTGTGAGAAATAAATTTCTGTTATTTATGGGCCACCTGGTTTATGGCATTTTGTTATAGCAGCCCAAAAGGACTAAGACAGATACCTTTTCCTTTCTATCATAATCAAAATAAATGTTTGCATCAGCCATTTACTCCTCTCTCCTAGAGGTATTTGTATCTCAAGGTTTATCTTCTATTGTGAAAATAAAGCTTTTGCTAAAGTTATCTCAGGCACTGGTGAGTCAGGAGGGGGCCACATTTGGGGGCACTGCCCCCGCTTGCCAATCATAGGCAAATTGCCAATTTTACCTGTGATTAGGCCTAGACCTGCAGAGGACATCTATTGTTTTTGCAGTTCTGTTTCCTTTAACCTTTCTTCTGCAAGCATACCCTGATCTTCCTTCCTCTACTTTTAGCCCATGTACCAGGATACAGCTCCATGCCTGGTCATGAATTCAGCACATCACCAAGGCCAGTCTACAAATAAGATTCTTTTGGTCATAGCAATTGGTTCAGGGATGATTTTATCAAAGTCAATAAAAAACAATCAAAGCCAATGAGACATGATAAAGTTTTTACTGGGAACCTTGGGAGAGTTACGGGACCCTAACATTAAAGCAGAGAAGATATAGGGTCTGAAACAACTGGTACCATCTTGCTCCTATATGGAAACAAAGGATGAAGCCAATACAGCAAGACTCAGTTGGAAGCGAAAGGAACTGAGTCTTCATGACACATTTTCCTCTCCCCTACTGCTTGGATATTTCTGAAGAAAGGTTTGAGCAGAAGATCTTAGTGTTTTCCAAATGGTGAGTTATACTTGTGAAATACATTCAACAGGTCATCACCAGCATTTAACAAATGAAGCAGAATGGAGAAGAATAACTGAGTTACAATGAAATGTATGTATTGTTGAGGGTCAAAAAATATTTCAAAGCCACTGCTAGTAAGTGATTAATTTTGGTAGCCTTTTCTTGTATACAAAACAATTATTCACCAGAAAAAATCAGAAGGACTTAAAAGATAATAAATAACACATTTCTCATATATATATATATATATATCTCCATGCTGCTACTGTAGCCAGCCTTACCACTAGTCTTCTCAGTTGGGTTTCCCCAATAATTTCCTTTTTGCTTAAGCAGCCATGAGATGGATTTTCTGTCAGTTGTAACCAAACAAAATCTAACTGAAATATTAGCCAAAAAAGGTGCTCCTGGCTTTGTGTGATTTATGATTCCCCTAACTACTTGGCCTAGGGATGCATTCAGTTCATGATTGTCAAAAAAGTAATAGAAAAAAGAAAAGAAAAAAAATTGGAAAGACCTATCCAACTTCAGTACGCAAGTGATACCTCTGGTGGAGATACAGGGGCTGACTTTTCTTTGGGGTCTACAAATATTTCATTCCTAATGCTACTTGTAGGAGCAGTATCATTTCCTCAGAAAAATCCAGGAGAAACTTAATTAACCCTTGTGCATCAACACACATGTTCACATGTTCAGTCAACACAAGAGGGAAGACGGATAGAGTGAAAGAATGCCTCTGGCATGCTTATAAAGCATGTGGTTTGTGGCTGAGTGGCTTTAATCACAGAAAAGTGCGGTCATTTGTCCTGAAATCTCCATCAGCAAGGCTTCATTGCTATTACCCATTGAATCTACCCAGATGGACACTGTTAAAGTGAACTAAATATGGCCTGAGAAGGACTCCCTACTTATATATTTGAGTCCTTGTGGATGAACCATAACCTAAATAGGCAGACAAAATTGAAAACTTAACTTAGTAGTATGCATCTGTAACAATAGCTAAGTGTTGGCCAATCCCAGCAGCCATACTTCAACCACTCATAGACTGTTCAGAGTTCAAACTGCGTTCAAATAAGGCAAATGCTGAGCTGTAACCAATCTGTTTCTGTACCTCACTTCTGATTCCTGTATGTCACTTTACCTTTTTTGTCTATTAATTTATTCTGACCATGAGCCACCATTGGAGTCTCTCTGAATCTGCTGTGATTCTGGAGGCTTCCCAATTTGTGAATCTTTTTATTTTTTTCTCAATTAAGCTTCATCAAATTTAACTTGTCTGAAGTTTTCTTTTAACAATCTGAATGGCTACCCCTGAAACCTCTCCTAGGAAAAGGTCACCACCCACCTAGAGACCATGCCCAGAGTCTTCTGAGAGCTTCTCCATGTCCCTGTGTATTCAGTCCACCCTCAAGTTCCAAACATTGGGGCGGATTCTTATAGGGGAGGGTAATGGGACCCCCAAGCAGTACAGAATTACCCCTCAAGAGGATGCTAGGCTCAAAAGTGTCTACATGGCTGAAAGAAGGGGGGTTTTGGAAGAAATACAAACAAATGAAAAACTCTGGGTGACATTGTCTTCTGTCTTGTCTGTGTAATGAGTGGGGGACTGGAGGATGGGAAAAGGGGCTATTTTCCTAGTTCCTCATTGAAAACTTCATAACACCGGCTCTTCAAGACAAAGGTACAAAGTAGGAAGGGGTAAAAGGAGTTTTGAAATAATTGGCAGGGAGCCCAAAGAATCAAATGATGTTATTACAAAATCCTTCTCCAAGTCTAAGCAATATCCTGGCAGGGCCCACGTGCTGCAGCTCTGTTTGTTCTGTAGTTGTTTCATTATGTATTTTTATAGATTATTTTTTCCCTCTCTCTCCTGTTGATGGAGGGCACTTAACTATTTATGGGTCTGCTTTAAGGTGATGTTTTAGATTTCCTGCCCAGAATTCTAAGTGATTAGGGGTGAGTGGGGCAAGAAGAACAGGTCACTAGTATGAACTGGGCTTGTAGGGGGGACTGGGGTCAGGCGACAGGAGCGTGAAGCTTCTGGTATCCTCTCTTGAGCCTGGCCAGTGCACATACATTATGTCACCCTACCCAGCTGCTTAAATGCTTTGGTGGTTCCCCACTGGTTCAGGATCTATACCTGAGGCCTTGGTACAGCCTATATGGTCCCCTGGGATCTGGCCCTACCTCTCTTGGCCACTTGATCCCATTTTTCCCATCTTCTCCCATGCTCCAGCCACTCTTGTCTTCTTTCAGTTTCTAAAAGCAGCCATGAGTTCTCCTGAGTCAGGGTTGTGCATATGCTGCTCTCATTGCCTGGAACACTTCCTCTGACCTCATCAGACTGGATGAGTTTCCCATTCTATGGCTTCATGACTCTCCTTCATAGCCCTTGGTTTCAGTTTGAGTTTCTCAGAAAGCAGAACCAAGATCAAGATTTGTGAGGCACCCCAGCAAATGTAGAGAGGGAGTGGTAGAAAAAGTCTGTGAAGGAAGGAAGGAAAGACAATAAGTAGTGTGTTGATGTGTGTTACGGGTGTGGGCAGCTGGGTCCATTCCCCCTGGGCACCCTCTGAGCTGCTCTAGAACAGGGGGCAGGGGCTACCTGCCTGTTTGGAAATAAAGTTGTATTGGAACACAGGCACTTCCACTTGTTCATATATTGCCAGGAGTATACAGTTGTGACAGAAACCATATAGCCTGCAAAGTCTAAAATATTTATTTCTGGCCCTTTAAGAAAAAGTTGGCTGAATCCTACTCTGGAACATAACTCAGAATTGTCCTACCAAGAGGCAAGGGAGCCGGGGTTTTTATCCACTGGCTTCGTTCTCTTGTTGGCTGCAAGCAGTTCCTGGGGCTATTGTTTCCCAGAACCTCTGAATGAATGGTTGGTAATAGACATGGAAACTGAGACTCAGGGAGGTTATGTGCTTTTGCTAAGGTAAAAGAGATCTGTACCTAGACCTTTTAACAACAAACCTTGTGCATTTTCCTTTTTAGAAGACAAACTATGATGAATTGCCTAATGTGTATGAATGATGAATCAGGAAGGAGAAGGCTAATAAGGGGTTAAGTCATCATGAAGGAGTGGGTTAGGTTGAATAAATGATCTTGTGTAGAAAGAAAAAAATCTAAGGGATCTGCTGAATTGAGTTTTCAGGAAAGACAGGAAAAGGCAGATGCAACTGCACAGAAGGTAGACTGGACGGAGCACTATGTTCGTGGGGTCCTGGGGTGAGTCATCTCCAGAAAGCAGAAAAGGTATGCAATAAAGGTTGGATAAGTGGAGGAAGTCTGCCCACGGTGAGTCTTGCTTGTGAGACAGCACTGGGTCTTCATCTGAAGAATCAAAATATCACTCTAGGGAAGTACCTCCCTTAGTTTATTTTTCCAGCAGAGCTGGGATTCTACTGGGGTGGGCCACCTGGACAGGTGTGTACAAGGACCAAGGTACAACAGGAACAGACTCTAACCTACCTGCAAACTCATGCATCTTGATGACTCTGTGCAAATTACTGATTTGCACTGTGGTTCTGTAAATGGCAAAATGAGTCCTGTAGGAGAAGAGTTAGGCAAACTTTGATAAATAACACCTTACATTTTTTGGGTGCTTATCCCACTGTCTCTTCTTCAATATGTTAATAATAATACTATATTAGTAATAATACTAGTATAATAGTAATAGGTAATACTTATTTAGTACTTACTATGTGCCAGGCACTGTCTAAATACTTCATATGAATTAAATTGTACTTACAACCACCTCATGAGGTAAACATTGCTATTATCATTATTTTACTAAGGAAATGAAGTCAATAAGGGGTTAGAACTCAGTCCAACATCAAACAGCTTGTAAGTGCTGGAGCCAGGACTCAAACCTAAGGAGTCTAAGAGCAGATTTGAGTTGCTCCAAACACCATAGAGACCAGCATTTCCTTCCGAAGTCTCCGCTTGGGTCGTCACTTTAAGTAAGGATGTTAATCATCATAAAGTCATAAGACATTGTATTTTTGAGTCAGGCCCAGTGCTCTGTGCTCCATGTGAATGATCTTATTGTGTGTCCACAGCAACCCTGAGAAGTCAGAGCTCTTTTCACCTCCATTGTGCAGAGGAGGGAACTGAGGTTTACAGAAATTAAATAACTTGCTCAAGGTCAAAGTGCTTAAGTGGTGGAACCCAGGTGAAAACCCAGGTCTGCTCCTCTCCAACTTGACTGCCATAGGTTACTGTAACACACTACCTTGAATGGATGGGGGTGAAATCATACCTATAGGCATTGGTTTGAATTCTCTGATTGTACCCTTTAGTGTATCAGGAAGTGCTAAGTCTGTAACTTCCAGGCATAAAAGTTCTCATGAAACAACTTTCCCTTGGGGAAGATTTTACCTGCAATAGCATTTTCTGCCAACACATGAAGGTGGTTGGGAATCCTTGGGTAACTAATGTTGGGACCAAAGTAACTGGGACTAGAATTACCAGAAGTCATTGTTATAATTAGGGAGCAAAAGGGATCATTCCAACAAACATCCTTCCCCAGTCCTCACTGGGCACAGATATTAATTAAGATATTAATCCCAGGGAGAGTTTTAGGGAGACCGTGTTTCAGTTTAGATTACCCCAGAAGTGACTTTGAGCAAAGATTTAAGTGCAAGTGGTTCATTTGGGAGGTGCAGAGGACACTAGTGGGATAGTGGAGAAGTGGTACAAGGAAGACAAGGCAGCCAATAAAACGTGCATTATTTGTAAGCTAGCAGAGTGGGTGGCTAGAGTCTAGCCCTAGAAGGAAATATTGATAAACAGTGTACAACACAGGACTCAGAATTATCCCACTCAAGGGGCCAGGAAGCTGGGATGTTTATATGTCAACTCTCAAGACTCATTGGTTGAGGTCTTCTTCCCGGGTTTAATCCCTAGCACTTCTGGTCTGCTCTGCAGGGACAATACAGCCATCTGCAGACCCAGAAAAGCTCTTCAGAGAGGCAAACACTGGCAGTTGGAAGTCAGCCACCAAACAGCTAGGGGCAGGTGATTCTCTGACAGCATCTGTGGTATCCTTTAGCTATGGCTGAAGACAAATGGTATTTCAATACTTTGGAGGAAGCAGACCTAGTTTTTCACCTGGGTTCCACCACTTAAACACTTCGACCTTGAGCAAGTTATTTAATTTCTCTAAACCTCAGTTCCCTCCTCTACACAATGGAGGTGAAAAGAGTTATGACTTCTCAGGGTTGCTGTGGACACACTATGAAGTCACTCACATGGAGCACAGAGCACTGGGCCTGACTCAAAAATACAATGTCTTATGACTTTATGATGATTAACATCATTACTTAAAGTGATGATCCAAGAGGAGACTTCAGAAGGAAATGCTGGTCTCTATGGAGCTTGGAGCAACTCAACACTTGCCAAACAATTTAGAGCTGTCAAAAGAATTCAAACTGTTTGAGGCATCTACAAGCATTTTCTTCTTTTTCCTCCCCCAAAAGATCAAACATATGCTTGGAGTGGGACATTTCCTTCAATCACTTTCAAAATAACAATTTGTTGGAACATTTGTATTAACCTTGAAACTTGTCCAATCTGCTGAGAAATAAGAAACTACACTGACATGTATGATAATAAAGTCCCCAACAAACCTGGCCAACAAATGACACATGGACCCTCTCTTTGCACATAATTAAATGATTTTTTAAATGCCAAAAGTGATCGGCACACAGAGCTGGTCCTCTCAAGGGGGGTGTTCATATGGCAAACTGCCAAAAGAGGATGCACTGCTTTGCTTTAATAAAGAGGTAACAGCAACAATATTTTCCTCCTTAGCCATGAGTCAGGTGTAGACCAGCATGTGGGATGGTGAGGGGTCCAAGAGCTAAAGGCCCAAAGGGGCCGAGTGCAGTGGCTCATGTCTGTAATTGTAGCATTTTGGGGGGTCGAGGCAGAAGGATCCCTTGAGTCTAGGAGTTTGAGACCAGCCAGGGCAAGATAGGGAGACTGCATCTCTCCAAAATAAAAAAAGAAAAGAAAAAAGAAAAAATTAAGTCGAGCGTGGTGGTGTGTGCCTATAATCCCAGCTACTCGGGAGGCCGAGGTGGGAGGGTGCTTGAGCCTGGGAGGTCAAGGCTACAGTGAGCTACGATTGCACCACTGCACTCCAGCCTGGGCGAGAGTGACCCTGTCTCGAAAAATCAAAAAACAAAAGATAAAGATGCAGAAGGACTACCTGCAGGGAGACATTTCATTGGTGAAGACCTTATGTGCTCAATTAATCAGGCGTGAGAAAGTGGTTGCCTTGTACTTGGTCTCCTGGGAACAGATTTGTATGTGGAAGGCTGGTAGGGGCGTGTTCCTAGGCAACACTCTTGTAAGGAAGTAGGGAAGGCAGCGTCAGGCAAAGGGGGAAACTGATCTCCAATATGGCTACAACTGGTGCCTCTGTCAATCTTATGGGGAGCTCTGGAGCTGAGATGGTCCTTCAGGGTTATCCCATGTTGCGGCAAGGCAGCAGGAAACAATATCTTTTTAAATTTTTTTTATATGTTGTTATTACATTTTGGCAAAGTAGGAGAATAGGAATAGAGTGTACTTTATTTAACAGCTTTTAGCTACATTTATAACTTGCAGACATCCAGAAACAGGCTATGTGTGCCTCTACTTGTCATCCTGCCCTGGGACCTACAAATGTTGGAGGAAGCATCAAGGAAGGTGTTCAGTCTCAGAAGCTTTGAATTCACATGCGTGATTACCTGTGTGGAGTTAGCACAAGCAAGGAAAGAAAATTCTGCCATTTTCTGACTATGTGATTTTGTCTGCCAAAAGTGGGCACTGGTTTTATGACCCTCTTTCTCAGCAGAAACTGAGGATCAGAGTGCTTTATTCTCTTGCTCAAATCATGCAGCTGTTGGTAAGTGGTAGAGCCAGGACTGAATCTAGACAAACTGATCCCAGTGACTGTACACTGAACGACTCTGTGTCCAAGGCTGAGCAGGAATTTGATCAATTCTGAAGATGCTTGCACTGGGTCCACCTCTCCACTTTCTGAAATTCTGTTAGAATTTTAAGGCACAAATGTCACCTCCTCCATGAAGCCTTTTCTGATTTTCTTCAGCCATATTTTTTTCTCCATTTAGCTTGTCTTTCTCACACATAAGCTTATGTACCCTGACTAGTATTAAAATTACCTTATATGTATCTCATCTCCCCCCAGGACTTGCATATAATTTCCTTGATGTCAGTGAGCCTGCCATATTCCCATATCTGCATCACTTTATATTAGTTTTTTCTTGCACCATAAGAAATTCTCACAATTTTATCAGTTTAAAACAACAGAGAATGAGAGAAAACATTTGCAAACTACTCATCTAACAGGAGACACATATCTAGAATATACATGGAACCCAAACAACAGAAAAAAAAATTTCATTAAAAATGGGCAAAGGACATGAGTAGATATTTCTCAAAAGACATAAAAATGGCCAACAGATATATGAAAAAAATGCTCAACATCACTAATCATCAGGGAAATGCAAATCAAAACCACAATGAGATATCATCTTACCCCAGTTAGAACGGCTATTACTAAAAAGACAAAAAATAACAGATGTTAGTAAGGAGGTGGAGAAAAGGAAATTCCACATGGTTAATGAGAATGTAAATTAGTATAACCTTTATGGAAAACAGTATGGAGATTTCTCAAGAAAGTAAAAATAGAACTATTGCACAATCCAGCAAGCTCACTACTAGGTATGTATCCAAAGGAAAAAAAAATCAATCTATCAAAGGGATACATGCACTTCCATGTTTATTGCAGCACTATTCACAATAACAAAAATATTGAATCAACCTAAGCATCCATCAACAGATGAATGGATAAAGAAAATATGGTAGAGGTATACAATGGAATACTATGCAGCCACAAAAATGAATGCAACCCATCATTTGAAGGAACTTGGATGGAATGGGGAGATATTATGTTAAGTGAAATAAGCCAGGCACAGAAAGATGAATATTTCATGTTTTCACTCACATATGGCAGCTAAAAACATTGATTGTGTGGAGATAGAGATTGTGTGGAGATAGAGATTGTGTGGAGATAGTGAAATGATAGATACAAGACTAAGAAAGAGGTTGTTTAATGAATACAAACATACAATTAGGCAGAGGGAATAAGTTATAAGATTTGGTAGCATTGTAGGGTGAGTATAGTTAACAACAATGTATTGCATTTTTCAAAATAGCTAGAAGAGGAGACTTGAATGTACCTAACACATCGAAATGATAAATGTTTGAGTGATAGATACCTCAAATACCCCAAATAGAATTACACATTCTTTGCATGTAACAAAATTTCACATGTACCCCATACATATGTACAAATATAATATATCAGAAATAGGTAAAGGGTAAATCTAAAAAATAAAAATAAAAGGTAAAAAAATAATAAAACAACACAAAGTTATTATCTCATAGTTTCTGTGGGTCAGAAGTCTGGGCTCAGAGTCCTCTTCCAAATTCGCTAGTTGGCTGAATTCATTCCTTGCATTTGTAGGACTAAGGTTCCTACGCTCCTGCTAGTTGTTGGCCAGGAACTGCCTTCAGCTCCTAGAGTCTGCCCATAGTTCCTTGCCACGTGGCTCCCATAAGCAGTTCACAGCATGGATGTTTGCTTTATTCCCAGAGAGCTGGAGTGCATCTCTGTGACTTTCTTTTCTGCAACCTGCTGAAGAAAATTTGATTTTAAAGCACTCACATGGTTAGGTGAGGCCCCCAGGATAATCTCCCTTTTGCCATAAAATTTAACAGTCACAGATGTGATACAGTTATATTCACAGGTTCAACCCATACTTTAAGGGGGAGGGATTTTACAAGGATGAGGGCCCTTGCAGATCTTATAATTCTCCTACCATACTGTCTACCACCTGAAATGTATCCTGTGAAAGTTTGCAATGTAGTGAGTGATTCCTCGTTTAGTTTTCCTCGTTGATTGCATGTGGCATGGAAGCAAAGTGGCATATAAGCAAAGAATAACCCAGGAGCCCCACATTCTTTCAGTCTTGGAGATAAAAGAAGGAACTTATATCAAAGGGGGCAGATGTGATTTTGGTCACTCTTATACCTCGAATTCAATGTTTCCACCAAATAAGTATGCAGCTGAGGGGATGCAAGATGATTTTTAAGTGTTGCATAGGCATGATAATAAATAATATTGAAGCACAGGGTGAAAAATTTATTCCCTTCTAATTTCTTTGCCTGTGCCTCATATTACATTGAGGAGAAAGCCTCAGTTTGGTGCCACTATTTCTTTTAAGACCTCCTACATTTGGGAATCTCCCTTTTAACCAAGAGAAGGATGGCTCAGGCTCAGAAACTTAAAGAGGCAACATTAACAAAGTAGCACTGAACAGCATTTTTGTTTATATTGGGCCCATTTTTAGTTCTTTTTAAATTATGGCCATGACACCAACTTTTACTTACAGTACTGGTAAAGTATTTGCTTATTAAACTTTTAATTAAAGAAAAAAGTCAACATTAATTTAAATAAAATTTTTATGTAAATAATACTATGGGTGGTTTATGGATATGGCAAAAGTCATTGATATTGGATGTGAATGATGGAAGTTGGGAAAGGATGCTCGAACCCAGGGATAACACTGGCTGCAATACCTGTGCTGGGGCTGAACCTGCAGGTGAGAGTTAAAGGGTGGCTCAATTGCTAGCACTTGGGAAAAGAGTGGGACAAGACCTTGTGAATAGCCTGGGAACTGGGAGCCTGGGTTCTTATCTTAGCTCAGCCATTTACCAGCTGTGTGACTTTGTGCAACTTTGAGCATTCACTTTCCGGTCTGGACTTGTAGGGTCCTCATTGTGAAATAAGGAGTTTGGATCTCATGGTCTCCATTGTTCGTTGGAACCATGATGTTTTATGATTCTGTGAATGAGGCAGGCCATTATAGTCATTTTGACCCAATTTTAATGTGTCGTTACGAAAAAAACCCCTCTTCATAGCCGATCATGTAAAGCGGAGTTTTTCAACCTCTGCACTATTGATATCGGGGGCTCAATAATTATTTGTTGTGGGAGCTGTCCTGTATATTGTAGGACGTATAGCAGCAACCGTGGACTCTACCTGCACATAGCAGCCTACCAGTGGTGACAACCAAAAATGCCTCCAGATATTGCTAAATATCTCCTAGTGGGCAAAATTGCCCTGGTTGGAAATCGCCAGTTTAGTGAAAACTCGCCTGTTTTTGTGCGGCACCTGTTCCATTGGTTCTAATGGTATAATGCTACTCAAACTCCACCAGCAATTCTTTTAGTCTGCAAGTTGCCTTCCATGGAGCAATAGGAGACACTAGGCCACTGGATTTATCAATTGATTCATTGATTAATTCACTCATGAATCATTTATTTCGCATGTATATATTGAACACCAGGCATACAATGGTGAACAAGAACTTTCAAGAACCCACAACTGGCCACCATTGATTTATGCATCATTTCTTGCAAAACATATTAATGTATTACTTGTGTGCCTATTCTACATCTAACACGTATTTCTTGCATTTCTAGTTTTTATCAAGCACTATGATGAAATACTGACACAATAAACAGAACACACATGCTACATGCCTTTAAGAAGATTCCAGTGTGCAAGGCATTCTGCTAGACATTGGTTGGCACTCGACTATAATGAACGCATATGAATATGATGGATTGAACGCTACTTCAAGTAGGCTTCAATGCAGTGAGGACAATCAGGTGCACATCTAATTGAGTCTTTAGGAAGACAAGAAATGGAGAGATTCCTTCTTGGGAGGAGAGAACTCTGTGTACTCTGGCTGGGGAGAGTACATAGACCTTTCTGGATGCATTTGAACTGATTAATTAAATACATTTGTAAAGTGTTACTATATACCCCTTTGAGAGATGAAAAAACTTCTTCAGAAGGTTAAAGAGGTTGTCTAAGCTTACCTAGTGGAACACAGTAAATGAAGGGAGGGGTAGGGGAAGGAACTCAAATCCAGGCCTATCCATCAGGCACCAAAGCCCCATGAATGTGTTTACATTGACAGCCAGATACTAAAGGGTGTGGGGAAATTTCTCAGAGAAAGACAGATAGAAGTTATAGAAGTGTGAGGAAGCAACATCAGTAACTAAACATCTACAGATAATCATCACTAAGAAGGCTGTGTAAAAGTAAACGTATGACTCTTCCTGGTTTCAGGAGTCTAGGCTTTCAAAAAAATCCAGTACAGTGAGAAAGACATGACATGGCTGAGATGGAGAGAATATGAGGTGGCCACAGCAGAAAAGTTGAGAACAATTTGAAAGAGGAAAATCTGTGGCCAAATTCAAGGTGAGCTGCGTGGGACCTTGCTTAGTATTATCTTGCTTTTGTTGTTTTAGATCTTTGAAACCCTCTTTATGAAACCTATAAAAGTAAACTTTTTCTCATTCTTACTTTTTTAGTCTTGGTTTTTTTCCCAAAATTTACTTGGAAAACAAATCCAAATCTCAAAGACTTTCCCCATTACTGGAGAAAGAAATCTCTGCAAGCTCTTTACTAGTCTCACTACTGAGTGAACTGTCTTACCACAGAGGTCATTTTACACATTTGGCTAAGGAGCAGGGGAATATTTTCAGTACATGCTGTACATAAGTGAAGCATGGGTTTCCACGACATGATTTTATGTCTATTTGCTGCCCTTCCCCAGTGATTTGTGATTTTTTCATAAATAATACAAAATCTGAGAGCAAATGAAGTAATTTTTATCTTGTTCCATCAAAGGATTTCTGTTGAAGTGAGTCCTACTCTTTTTTTTTTTTTTTGCTAATGGTCTTTAAATATCTTGAGAGACTAGTTATGTCTAGCCACAAATGCCGTAATGCTAAATAGAAATTACCCAAGAATCCTATTACAGTGTGGGTCTTTAAAATGTAATAAGGTAGAACATTCGGAAGAGATGGTATTATAGCTGCATTGTTACAAATTGTCAACTTTTCAATCTTTGAGAATTGAACCTTTGGGAAACTCACTGTACTTACCTTGATGGGCTCCAAAGAACAATAAGTACTAATGCTGATGTGGATTTCTTTTGGAAAAAAGCAAAGCAATTAATCAAAATGGGTATGTCTGTGTCTCTACTAGAATGTAGGCTCAATGAGGTCAGGGAGAGGGGCTTTAGTATCTCTCATAGCACTTGGCATAGTCACTTGTATTATGGGGTGCTGGTACTGCCTGGGTATCTGTATTTAAAAGATGCAGTGATTTTCCAACCAGTTGCAAAACATTTGGTAGTTTGAAATTAGCCATAGTAGGAATATTTACTTCATAGAAGTTGGTAAACACTACCAACCAGGGTTTGTGTGTGTGTGTGTGTGTGTGTGTGTGTGTGCATTTGTATGTGCACTTGGTTGGTTTGTTTTGTTTTGAGAGCTGGTTTACCAACACACTGAAGCATATAATCCAGTACCCAGGAACTGTTTGCTCATTTACAATTTAGAAGCCTCCATTTTGGGGAAATAACAACAATGAAATCCTAAACTAATGGTCAATTTAGTTAGAATTTTTCCTTTGTTGCCTGGAACTCACTCTGTACTTCACTTCTCCCTCAATAACTTTATTTCACAGTATGTGTGAAGAGACTAGGGTAGAGAATTATCACAATTTTCCAAACATAAAAAATACTTGTCATATAGGCTATGTCTATGCAAAGAAAGCATTTCCAAGTTTACTGTATATTATACTCTGTTCACACTCTTTCCTCTTTAGAATTAATACTCTGATACATCCCTCATTGTAATTAATACTCTGATTCTATTTTGGAACTCAACAGTACACAAATCACTTTCCCAGGAACCAAAGGATGCTTAGCATGACTAAGAACTAGTTTATGCTGTTTGATATTCCTTATCTGGCAGGAGGAAGAGATGATAGCATTTGAGAAAATCTGGGTATGGCCACTCTTATCTTGTTACCCTGATGTGTGGAGTCAATATCCATAGGAAGTGATAGGTCAGGGCCAGGGTCACCTCTTAGAGCTAGAACAAAAAGCATGAGACAAGGTGTAAAATCAAGTAAGGTATAGATCAGGGAGTGTCAATGCAAGAAGAGATTTGGTGGGGAAGGTGGGGAGCTAGACTCAGTAATTCTAGAACCGAAGTCTGGGCAATGAGATAATTCCAGTATTGAGCTGTAGGCATGGGAATGACAATTGTTCCAGTCCTGGTGACTGTGGGCATGGGTGTGTTGAGACCATGGAGCAGGACATTAGTAAAACCTATGACTGCAAGGGGCTTGCAGCTGGCTTGAAGAGCCATTAAATATGCAGGAAAATGGATCTTATAATGGAGTCAAAAGAAGAAAATGTTAAGTATGTGGCAAGGATTGAAATGCAGCACATCTCTGGATTAATGACTTCAAGGATGAGGTAGGATTTTATATGGTCTTCAAAAGATGGGTAGAAAGAGGCAGTAGGTGAAAATGGTTTGAGTAAGCACAAATGAGAAAAATGCTTAATGTGATATTGGCAGATGAGGATGGTACCCGACTGACTGGAGTACAGGAAGATTTACCATGGCTACATTTGGATAGTTACAGGTTTTGGTTAATAGGGTCACCAAAACATTGATTTTTATTAAGAATTAAAATGCCATAACATTTTAAATGTTAAAAGAACACAAAAACATACACTTGAGAATGAAACTAGATTCAACAAAACTGTGTTATCTAAAGTCCTTAAATGTGTGCACTTCATCGTGATCAACATTTTTTGTACACTTTACACATTTCTGAAGACTAAGTTGGAGGATACCAAGATAAACCATACATGGTTTTGCCTTAAAAGGGTAGGGAAGAGAGAGCTAATATATGGGTGATGGCAACACAATGAAAATCATAAATGCTTTTAAGAGGAATATGGATAAAACACTGCAGACATTATTTTTTAAATTCTTTAAATTGTCACATAATAATTGTACATACTTACAGGGTACACAGTGATGTTGCAATACATATGATGTATAGTGATGAGATTAGGGAAATTAGCATATTCATAATCTCAAACATTTATCACTTCTTTGGGCTGAGAACATTCAATATCCTCCTTCTAGCTACTTGAAACTATGTAATATATTATTGTTAACTCTAGTCATCCTACAGTGCTATAGTACACTGAAACATTCCTCCTATCCAATTGTAATTGTGTATCCTTTAACAAATCTCCTTATTCCTCCCCTTCCCCCACTCTTCCCAGCCTCTAGTACCATCTATTCTTTTTTAGTTGTATAAGATCAACTTTTTTAAAGCTTCTATATATGAGTGAGAACATGCAATGTTCAACTTTCTGTTCCTAGCTAATTTCAATTAATGTAATATCCTCTAGTTCCATTCATGTTGCCAAAAATGGCAAGATTTTTGGCATTCTTATTTTATGGCTGAATAGTATTCCATTGTGTATATATGCCACAGTTTCTTTATCCATTCATCTGTTGTTGGACACCTAGGTTGATTCTATATCTTGGCTATTGTGAATAGTGATGCAATAAACATGGGAGTACAGGTATCTCTTCTAAGTACTGATTTTCTTTCCTTTGGATAAATGCCCAATAATGGAATAGCTGGATCATATGGTAATTCTATCTGTAGATTTTTGAGGAAACTCCATACTATTCTTCATAGTGGCTAAACTAATTTACATTTCTACCAACAGTGTATAAGAGTTCCCTTTCTCGGCATTTTCTCCAGAACTTGTTATTTTTCGTCTTTTTGATAATAGCCATCCTAACTGGGATGAGATGATACTTCATTGTGGTTTTGATTTGCATTTCCTTGATGATTCGTTATGTTGAGCATTTTTTTTCATATATTTGTTGGACATTTGTATGTCTTCTTTGAGAAGTGCCTATTCAGATAATTTACTCATTTTGAAATTTTATTGTTTGTTTTTATGCTGTTGAGATGTTTGAGTTTCTTGTATATTCTGGATATTAATCCCTGGTCAGATGAATAGTTTGCAAATGTTTTCTCCCATTCTGTAGGTGGTCTTTTTACTCTATTGATTGTTACCTTTGCTGTGCAGACATTTTTTAGTTTGATATAATTTCATTTGTTTATTTTTGCTTTTGTTGGCTGGGCTTTTGAGGTCTTAGTCATAATTTTTCCCCCAAACCATGTCCTGAAGCTTTTCCCTTTTGGTTTATTCTAGTACTTTTATGCTTTTGGGTGTTAGGCTTAAGTCTTTGATTCATTTTGAGTTGATTTTTATATAGGGTGAAAGGTAGAAGTCTAGTTTCATTCTTCTGCATGTAGATATCCAGTTTTTCCAGCGCTATTTATTGAAGAGACTATCCTTTCTTGTTAAAATGCCTTTTGACAAAGGCATACGTTCTTGGTGCCTTTGTCAAAAATCAGTTGGCTGAAGATAGGTGGATTAATTTTGGGTGGTCTCTATTCTGTGCCATTGGTATAAGTTACTGTTTTTATGCTAGTATCATGCTGTTTTGGTTACTACAGCTTTGTGGTAATTTTGAAGTCTGGTAGTGTGATGCCTCCAGCGTTTTTCTTTTTGCTCAGGATTGCTTTGGCTATTTGGGGTCTTTTCTGGCTCTATACAGATTTTAGAATTTCTTTTGGTTTCTCTGAAGAATGTCATTGGTATTTTGATAGGGCTTTCATTGAATCTGTAGATTGCTTTGGGTAGTATGGTCATTTTAACAATATTAATTCTTCCAATCCATGTTTTTCTATTTGTGTGTATCCTTTTCAATTTCTTTCATCAGTGTTTTGTAGTTCCACTTGTAAAGGTCTTTCACCTCCTTGGTTAAATTTATTCCTATGTATTTTATTATTTTTTGCAGCTATTATAAATCAGATTAACTTCTTGATTTCTTTTTCAGCTAGTTCATTGTGTATACAAATGCTACTGATTTTTGTACGTTGATTTTGTATCTGGCAACTTAACTGAATTATCTTTTGTATCTGGCAAGTTAACTGATAACTTATCAGTTCTAAGACTTTTTTGGTACAGTCTTTAGTTTTTCTCTGTACATAAGATGATGTCATCTACAAACAAGGAAAATTTGACTTCTCCTTTCCAATTTGGATGCCCTTTATTTCTTTCTCTTGCCCAACTGCCCTGGCTAGAACTTCCAGTACTATGTTGAATAGAAGTGGCATCCTTGTCTTGTTCCAGTTCTTAGAGGACGTTTAACTTTTCCCCATTCAGTATGATGTTAGCAGTGGATCTGTCACGTATGGTCTTTATTATGTTGAAGTACTTTACTTTTTTTTTGTTTGTTTTGTTTTTTTGAGACGGAGTCTTGCTCTGTCACCCAGGCTGCAGTGCAGTGGCGCGATCTCGTCTCACTGCAAGCTCCGCCTCCCGGGTTCATGCCATTCTCCTGCCTCAGCCTCCTCAGCAGCTGGGACTACAGGCGCACGCCCCCACGCCTGGCTAATTTTTTTTGTATTTTTAGTAGAGACGGGGTTTCACCATGTTAGCCAGGATGGCCTGGATCTCCTGATCTCATGACCCGACTGCCTCTGCCTC
This sequence comes from Homo sapiens, assembly GCF_000001405.40. Taxonomy (NCBI): domain Eukaryota; kingdom Metazoa; phylum Chordata; class Mammalia; order Primates; family Hominidae; genus Homo; species Homo sapiens. Next base: position 52,662,931 of record NC_000016.10, on the reverse strand, counting down.
CCAAAGCGCTGGGATTACAGGCGTGAGCCACCACACCCGGCCAAAGTACTTTATTTCTATACCTGATTTATTGGGAATTTGTATCACAAAAGATGTTGAATTTTATCATAAGCGTTTTCTGCATCTATTGAGATGCATATGGGTTTTGTCCTTCATTCTATTCATGTAATGTAAGATGTTTATTATATGTTCAGCCATCCCTGCATTCCTAGGATATTCTGCTGGATCTTGAACTATTATCTTTTTGATGTCTTATCAGATTTGGTTTGCTAGTGTTGAAGATTTCTGTGTCTATGTTTATTAGGGATGTTGCCCTTTAGTTTTCTATTTTGTCCTGGGCTTTTCTGGTTTTGGTATCAGGATTATGTTAGCCCTGTAAAGTGGTTGGAAAGTATTCCTTCCACTTAAGTTATCTGAAATATTTTGAGAAGATTGGTATTAATTTTTCTTTAAAGTTTCAGTAGAATTTTGCAAAACAATTGGTTCTGGACTTTTCTTTTTTGGGAGACTTTTTATTACTGATTCAATCTCATGACTTGTTATTGGTCAGTTCAGGTTTTCTATTTCTTCTTGATTCAATCTCGGTAGGTTGTATATGCCTAGGAATTTATCCATTTCTTCTAGGTTTTTAAATTTATTGGCATATAGTTCATCATAGTTGTCTACATAATACTTTGTATTTCTGTGGTATCCATTGTGACATCTTCTTTTCATTTTTTTGTTTCATTTATTTAGCTCTTCTCTTTCTTTCCCAGTCTAGCTTATGGTTTATCAATTTTATCTTTCCCAAAAACCGTTTTTTATGTGTTTTGATTTTTTGTATTTTTTTAGTTTCAATTTCATTTATTTATCTCCTGATCTTTATTATTTCTTTACTCCTACTAGTTTTTGGTTTAATTTTTCTTGCTTCTCTAGTTCCTTGAGATGTATCATTAGGTTTTTTATTTGAAATTTTTCTAGTTTTTTTTTTTTTTAAATGTAGGCATTTGTTTTTAAGAGGTCTCTTGCCTCTTTTTACTGCTTTTGCTGTGTCCCATAGGTTTTGGTATGTTATGTTTCTATTTTCATTTGTTTCTAGAAATTTTTAAATTTTATTCTTAATTTTTTCCTCCACCCACTAGTCATTCAGAAGTATGTTGTTTAATGTTCAAGTATTTGTAGTTATATATATTCCTCTTGTGATTTCTTTCTAGTTTTATTACATTCTGGTTTGATAAGATACTTGATATAATTTTGATTTTGAAAAATTTTTTGAGACTTGTTTTGTGTCCTAACATATGGCCAATTCTGGAAAATGTTCTATGTGTTAATGAAAATAATGTGTATTCTGCAACTGTTGGGTGAAATCTTCTATAAATATCTGTTAGGTACATTTGGTCAATAGTACAGTTTAAATTCAATGTTTCTTTGTTGATTTCTGTCTAGATGATCTGTTCAAAGCTGAGAATAGGATGCTTTGTTGAGTAGGATGCCAAAGTCTTCAGCTACTATTGTATTAGGGTCTATATCTCCCTTTAGATCTAGTAATATTTGCTTCATATATCTGGGTGCTCCAATGTTGGATGCATATATATTTACATTTCTTATAGTCACTTGTCAAATTAATCCCTTTATTATTATATAATGTCCTTCTTTGTTCATTTTTACAGCTTTTGACTTAAAGTCTGTTTTGTGTGATATAGATACACACAAAACTGTATAGATACAGTTACTCCTGCTTGCTTTTGGTTTCCATGTGCATGACATGCCTTTTTCCATCTATTTACTTTAAGCCTAGCTGTGTCTTTACAGATTAGGTTGAGTTTCTGATAGGCAGCATATAGTTAGGTCTTGTTTATTTGTCCATTCAGCCAGTCTATATCTTTTAAATGAGAAATTTAATTCACTTACATTTAAGGTTATCACCGATAGGTGAAGACTTATCCTTGTCATTCTATTCATTTTTTTCCTGGTTGTTTTGTACATCCTTTGTTCCTTACTTCCTCTCTTATTGTTTATTTTTATAATCGGGTGGGGATTTTGTAATGAAAAGGTTTGATTCCTTTCTCTTTCTCCTTTGTATATGGGATCTACCAGGGAGTTTTATGGTTTTACATTCTCTCATGATGATGGTTATCAGTTTTTCACTTCCAGATGTAAGACTCTTCTGAATATTTCTAATAAGGCCAGTGTAATGCTGATAAATTCTTCTATTTTTTTATTGTGAAAGATTTTATCTCTCTTTCATTTCTAGAGGACAGCTTTGCTGGCTATAATATTCTTGGTTGGTAGCTTTTATTTCTCCCTTCAGTGCTTTAAAGATATCATTCCCTTCTCTCCTGGCCTGTAAGGTTTCTGCTGAGAAATCTGCTATTAGTCTAATGGAGATTCCCTGATATATGACTTGATGCTTTTCTCTTGCTGCTTTGAGAATTCTTTGTCTTCGCCTTTTTTTTTTTTTTTTTTTTTTTTTTTTTTTTTTAATTTTCTGAGACAGGGTCTCACTTTGTCACCCAGGGTGGAGTGCAGTGGTGCTATCTCAGCTCACTGCAACTTTGACCTCCCAGGCTCAAGCAATCTTCCCACCTCAGTCTCTCAAGTGTCTGGGACTACAGCCTTGCCCCACAATGCCCAACTAATTTTTCATGCTTTTTGTAGAGACAGGGTTTTGCCATGTTGCCCAGGCTGGTCTTAAACTCCTGAGCTCAAGCAATCTTCCTGCCTTGGCCTCCCAAAATGCTAAGATTACAGGCATGAGCCGCCACACCTGGCTGTCTTTCACTTTTGACAATTTGACTATAATGTGCCTCAGAAAGAATCTGGTTTGGTTTAACCTATTTGGAGTTCTTTGAGAATCCTGAAACTGGATATCCATCTCTCTCCCCAAACTTGGGAAGTTTTAAGCTAATATTTCCTTAAATATATTTTCTATCCCTTTTCTCTTCTCTTTTCCTTCTACAACACCCATTAGTTTTAAGCTAATACTTCCTTAAATATATTTTCTATCCCTTTTCTCTTCTCTTTTCCTTCTGCAAAACCCTCTTTTCCTTCTGCAACACACTCTTTTCCTTCTGCAACATGTGAATATTTGTTTGCTTAATGGTATCCCATACATCCTGTATGCTTTCTTTCTTTATTCTTTTCTAAGTATTCTTTTTTTCCTTTTCTTTTTTATCTTCCTGTGTTATTTCAAAGACCTGTCTTCAAGTTTAGAAATGTTTTCTTCTGCTTGATCTAGTCTGTTGTTGAAGCTCTTGATTTTATATTTTATTTCATTCTTTGAATTCTTCAGCTCTAGGAGTTCTGTTTGACTCTTTTTAAAAATGATTATCTCTTTGTTGAATATCTCATTCAAATCATGAATTGTTTTCCTTATTTTGTTGAATTGACTATTTGTATTATAGATAAACTTGTATCTCACTAAATTTTCTTAAGATTATTATTTCAAATTCTTTTTCTGGCATTTTATATATTTCCTTATGATTAGGGAATTATACTGGAAAATTATTGTGTTCCTTTGGAGGTGTCATTTTTCTTTGTTTTTTCATGTTTGATGTGTTGCTACCTTGATTTCTGTGCATCTGGTGTAAAATCACCTCTTTCAATTTATGGAGTAGGTTTCATAGGGAAAGATTTATTTGTGTAAATAGGTCTTGGGGTGTCAGTTTGGTGAGGTGTGTCAGCTTTGGTTCCAGGTGGATGCAGTAATGTAGTCCTCATGTTGTTTCTTCAGCTGTAATTCATGCTACTGACATTTGCAAGTGTCTTAGTGGCCTAGGCTGAGAGAGTTTGTAGCAATGATGGTGTGGGTTCATGAGGGTTAGGCTTGCCAGGCTATTTCTCAGGTTGGAGGTGCATGTGTACACACAGTGGGTTGGCCCACTTGGAGCTGGGGTAGGGGAGCTGGGGTTATTATTCTGAACAGCAGGATGCATGTGCACATGGCTGCTCAGCAGGCCTGGGGGCATGCCTGCCAGGAGGGGCCCATGAGGCTGTTTCTCAGGCCTGGGACTCGGGCACACAGCTGCTCAGTTGTATGTTTCTTAGGCCTGAGACATGGACACACAGCTGCTCAGCTGCTCAGGGGTGTGTTTGGCAGGGTGGGCTGTGGGGTTGTTTCTCAGGCCCAGAACATGGCTGCATGGCTTGTCAGCTGTCATGGGTACATGTCTTCTGGGGGTGGTCCATGGGATTCTTTCTCAGACCTCAGATGGGGCTGCATAACTGCTTGGCTGACCTGATGTGTCTGCTGGGGTGGCCCATGGGGCTCCACAGGCTTGGAACATGAATGCAAAGCTGCTCAGCCTGACTGGGGGGTTGTCCCTGCTGCGGGTGGCCCACAGGGCTGTTTTTCAGGCACAGGACATGGGCTCTCAGCTGCTCAGCCAGTGTGGGGGCTGGCCCATTGGGGGCAGCCTGTGAGGGCTGTTTCTCAGTCTCAGGATGCAGGCACAGAGCTGCTTGGCTGGTCTGGGGCAAGTCTGCTGGGGCAGCCCACATAGCTGGTTCTCTGCTGTTTGCAGTTGTGGGGCCACTGGGCAGGCCAGGGGCTTGTCTGCAAGGGATGGGGCACCACAGAGCTATTTCTGAAGTTCTGGACATGGGCACATAGCTGTTCTACTGGCTTGGGAGCCTGTCAGTGGCTTGAAGGCTTGGGGGCCTCTCTAGCTTGGGAGAGGACATAAAGCAGTTTGGCCCACTCAAGGGCAGGTTAGCCCTGGCACTGTCAGACTGTTCCTCTAGCTGGAACTGAGAATGGCAGAAGTTAGTTTTCCTGTGGTGCAGGACCTGAGCCACAGCCAATCCTGGGCCCAGGCTCTGTGCTACGGGGCTTGTGGTGTTCAGCCACCAGTGTGGGTTTGGCCGAATAAAGATGGAACCCCAGCACTGGAGAGGTGAAGTGGCTATTGGCCCCTAGAGGCGGGCACACTCCAGAGTGGGCTCTGGTCTCAAGAGAGTGATGTGCTGCAGCAGCTTGGCTCACAGAAGGTGGGTAGAGAGTGGGGAGTGTGCACACCTTGTGCTCCTAATCTGGGACAATGCAGCCGCATCAATTCTTGGCAGTTCTTCAGACTGGGCTGAGGGCTTGTGAGGACTGTGGGATTCTCCTTTGTTAAGGACTGTAGTGTTTGCAGTGGCAATGGGGGCTGGTAGAGTTCTTCTGCTTACTTTTTCCCTGCCATGGGAAGTCACTCCTGACTCTGGGCAGATCCAATCCAGGTGTCTGCAGAGGCTGGGTGTCTTCACACTGCCCTCCTAGACTTCTAATCACCAAAGGGGAATCTCTACTCCCCCACCCACTGCACTCCAATGCTCTCCGTTTGACAGTCAAGTCAAACCATACCATATCTATTTATTTGTTGCTTTGGTCTTTCTTTGTGGTGAGGATGAGCACCAGGCCTCTTTAGTCAGGCATCTTGCTGACATCATTCTCAGCACTCTAGACATTATGAGAAGGAAGAGATTATCTGTGACCAGCAGGAATCAGAGATGTTTCATGGAGAATAAGAAGAATGTGTGACATCCATTCAGCTTAAAAGTCATCTCCAAAGAGAGGCTTTCCTCTGCCACCTTAGAATCTAAAGTAGATCTTTTCTACCAAAACATGGCAAAAGTGTTTTTTTTTTTTTTTTTGGAGGGACTGGTTCTTTATTTCAAAAAGACACTTGTCAATATTCAGTATCAAAACAGTTGCACTATTGATTTCTCTTTCTCCCAATCAGCCCCAAAGAGACGACATAAAAGGAGAGTACATTTTAAGCCAATAAGCTGCAGGATGTACACCTAACAGACCTCCTAGAAACCTTACCAGAAAATGGGGACTGGGTAGGGAAAGAAATTTTAACAGATCAGCAAACTGCCAGCCCACGGACTGCAGAGGCTGTCACAGCCACATGGGGTGGCCAGGGTGCCACAAACCCAAAGAAGCAAAGTTTTAAAATAATATAAAATTTAAAAAGTTTTGTACATAAGCTATTCAAGATTTCTCCAGCACTGACTGATACGAAGCACAATGAGATGGCACTTCTAGAGACAGCAGCTTGAAACCCAGAAAAGGGTAATGAGATGAGTTTCACATGGCTAAATCAGTGGAGAAAACACAATCTTCTTTCTTTCAAGGAGGCAGGAAAGCAATTAAGTGGTCACCTCAACATAAGGGGGACATGATCCGTTCTGTGAGCAGTTGGGAGGGGGTAGAGATGAGAGAAAGTTTTGGTCTCAGAGGTCTTAACCATCTTAATTTGATCATTTCTAATGAAAAAAATAAAAAATAGAAATAATATTATCCAAAGATATCTTAAAGCTGAAAACTTGAACAGCACATTTTTGTTTTTGTTGTTGTTGGGCTAACTCCTCCTGGAATCACCTTTCTGGTTTAGCTAGTACTTTGTACAGAGCAATGAGGTTTCCCACAGTGGAGTCTCCCTGGGCTCTGTTTGGCTCTCAGCAAGGCAAGCCTATACCTTTTCCTCTCCTCTATGGAGAGGGGAATATGCATTAAGGTGAAAAGTCACCTTCCAAAAGTGAGAAAGGGATTTGATTGCTGCTTCAGGGCTGTGGAATTATTTGGAATGTTTTACAAATGTTTGCTACAAAACAACAAAAAAGGTAATTACAAAATGTGTACATCACAACACGCTTTTTAAAGACATTATGCATTGTGCTCACATTCCCTTAAATGTTGTTTCCAAAGGTGCTCAGCCTCTAGCCCAGCTGGATTCTCCGGGAAAAGGCAGAGACAGTTTGGCGAAAAAGACACAGGGAAGGAGGGGGCGGTGAAAGGAGAAAGCAGCCTTCCAGTTAAAGATCAGCCCTCAGTTAAAGGTCAGCTTCTGGCAGGCTGGCCTCAGGCGGAGTCTGGGTCACAGGGAGGAGCAGCAGCAGGGTGGGACTGGGGCATTCTACATCTCATTCAGGTCAAGCAGAGTCTGGTCCAGCATCCTTTGTGTACAGAGGTGCTCCTCTTTGGTGCATTTCAGTTTATCTTCCAAGTCATCAATTGTCTTTTCCAGCTTGGCTACCGATCGCTCAGCAAACTCAGCACAGGTCTCTGCCTCCTTGGGTTTATCAGTAAAAATCTTGATTTCTTCCTCATATTTGTCTTCTTTTTGAGAGTACTTTTCTTCAGCAGCACTCAGACACTTCAGGTTCTGGTCCATCAGTCTAATCTGCTCATCCATCTCTCGGCAACGGGACTCTGTCAGCTCAGCTCGTTCCTCTGTGCGTTCCAAGTCTCCTTCAATGGTCACCAACTTACGAGCCACCTCTTCATACTTCCTATCTGCCTCTTCTGCAATGTGCTTAGCTTCTTTGAGTTGGAGTTCTTGGAGTTCCATCTTTTCTTCATCTTTTAAAGCCCGGTTTTCAATAACCTTCATACCTCTCTCACTCTCACCAGCAGCTTTTTCTGCTTCTTCCAGCTTTTGCAGGGCAGTGGCCAGGCGCTCCTGAGGACGATCCAGCTCTTCTTCAACCAGCTGGATCCTACGGTTCAAGGAGGCCACCTCAGCCTCAGCCTGTTTCCGGGCCCGCCTTTCTCCCTCAACTTCTTGCTGGAGGCGCTCAGCTCGCTCCTCTGCATCATCTGCCTGCTGCTGCAGAACCTGGATCTTGCGCTTCACCGCCTCAATGGTGGTGATCCCAGCCGTGGTGCCCACCCAGCTACTGCTCGCGCTCCGGTTCCTGCCTCCTCCGCTCGGTGTTGCAGCCTCCTCTCACCGGCAAAAGTTTTTGCCATGGGGAAAAATCCAAGAAGAATGAAACATTAAGGGTCTTCCGTAGCCAAGAGCTGTGTCTGGAGGTTACCACCCCCATTCTATATCCATACATATTGGTTGGTTTGATTGCACTAATTTATTCATTAAATATTTTCTGAAAGCCTTGTGCCAGATGCAGCTCTAGGAGCTGGGGATAAAGTGATTAACAAAACAGACAGTGTCCAGGCACTCATGGAGTATATGTTCTGTGAGAAGACAGACATCAATCAAATAGCCATATGAATACACAGTGTCAAACTGCCAAATACTATCAAGGAAAAGGAGCTATGAGAACATGGAGCTGTGATATCTGGCCAGGTCTAGGGGCCCAGGAAGCCTTTCCAGATAACTAACCACAGTAAAAGAATGAGTAGGACTTTATGTAGCAGAAAAAGACAGTGGGTAGAAGTTTTAGGCAGAAGGAACAGCAAACACAAAAGCAGTGAAATTAGAAGGTCAGTGTGGTCAGTGTGCAAGGAATGGGAGAGTGTGGGACCTACAAAAAACACACATCTAACATCATATTAGATGTAACATCGAATACTTTTGACCTAACATCAGTACTAAGATGAAGATCTCTGTTCTTGCCATTTCTATTCAACATTGTACTGGTTCTAGCCAGAACAACTGAGTAAGAAAAATAAATAAAAGGCATCATATTTGGAAATGAAGAAGTAAAGATATCTTCATTTGCAGATGACATTATATTCAACATAGAAATTCTAAGGAATCCACAAAAAAACTGTTAGAAATAATGCACAAATTCAGGAAGATTGGAAGATATAAAATGAAGATATGAAAATCAGTTTTGTTTCTATACACTAGCAATGAAAAATTTGAAAGTGAAATTAAGAATACAATTTATAATGGCGTCAAAATAACAAAATACTTAAGAATAAATTAAACAAAATTATAAGAATTGTACATTGGAAACTACAAAATATTATCAAAAGAAATTTAAAAACATTTAAATAGATGGAAAGATATCCCATGTTTATGAATTAGAATATTTAATGTTGTTAAGATGGCAACACTCCCCCAATGTGATCTACAGATTCAATGCAATCTTACCAATATTCCAGCTGCCTATTTTGCAGAAATTGACAAGCTGATTTTAAAATTTGTTTGGAAATTCAAGGGTCCCAGAATAGCCAAAACAAGCTTGAAAAAGAAAGAGTAAGTTGGAGGACTCACAATTCCACATTTCAAAACTTACTGCCAAGCTTCAGTAATCACGGCAGTGTAGTACTATCATAAGGATAAACATGTAGGTGAGTGGAATAGCAAGCAATAAGAGTCTAACAACAAATTCTTATATTATGGTCAGTTAACTGTTAATAATCTTTTCCAAAAATGGTGCTAAATTAAAAATGGATGAAGGATATTAATAGATATTTCCAATATTTCCCCCAAAAAAGTATAAAAATGGACAAAAAGCCCATGAAAAGATGCTAAACATCATTTTTGATTAGGAAAATGCAAATCAAAAGTGGTATCTCATAGACACTACTTCACATTCATTAGGATGGCTAAAATTTAAAAGTCAGACAATAAGAAATATTGGTAAGAATGTAGAGAAATCAGATTTCCTGGTGGTGGGATTGTAAAATGGTGCAGCTGCAGTGGAAAACGGTTTGGCAATTCTTCAGAAAGTTAAAAATAGAGTTACCAGGTGATCTAGCAACTCTACTCCTAGGTATCTAACCAAGAAAAATGAAAGTATGTGTCCACACAAAACCTTATACATAAAATATTTATAACAGCCTGATTCAAAACAGACAAAAAGTAGAAACAACCCAAATGCTCATCAACTGAATGAATAGATTAAGAAAATATGTATAGCCATACAATGGAATATTATTTGCAATAAACAGGAAGGAAGTACTGATACATTCTACAGCATTAATAACCCTTGAACCATTATGTAACTGAAAGAAGCCAGACACATATTATATGCTTTCATTCACAGGAAATGTCTAGTACAGGCAAATTAATACAGACAAAAGTAAATTAGTGATTGTCATGGAATGGAGGGAGGGAGGAATAAAGAGTAACTGCTAATAGGTATAGAGTTTCTTTTTGGAGTAATGAAAATACTCTAGAATTAGACAGTGGTGTTGGCTTCACAACTCTGTGAACATACTAAAACGCTGAGTTGTGCTCGAAATTGTGAAATTTTTGGTTGTGAGTAGTAGGGGGAAGTGGATAATGAAGAGTTTATTAGTGGGTACAAATATACGGTTTGATAAAAGAAAGACCTAGTGTTAGATCAACAGGGTGACTATTGTTTACAATAATCTATTGTACATTTAAAAATAGCTAGAAGAGAATAATTTGAATGTTTCTAGCATAAAGAAAAGACAAATATTTAATGTGATCGATATCCCAAGTACACTGATTTGAGCTTTACAAATTATATAAATGTATTACATTATTATGTATACCCCAAAACTATGTACATCTATCAGGCATCAATAAAAATAAATAAATACATTTACGAAATGGCAGTAAAAAGCTAGTCTAATGTAATAGTCCTGGTGAGAGACGATGGTGGCATGGAAATAGGGTGACTGTGAAAATAAAGAGAAATGAGACATATGATGGAAAGCTATTCATAGGAATTTCTACTCACTGTCACACCACCCTGTACCAACCTAGCCCAAGCCCCAGCTGTGGGGAGTGGATCTAGAAGTGATGGTGGAGTAGGTTTTATTCTGGCAGGCTTTTTTCTCCAGCCAGTAACCGAGCAGATCATAATATGAAGCTGATACAAAGCTGAAGCTAAGCAGTCTCGGTGACATCGAAGGTTGATGCACAGCACAGTTGCTTTATTTAAGGTAATTTGGACATTGATTCAACACCAGCAAGGCCAGGGTTTAATTAGTATCCCCCTCCAGCTCTCGGCTAAAATATGTCCCTCCCTTCTTCATGTCCTTATTTCACTCAACTTGTCTTGACTAAACAGCTAATGGTATTCACTGACTGAGGCTGTGCTTCTCTTCAAGCAGTGAGCGTGGTACAAACATTGTGTCATTTAATCTCATAATAGCTCATTATTATGTCAGTTTTATAGATGAGTACACAGAAAATCAGAGGTTTAACTAACATGATCAAGATCTCCTAACCAGTTAAGTGGTGAAGTTGGAATTTTTACCCAAGTCTGTTTGCTAAATGTATGCTCTTCATCATTACATCTACATAGGACCAGCTACATAACTTGTAGTGCCCAGTGCAAAATGAAAATGTAAGTCCACTTGTTAAGAGATTATGAAGAATTTCAAGGGGATATCAGTGCATTAAACAGAGTTAGGACCTTCTGAGTTCCCTGTGTGATTGCATAGGTTGTACACCTCCGAAGCCAGCCCTGCTTCCATGTTTCTCCAGTTTACCTAATGGTAAGAATTACCTTGGGAAGGTGCTTTGATTTTACAGACTTCTATGTCTTTCTCCAGGATAATCCAATAGAGGGGGTTGGGGTGGAGCTCTGGAATCTATTCCTTTTTATTAGAAATAGAGTCTTGCTCTGTCACCCAGGCTGGAGTGCCGTGGCACAATCATGGCTCACTGCAGACTTGAACTCCTGGGCTCAAGCAATCTTCTCATCTTAGCCTTCCAAATAGCTGAGACTGCAGGTCTGGCTAATTAATGTGTTTTTTTTTTTTTTTTTTTTTTTTTTTTTTTTTTTTTTGTAGAGATGAGGGGTCTTGCTATGTTGCACAGGCTGGTCTTGAACTCTTGGCCTCAAGTGATCCTCCCACCTTGGCCTCCCAAAGTGCTAGGATTACAAGTGTGAGCCACCACCCCTGCCCAGGAATCTGTGTTTTTAACAGGTATCTTCAGTAATTCTTATTGCAAGCAAATTGGGGAAATTGTAATATGCCGTGCATCCTGGCTGTTTTGGAGGACTTGTTTCGTGTGTAGCACTGTGCTAGGCACTGTGTGTGTGTGTGTGTGTGTGTGTGTGGTGGGCAGGCATGGGATGCTGGTATTGTCAGGGAATTCAAATGTATACATTATGTGGGACAATCATTTTCCAAATTTGCCCTCTCTGACACCTCCAAAACCAGGAATGGGGCTCCTTTATTCCCCCGTGATTGGAACTGCTTGAATTTTAAAGCACTGCACACTTTATTCAGAGGAAGTCTTTCAAGAAGGAGTGGGAGCTAGGCCACAGGATTCTAATCTTGAATATTCAGGGAAAGCAGCATGTCCTATTCAACACGGCTGATCAATAATGAGTGCATTCACACTCTAAATGTGTGCATTATGTACAGATACAAAATATACAATGCCCCCAAAACGGGGAAAGACATTTCTGATTGAATTTTTTTGTTTGGGTTTATAAAAATAACTTGTGGTGCATCAATTACTCTCCATTTCCATGGATACAGGCAATACTTTATTATGTAACTCTACAGCTGTGCCGGTTTTTAATATAAAACCCAGATTTTTTCATCTATTTCTCTTTCATAGTTACTGAACTGAGATAATAACATCTTTTACCTATGAATGTATTCAGTTCCCCCTTTTTTTCAGCATCCTGCAAACTATTATTGATTAGAATTTCATTTTGTGGCTTTTGTAATAAAATCTGCAGTAAATGTTACCATTGCAGGCAGTAGAAGGGCGGAGTGGGGGAAGGTCATTCTTTATGTATATTGTGTGTAAATATGTATGTATAAAGAATGCCGTTTGTGTGTGCACATTCTTCCAAGTCTAACAAGTGAACGCCTGGACATTGTACTGACTTCCAATTTGCTCTAGGGCAGTTTTCAAATGGCTGTTTATGAAATGTTGAGAAAATATTCCTCTACACTTTTTTTTTAAAGACCCCATCACCCACTTTTTTGTGAACAGAACTTTATTTCTGCAGTCCTACAATTTGCAATTCAGTACCATTGTTTTCACCCTCCTGGTGATGCTCAAAGTTGATTGATATCTTGTTGTTCCCTGCACAGAAATGGCTTCCCATCATCCTAGTGGGGATTGGAACAGAGAGTGAGGGGAGAGCAAAGAAATGACATGGAATGAAAATCTGAGACAGGCCTAAAAGGGGCAGATTAGGGAAATGGAGCTGGAGGGGATTTGAGGGGCTATAGAAAGGGATTCTGCTTCTGCAAATTATCAACCATTAGGAATTCTTCTGCTGGCAATTCAAATCCTTTGTGTAAACAGGGTTAATCTCCAGGCCTGGAATGAGCATGAAGGGTCCAACAACTCCCTGGAATTTTATGTAAAAAACTGCACGTATGTGTGTCTGTGTACTTTTGGAGGAAAGGATCTGTTGTAGGTAGATTTGATGGTGATGGCCTGTCTTACAACAATTCTTAGAGAGGTCATTCCCCCTTTTGATGACAAAGCCAGCAAAGAGGTGGGGGCATAGCTAAGCCAGTCATCACCATCCTGATCACAGTGCTTGACTTGAGGGATGAGCACCTGACTCAAGCAGGGCCAGTTAGAGTCCTTCCCTGGGACATTTCCAACTTCATTTGGAGGAAAGAACATACTTCCCACTTTAGCTGATGGTGTAAGGATTCAGCCATGCCTCTGCCATGTGGCAAAAGCACATCTGTAATAGAAGGGAAGTAAGCTGTCAATCAGAAAAAAGCAGAGATGAGAATGAGAGCCAGGGAGAGAGAATATAAGAGATTGCTGACAGCACTCCACTGATCCGGTTACCCCTTGGACCAGTTCCACCCATGCCCTTTCTAATTTTGCATATTTGAATCACTAAACGGACCTTTTTGGCAAAAGCTAATTCTACCTGGTACCTGTCACCACAGCCAATAAAATCTTGATAAAACATAATCCACAGCTTTCATCAGATTTGTGTGACCACCAGATGGGGTGAAAACAGCCATGTAAGACCTCCTCTCCCAGTAGTTATCTTAAATTGTCATGGCCTCTGGGAGGGATGGCTCAGAAAGTGGTAAGCCCTGGTGTGAATGGGAAGGAGTTGATTATGTACTTTTTCCATTGATAAAAGATCCTAGGAATGAAAGTGGGGGCCTCCAGTGACCCACTTACTTCACAATTTTGCTTGGAATAGTCCCTGGGCTGATGGTGCTGACTGTGAGTAAGCACTTATTAAGGACCACTACATGCACAGTTACTGTGAGATGAAAAAGATTAAGGCTATGACCCATGCCTCCAACTTATATGAGGTTGAGGCTCAGAGAATATTTTCCAGGTATGTTGCAAGTAGGAGTGTGAGATGAGGTATAGCAAAGAGCTCATGTGTGAAGGAGGAGGTGGGGCAACTAGAAAAGCCACCAGAATTATTGCTGGAATATCAATTAAATTACTTAATTGATTAATTCAAGAGATCATCACAGAATAGGATGGTAATAGAACATCATGTAATGCTCAGCATTGGGCCTTTCCCTGTATTTGTGTGGTCCTCCTTCTCAGGAGGAATCAAATGCACAGGAATTCTGCTTCAATGACTTCTTTTTAGAGGACCTCCATGTCTCAGTCTTTCTTGTCTATCAAATGGTCATAATCATTTCAGTCCCACCCACTTCACTGAGGTGTCATGAGGATCTAATGAGATCTTTAAATGTTGTTAAATGTTGTTCAAATGCCCCAAGTAGCTGCATCTATACCTGCACTAGTGTGTCTTGGCCCTGGGAGAGAGACATTGCCATATAGAAGGCCATGCCTCCTTTCTACCTGTGGAAGACATCATCAATAGATCTTAGCAGTCTTTTCTGCCTCAACTTGCTTGAGCTCAACCTCTCTGGCTCAACTTTAGAGTCTTTTTCAACACAACACTCTATGAAGCGTCTGCCACTGATGAAAGCTGGCATGTAAAATGCTATTTGCAGTCCCTGATCTAGGTTCTCAAATGATTGGTATTAGGGTGGCAGGTTGGGGATGAATTTTCTAACTAATTATGGAGGAAGGATGAAGATATCATGATGTGTTTGAAAAGAACCAAATGGCATGACTGTTAGGCAAACATAAACAGGAATTTAGGAGTTAGGAGAAGGGCTTGCCATTTTAGTTATTTAAACATCTATGTTATCATTAAAAACAAAATGAGGAGTGTTAGCTAAAATCAGCCTAATTACTTCTCCCCAGGCACCCTAGGCTGTGATCCTGGAACTGAACATCTGATGAGTCAATACAGGGCACGGAGTAGGTAAGTCATTATTACTTTTTGCTCCTGGGGATATAAGACAGTGATATAAGAACAATCTGATGAACAGGGAACAAAAACAAATTAGCAAATTTACTTAAAAGTAAGTTTTGAGTAGTTGAAGATGAGAGCATTTGCATTCTTATTGGTATGTTTATCCAGAAGTGAGCAACCACATGCAAAACCATAACTCATCTACCACTGATTAAAAGACACAAGTGGCCTCTGGGCAGGGACTAGAAGCTTTAGCCAAACATAATTCAGAGACCCAGAGCTACTGCATTGCCTCGGGCTCTCCCCATATAGCCAGTGGCTTCTCAGAATACTCTGGACAGTGCTAATTTCCTGATTTCCACAGTGACTGATAGGCCACTGAAGACTCCCTCCAAGGCTTGTCTCAATCTTAGGGATGCTTACCCCCAGGGGTCACACCCCTACTGGCGCTATGGTCAACTGAGTCAGGGCTGGATTTCTCACCCACCCTGGCCAATCGGATTTTCTTTCCCCACATTCAGTATTAAATGACTGAATCTCTAGCAGGTGTGACTAGGCTTAGCAGGTCATTTAGATGTGAGGGATAAGAGTTCAATCTTGCAGGTGGAGCAGAGATGCTTTTCTGAAGAAAGGGGTTGGGGAGAGAATTGGCTGTGCTTTCTCAAGATAAAGCCCCTTTAATTTCATCTAGCTTAATTGGGCTTCTGTTCTCTGCAAGCAAACTTGCCTTGAACCAAACTGCTTCCCCAAATCTGGAATGTGTACCCCTGGGGTGCACAAGCTGATATTTAGGCAGCAGGAGAGATGATTTTTACATGGTGCATAGCTGCAGCCTTTTAAAACATCAGCATTGATTTCCATTCTGAGAAAGAAATTCCCTTTCAGTCCTTTTGATTATCTCAGTTTGGTGCTTGTCTTTAACACCTAAGACTTGCTAATTTCCTGTTTCAACAAAGAGAGGATAGGGCTTAAGTTAAGAGCCTTCAGCAATCAACATTATGTTGCTAGACTTGAATAATATTATTTTGCATTTATTCTTAGGTTGTCTTTTTTATGGTAGTTCATCTTACTTTTTTCATTTCCCTCATTCTGACCTACAGAATCCGTGAGAGATATTAAAATAATTGTTGTTGTTTAAAGCCACTATGTTTAGGGGTGGTTTGTTATATGGCAATAGAGAATGGGAACAGAATCCATACCAGATAATTAAATAGAGGGGAATTAATACAGAGAATCAGTTTTTAAAAAACTGTGTTACCAGAAAGGGTCCCAATCCAGACTCCAAGTGAGGGTTCTTGGATCTCATGCAAGAAAGAATTTGGAGCGAGTCCATAGAGTAAAGTGAAAGCAAGTTTATTAAAAAAAGTAAAGGAATAAAAGTATGGCTATTCCATAGGCAGAGCAGCAGCCTGAGATGCTGGTTGGCCATTTTTATGGTTATTTCTTGATGATATCTCAAACAAAGTGTGGATTATTCATGAGTTTTCTGGGAAAGGGGTGGGCACTTCCCAGAACTGAGGGTTCCTCCCCTTTTTAGACCATACAGGATAACTTCCTGACGTTGCCATGGCATTTGTAAACTGTCATGGCTTGTGGGAGTGTCTTTAACATGATAATGCATTATAATTAGCATGTAATGAGCAGCGAGGATGACCAGAGGTCAGTCTCATTGCCATCTTGGTTTTGGTGGGTTTTGAAGGGCTTCTTTACTGCAATCTGTTTGATCAGCAAGGTTTTTTTTTTTTTTTTTTTGAGACGGAGTCTCGCTCTGTGGCCCAGGTGGGAGTGCAGTGGCGCAATCTCGGCTTACTGCAAGCTCCGCCTCCCAGGTTCACGCCATTCTCCTGCCTCAGCCTCCCGAGTAGCTGGGACTACAGGCGCCCGCCACCACGCCCGGCTAATTTTTTTGTATTTTTAGTAGAGACGGGGTTTCACCGTGTTAGCCAGGATGGTCTCGATCTCCTGACCTCGTGATCCGCCCGCCTCGGCCTCCCAAAGTGCTGAGATTACAAGCGTGAGCCACCGCGCCCGGCCAGCAAGGTTTTTATGACCTCTATTTTGTACCAATCTCCTATCTCATTCTGTGACTTAGAATATGTAACCTCCTAGGAATGCAGCCCAGTAAGTCTTAGCTTTATTTTACCCATCCCCTATTTAAGATGGACTTGCTCTAGTTGGAATGCCTCGGACAATTAGAAGAGTACAAAAAGCAAATAGGAGATGGTGAGGCAATCCAGATTTAGCAATGGTAAGGAAGCATTACTGCTCATAGGACTGGAGGGACAAAGAGAGCAGGACGAGTTACAAGTGTCCAGGAACCAGAGTCACCTGTGAGAGCTGGAGCCATGGTAGGGACTGCCTGGTGGGAGCTGGAATCCAAGAGGTGATGTAGCTACTGCCAAAGAGAGTCCCAAGGAGATAGGGGCATATCAATACTTTAGCTCTATCCCTTCTCCCAGTCTTTAATCTCCTGTTGGGGCTCCCATGAGACTCCTACCAAAAGCCTGTTGCTATGGAGCCTAGGCATCATAATTGTCAAGGGCCAGTCCCCTGGGATACAGAAGAGGGCAAGGCCAAGGCTGGCAAGGGATTGAAGAGCAAATGGGGCAAGTGACCAGTACACAGGACCATGTGACACAAAGCAAGGCAAAGCACTTCCCAGGAATGACTGTGACCACAATGGCTGAGCGCAGAATCGAGGACATGAAAGGCATGTGGAGTTTCATAAATTGCCCTTCAGCCAGTTCAGGTGGCACCTGCTCAATAGCCATGCTTGATTCCTGGAGATCTGACTTAATTCTTTCCACACAATGCCACTGTTCTAGTAACAATCAGGGCTCTTTTCAGTTGCAAGTGGCCCACTTTTTAAAAATATCCAGTGTAAAAAGGCTTCAGGCAGAGAAGGAAGCAGATGTTCAACGATGTCATCAGGTAACTGTATTTGTCCATCTTTTAACTCTGCTCCCCTGTCTTGTTTTTATTTTCAAACAAAAGCTCCTCATGTAGGAACAACACACCTGCCAGGAACTCCAAGTTTGCATCCATTGGCTGCATAACCCCAGTGAAAACTCAACACCTCTTCCATAGGAACTTCAATAGTTCCAGCCAAAGTGCTGGAGTTGAGTTTCATTGTTCTGGCTTGGGTCAAGTGTCCATGCCTGAGCTGACCACTAGAGCCAGGAGAGTGGAGATGTTCTGATTGTTCAGACCTGGAACATGTGCCCAGCTCTGCAGCCAGGGCATGAAGTAGGGTGGTGTAGGAGTCAGCCTCATCTGAGTGGAAAGGCATTTCATCTAAAGAAAAAAAAGGTTTTTGTCTCCAGAAGAGGGGATGCTGGGCAGGTACAAATAATAGACATCTTCCCTAACCCCTTCAGCACTTCTGTTACCAGCCATGCTCAAGTTTCCCTTTGGTCTTGAGTGGTCAAACTAGTTCTGACAACACATTATACCCCCTTCATCTTCATATCCCCACAATGTCTGACACGGTGCCAGGGACATAGTAAGTGCTCAGTAAACATTTGTGGAAATGAATTGGGTGCAACTGATTGAAGTCTGCATTCATTTCTGGGGTGCAATGGGCATTTCCATATCCTGAGGATGCAGGCTATATTTCTCGTACTTTCCCTAGGGTGGGTAGTGGGCAGAGAAGAGGGAAGCAGCAGTGGCCCAAGTGCAGCCTCCCTCCCACGTCCTGCGACCTGATCTCTTGGGAACCCTGGCCAAACCAGCTGAGAGCTCATCTCCATTTGCTACAAATTAGAAAACCACCATTTTCCCTTCAGTCGGCCTGAGGCACAGTCTTTCCTTTCCAATTTGAATTGCATATAAGTCCCATTTCTTCCTGTTGGACGTTTAAGAACAATCTGACACTTCAGTTGTTTGTTCTTGTCTCAGATTTACAGGAGAAAATACATTTTAGAGCCCTGTTTGGTATTCTAGCTCCTTTTAGAAAGTTCCTTCAGTATCACACCACAAAACTGAAGTTCTTCAATCACTCTGCACAAATTAGCTTCAGACTCAGTCTTTGCACAGGGCCACCACGTAAGCCCGGACTCCTTTAGTCACTGGCCTCCAGACCAGCCTCCCACTAAGCAGAACCATTATGGAGTCTGTTTATAACAGCACCATTAAAAATGAAGAGCTGTCAAGAATCCCTTATAATGATGTTGGAAGCTGTATTCGCAAAGATTTTTTAATGACTAGATGGTTTTTAAAAGGCAATAGAACACTTTTAATGAACTGTAATGTAATAAATCAATCACAGTTTCTCTGACTTGACTACACTGTCTTTATATTTCTTGCAACTTATGGAAAACCACACAATTAATTCTTTCCTAATTTCCCTTTCCCACACCATACACCTGCAAAACTCAAGCAGACATCTAGGTAAAGCGTATTTATATTTTAAGAGATCTAGGTTTGCCATGAATATTGTTTAACAAACTCAATATTTAAGCTACCTATTGGAACATGGGCTCTTTTAAATTTTATTTTTAGTGTTTGTTCTTTTAAGGGTGTAGTATTAACTAGAGCATCCTAGTCATAGGCAAAAGAAACTAAGTCCAACTAACTTAAGAAGTGAACATTTATTGGAAGGATATCAGAAGCTCACAGAATTGCTGAGAGCTTTGAGCTTGATTAGAAATGGACAGGAACCAGGACAACTCTGAAGGGCTAGAAAATAGGAATTACAGAAAGTATCTTGTAGCAGAGCAGAGGGACGAGAAAGCTACTACCACCTCCAAACATGAAAATACCTCTCTCCTGGTTTCACTCTCTCCTAACACAGTATGCGATTGGTTGAGTTTAAGTCATGTTCCCTGGTGGCTCCCTGGCTGTGCTGAGGAGAGGAGAGGAAAAGATAGGGCCTTTTTGGCTTCCATCATGGGAAATGAGCACCTGATTTGCTATCTCATCCAGTTGACACACAACGGACAAGGTAATTTCCCAAAAGGAAATTATGGAACTGCTCAAAAGTGGTATTAATGAAAGGAATGCCAGCTGCCATACAAGATAATATCCTCAATTTTCTGTATTGGCTTAACACAGTACAAGTTTATTTCCAACTTACATAATAGTCCATTTTGGTTGTTTCTAATTAGAAGGCTCACTTTCAAGGGGTAATTCAGGGATCTAGGTTATTTTGTCTGATACCTCTGCATCCTGACATGTAGCTCCCAAATTTACACTGTAGGTCTTCTATATTCCTGGGGTAAAGAGTTTTTTGTTTTTGTTTTTAGAGACAAGGCCTGTTGCTCAGGCTGGAGTGCAGTGGCACAATCATAACTCACTGAAAACTTGAAAGGCTGGGGTCAAGAGATCCTCCTGCCTTAGTCTCCTGAATAGCTGAGATTATATGCCAGGTGCATGACACCATGCCTGGCAAACTACTTTTTTAAATTTTTTTTACTTTTTGTAGAGATGGGGTCTCTGGATATTGCCTAGGCTGGTCTCAAACTCCTGGCTCAAGTGACCCTCTCACCCTGGCCTCCCAAAGCACTGGGATTACAGGCGTGAGCCATTGCACCCAGCGTTTCTGCCTCTTTTTAATGGGCTACATCTGAAGTGGTGGGCATCACTTCTGTTCACATTCCATTGGCCGGAACTCACATGATCCCTTTTGAATTGCCAAGGAAGTGAGAAATACAACCCCACCTGGGAGAGCTGTTTCCTAGCAATGCTCTGCATCATGGAATGGGAAGCAGGAACCTTTGGAGGATGGAGACTAACCTTTGCCACAGCAGAGGAAATGGGAGATGGAGATGGATTGACAGCCCCTCCAATGGATAAAGGTCCACTATGGAGTTTGGGAAGGTCATGGACTTCCCTAATTTGAGCACAGGTAATTTCAGGAGGGAGAATTTTTCTAGTTTTGCCAACATATATTTCCCCCCTACAACGGGATTCTGATGCAAAAGTTCCCAGTGAGACTGGAAAGGTGTTGTTATTCCCAATTTTGCACCTGAAAATTTGAGGATTAGGGTTGATGAGGGCTAGCACTTAGCTCTTTTGACTCCTGAGAAAGTTCCCCTTTTACTACACAACCCTGTGTCCATAGCATTTTGACATCTTATTGCTTCCTTGAGTAGAGCAAAACAGAAAGTTCCATACCAGCACTGGAACCAAAACGAAATCCCATTCCCCACTCTAATGGAAAAGATTGCTGTGTACTTGTAATATCCTAAAGTAAAGCAAACTTTCCCTCATCTTCCTCTCCACATAGCTCCCCTTTAACTCGGCTCCCCAATTCAACTCTCTATCTGGGCTTGTCTCATGAATTTATTTTTTTCCCCAGAGACAAAACTTCCTTAGAACAACAACAATTTTAAAACAAAGATCTTAGTTGTTATGCAAACACAGTTTCATTTCCACAAAAGAACATTTCACAAAAAGAAAAATAAATGCACATTTTAAAATGTCAGCTAAAGAAAAGGAAAACCAAACCAAACCAAAAAAAAAAAAAACCAACGTAAACCTGCCATGGGGAATACATGGTATAATGCCATGTTGCCCAAAGAGTGATTTTACCAATGTCATTGAGGTAAGTGAAGGAGACTGGCCCTTGACCAGGAACATTCTGACAATTTAAAACGTGTGTGTGTGTGTGTGTGTGTGTGTGTATTTGTGTATATATCTACATCTATATTTATTAATATAATAGTGTGTGTATGTGTACACACATTATAGATACACTGTGACATATATATATATAAAATATGAAAATACATATCATTTAAACCAATGCAGTATATTGGATAGAATGGTAGGCTAGGAACAGAGTAAACAGAATAAGTCACAGAGTGATTGAGGTGTCTCAGCCACCACCACCATTACCCCATCTCCTAATTTCTTGCTTCTGTATCATGGACTTTTAATGGTAACTCCACTTAAATACATTATTAAGCAAAGTAGTAAGCTGGAAATGTAATTCTGATAAGTGCCATGCCATTTCATGGTGAGGTGGAGAAGGTCATTATTCCTGTGGCTGGAGTGTGCCTGAGTGGTGTGTGTGCTGGCTTTCAGGTTGGTAGAACTGGGTTCATGTCTCAGCCATGCCCATGACTGTGTGCACAGATCTTTATTTTTCTGGGACTCAGTTTCTCCTACCATAAAATGAAGGAGTTAGAGGAGGTGATTTTAGCATCACCTTCCAGCTCCGAATTTGTTCCCTGATTCTCAGTGCCAGAAAGTTGTGGCAAAGCAAGTGTGTTGTTCTTTTCCCAAATCACAATTTTTGGCTAATTATGTATCTCCCCATTTCCTCTTGCCATAAATTTTCATTTCAACTCAGTAAGTTGTAGACCTTCGTCAACACCGGTGCAGGAACGAGTGGACATGTCTTGTTGGATTTGCTCGCTCCTGCCCCTGCCTGCTTCCTAGATCCACAGATCCACAGGATGGAAATCCTGCATTACCTGTCCTGTCTCTCACTCTACAAAAGAAGGAACGGAGGTGATAGAACAGCTCAGATACAAAAAGCTTCAGCATGGGATGGGGTTTCCCACATTACTTACTGAGCCTGTTAGTGTACAGTAGAGGGTATGGAGGTGCTTCAGTCTCCACCACCATCACCCCATCTCCTAACACTGTTGGCTGCCTCCGCCTCCCCTGGGGGTGAAGCTGCATTTCAGCATGACCTCCATTGTCCTTGTCTTTGCTCTACCCCCAGTGCTCAGTCTAACCAGTTTGGACCCACAGAATGCAATGAGTAGAATGCATGTTGGAATCGTGGAGGAGAAACCTTTGTGAAGCAAACTCTATCCAATGAGAGGAAAGAGATGGGAAAAAGTCTGCAAATAAACCCCTCCCTCTTCCTTCTTCTCACAGACAAGTTGCAAGTTGCAGAGGTTCCATAGTTTCTTGAGAGATGTCCTACTTGACCAAGCGATGGGTTGTGTTTCTTGCAAGGCTGTGGCCAGCTCAGTAAAGCACTTCCTGGTATTTTTTTCTTCCTTCCTCCCTGATGCTCATCTCTTTTTCCTCACTTTTGCTGTCCTGGTGTTGTGTGCTCCAGTAAAGCCCCAGCCCATAAGCTTTTCCTCAGGCCATTCTCCAGGGAACTGTGCTAGGACACCACCTGTCAGCAGCATCTCCCCCAATACTGGACGCTACCACCAGTGTTTGGGAGATGGTTTTAGATGTTACAGCAGATACAACGTTGAATCTGATGGCGAAGATGTTACTTCTGTCTCAATTTGCTTTCAATCCTTTTAATTGCCCCATGGAGAAAGTTTCTGTTTAAAGCTGTTTTGTCTTAGGTAATTCTCTACCACTCTTAATAAATTCCTCTTCCACAAACAGACACCTGCTCTCAGGAGGAAAGCTTTCAGTGAAAATCATAAGCACATATCATTTAATCACATTGTTTCATTTCCAGTTTATTTATTTTGTGTTTAGCTTCTCTTTAGGGAGATACTTATTTTCTGATTATAAGTGATACACATCTTTCTTTCAAATAAATTTAACTACAAAAAGTCAATTAAAAATAACTAACCAAATAACACAGAGAGGTGATCAGGGATAGTACAGAAATATACACATGGTGTATAGGACAGGGATGTGGCCTAACCCATGAAGGTGAAACATGATCAGCTGGAATTTGGGAAACTGCTTTAGAGCAAAGGATTTTTCTTCATGCTTTAGGAGCAACAACAATTTGCCTCAACCTTCACTTCCAAATCTACTTTGTTCCTTGTAGCCTTTCCCTGAGATCTTCACACACTCTAAGTGGCCCCTTTCCTCCCCAGGGTACAGACATCCCCTAGTCTTTAAGCAGATTTTGGCAACTGTGTTTTATACAGTGCAACAGTGAGATTCATACTTCCCACTGTCTAGAACTACAGGCACTGAAATAACTAACAAGATTGCCAGAGAACAAGTAGGCCCCCACAGCCACCCCTGAGTTTTCTCCCTTTATTCACATGTTCCCCTACCACTCTGATCCCTAGCAATTTCTCTGAACTTGGTCTGGTTGCTGGTGTGGCCCCAGTCGTACCATCTCAGCTCACACTGCAAGGCCTACTGCAATCCATTCTTCATCTTCATTCCAGTTTAGTAGACCCAGTGTTGGCCCCAAGGCTGCCATTATATTCCCATAATCTTTATTGCCCCACCATTATTTGAGATGGTAATTGATGGCCTCTTAGTCTCTGTATACAGCTCTGCAACATAGTTTGGATATTTGTTCCTGCCCAAATCTCATGTTGAATTGTAATCCCCAATATTGGAGGTGGACTGGTGGATGGCATTTGGGTCATGGGGGCAGACCCCTCATCATAGCTTGGTGCTGTCCTTGCAATAGTGAGTGAGTTCTCTCGAGATCTGGTTGTTGTAAACTATGGCATCCCCCCACCTGCCCAACTTTCTCTCTTGCTTCTGCCTTTGCGATGTGACATGCCTTCACCTACTTCCCCTTTCCCCATGAGTAAAAGCTCCCTGAGGCCTCCCTAGAAGCTGCGTCAATTACTGTCCCATGCTTGTACAGTCTTCAGAACCATGAGCCAATTAACCCTCTTTTCTTGTTTTTTTGAGATGAAGTCTCACTCTGTCACCCAGGCTGGAGTGCAGTGGCACCATCTGGGCTCACTGCAATCTCCGCCTCCCAGGTTCACACCATTCTCCTGCCTCAGCCTCCCGAGTAGCTGGGACTACAGGCGCCCGCCACCACGCCCGGCTAATTTTTTTGTATTTTTAGTAGAGACGGGGTTTCACTGTGTTAGCCAGGAAGGTCTCAATCTCCTGACCTTGTGATCTGCCCGCCTTGGCCTCCCAAAGTGCTGGAATTACAGATGTGAGCCACCGCACCCGGCCAATTAACCCTCTTTTCTTTATAAGTTACCCAGACTCAGATATTTCTTTACAGCAATGCAAGAAATAGCCTTACACACTCTGAAGGCCATCTTCAAGCCCTCCTTTCTACCAGCCTGCTTTTCCTAGACTCCTCCTATCTAGAAATTCTGTAGTTTCTGCTGAATCCTTTCCTCCGTTCCTGTGGCTCATTGCTCTAGCCCACCCCTGCTATCTGCCATTTCTCTAGGTTCTTTCCCTTCCCTCCCTCTTTCACTCTAGACCTCTCTCACCTGGTTTTCTTCTTTCAGGTTCTCTGGGCCTCTTTTTAGGCTTACCCAGTGTCCTGAAAGCATGATGTTTAAATGCCACCTTTCTTCCATAATTCATGGAGAGAGGATTCTCAGGGCTTAGAAAATGCCATTGCAAAGGCCCTTCCCCTAATACCCCATCACTTCCTTCTCCTGCACCCATGCCTTGATCCAGATGCAGAGCTCCTCTTTGCATTTCAGGAGAAAAAGGTTTGTCCCCCAAGCAACTCCCCCTCTGCCAGACCTGGAGAGGACTGTGGCTAGCAGGGCAGTGCCGTCTTACCTTCTGCTACTGCACACTGGGACTAAGGGGCCAGAGGCCTCACCAGAACAAAGGCCTAACTGGGACCCAACACAGAAGGAGCTCATGTGATCCACAGAGGGAAATCCACTAAGAACCACATGCCACATTCGTATGTCTGAGATGCCCAAGAGAGTCTTCAGGACATACAACACCTATCCTGTGGTCCCAGTTCCTTTTTTGAGAAAGAAGCCAAAAAACAAAAGGAAAGAAAGAAAGGAAAGGAAAAAAAAAGGAAAAGAAAAGATGACAGAAAGGAAGGGGAAGAAAGAAAATGAAAAGTAAAGGAGGCCTCGGCCTTGTGCTTATCATGGGAAATGCAGGTCTTGTGCAACATAATGGAGAGCTTTGGCTCTATCAGCTCTTGCCTTTAGCACCCTGGATTGACAGAACACAGCATCCAACTCCACTCTAAATCCAAGGGGGAATGACCTTGGTTGCAATTTGCTGAGGCCTCTGTGGAAGTTGGAACAGCAACTCTGAACTCCAGGATTGGAAAGAATGAAGTCTTCCTGCCCTGGGATGGGCTCCCCAAAAATCTGAGGACAAGAGTTGAGGGTACCTCTTCCCCCATGTTCATATACCAAAGAAACTGGAAGGAAAGAGCCATTTTTCTATACCCTTCTTTTAATGTGGGCCCAGCACTACATCCTAGAAGCCTTCCTGGATGACCTTAGCTCATACTGAGTTTCCTTTTTGTAGGAATGGCACAACTCCTAATCTAATTATACACCATCCTGTTTTTCTTTCAGGGACATTGCCTTGTTTTTCTTTCAGCTCTGCCCTCAAATATGCATGTTTCTCAGAAATTCACGTAGTAGGTGCTTAATAAAGACTATCTGTTGAGTAAACAAACGAGAAGAACTGTGATCTAGGTAGGAAATACTGCGGAATTCTTTGGAAACTGTGTTCCATTTTCATCTACACCATTTATTTAGCTGTATGGTCCCCTGTAAGACTAATTCTTTGACCCTGAGTTTTCTCATCTGTAAAATCAGGATAATACCTACCTTACAGGGAAGTTAAAAAACTTACAAGTGTGGTAGGCAGAACAATACCTTCCCTACAAAGATGTCCACATCCTAATCCCTGGAACTTGGGAATATGTTATGTTACATAGTAAAGAAAGGGGAATTAAACATGCAGAAGGGATTAAGGATGCTAATCAGTTAACCTTAAAACAGGGAGATTATCCTGAATTATCTTCGTGGGCCCAATGTAATCATGAGGATCTTTAAAAAGGGAAAAGTGAGGCAGAAGAGAACCAGAGAGATGGCACTACAGGAAGGTGCTATAAGACTGAGATTGTTGACTTTGAAGATGGAAGAATGAGGCCACAAGCCAAGGGATGTGGGTGTCCTGGGAATTAGAAAAGGCTGGGAAATGCAGCTTGGATGACACCTGGCTTTCAGGACAGTGAGATCCATTTTGGATTTCCAGTCTCCAGAGCTGTAGGAGAATAAAGTTATGTTGCTGTAAGCCTCTGAATATGTGGTAGTTTCTTACAGCAGCAAGTGGAAACTAATACACAGGTGTTGTGTGGGAAGCACCTGGCATACAGTGGGTGGTTGAACAGTTGGTAGGCAGAGACTGTTAGTGTTTTCCCACTAGACTATCAGCAACTTAGAGACAATGTTTCTTACTCCTTTTTTTTTTTTTTTTTTGAGACAAGGTCTCACTCTGTCACCCAGGCAGAAGTGCAGTGTCAATCACAGCTCACTGTAGCCTTGGATTCTGGGCTTAAGCAATCCTCCAACCATCATCCTCCCACATAGTTTGGATGACAGGTGCACACCACTATGCCTAGTTAATTTTTTTTTTTTTTTGAGATGAGGTCTTGCTGTATTGCCCAGACTGGTCTTGAACTCCTGAGCTCAAATGATCCTCCCACCTCAGCCTCCCAAAATGTTAGGATTACAGGTGTGAGACACTGTGCTTGGCTGTTTCTTGCTTCTTTTGCATTCTTCTCAGTGCCTACCAGGTTACTGGGGACACACCAATGCTCAAAAAAGTTTCCAGACTCAGATTTAATTTTAGATTTGGGCATTGATTCTGGCAGGAAGGATGGGAAAGAGATTCAGTGTAGAAAGGGAACAAACGGGTTATAGAAGGCAAATCGGCTTTCTCTCGAAATGTGGGTTTAGTTTGCCTTCAAAGGCATATAATACAGAAGCCAGATTTAAATATACCCAAAGAAAAATAAAGTATCTACCAAAAAGACACCTGCACTTCATGTTCATCACGGCATTATTCTCAATCACAAAGGCATGGAATCAACCTAGTTGCCCATCAACAGTGGATTGGATAAGGAAAATGTGGTACATATGCACCATGGAATACTATACAGCCATAAAAAGGAAAAAAATCATATTGTTTGCAGCCACATGAATGCAGCTGGAGGCCATTTTCCTAAGCAAATTAATGCAGAAACAGAAAACCAAATATTGTATATTCTCACTTATAAGTGGGAGCTAAACACTGGGTACACATGAACATAAACATGGGCACAAAAGACACTGAGGATGGATGGAGAGAGAGGGAAGGGGGAAAAGGCTGAAAAACCACCTGTTGGATACTTTGCTCACTACTTGGGTTATGGATCCATTCATATCCCAAACTTCAGTATCATACAACATACCTTTTTATAACAAAGTTGCACATGTATCCCTGATTTTAAAAAGCTGAAAAATATTACTGCAAAAAAAAAAAAATAAATAAATACCACTGTGCCCTGAGATTCCAGGCAAAAATGTTTGGGGAAGATGTGGGGGAAAGACCTTTCACTCTTTTCCACAAAACACAAGAGGCCATCTCTCTGGGTGAGAGATGCTATTCATCGGGGGAAAACGTGTATTATGAGCAAGCCCGTTTCTATTTACCAACACTGTTTGCAGATGCATCAGTTTGAAGTCACCAGTGTGTCCAAAGGGCTGGGCCCTGGCATAGGCTAAGACAGTGAAAGCCATTGCAGAGCAGGATTTCGCAAATTTTCTTCATGTATTTGGCTCCACTCAGAACTCCAGGTTCCAAATAACAGAATCTTGGTTATGGGGATACTGCTGATCAATTGATCAGTATGATGCGGCTTCAAATCCCTGAATGTCTTCCTTCATTTTTAGAAGAAAGGAAAAAATTTTATTTCAGTTCTGAATGCATGGGGTAAGAAACCCAGAGGTCACTTTCTTTTTCTTTCCAGCTCTCTCTCACTCTCTTAAATAAGGAGAAAGGCTATATTTTTCCATGGATTAAGTCCAACACAGAGAAAACTGTCACTGTGAAAACAATAGAATTTATCTCCACTGATATAGCTTGACACTGGGACAAGTGCCTGAATTGTTGCCATAGCAATAAATGTGTCAGACTTATGCATGCGTTTTCTGCTATAGGATTTTGATTAATGGCATTGACTAACTGGTGTGAAGGGGGAGAGGCCATTCAGAAGGCCCAAGGAGAGAGAGCCAGGCTGCACAGGACTTGCTGTGGCCCACTTTGGAGGGATGTCACATAGCGTTGGCTAGAAACCAGTTAAACAAGGTGCAGAATCTCTTCCGTGGAGCAGAATCCACTTGCCAGCAGTGTCTTGTGGCAGGGGCTTGGGAGGTGGGTGCAAGACACTGAGGCCAGAGCTTGATCAGAGCCAGAAAGCTATTGAAATCTTACGTGTATGGTTGCTTCCTATATGCCAGGCACTGATCCAAGGACTTCGTGTCTCAACTTATTTAATCCTTACATGAACTCTATGAGTTAGATATTACTATTTTTTTCTGATAAGAAAATTGAAGCACAGAGAAGTTCATTAGCTTTTAAAAAGTCACACAGCTAGTTGGTGACAGAACCAGGATTTAAACCCAGTCAGCCTGGCTTTGGAAGGCAAGCTTAACCACCACACTGTGATTTGCTCTAGAAACAAATACTGCCCTCTTGACCTTGCTCATAGATGCTGGCAATGAGGGTAGAAGATAAGAGAGAGAGAGAGAGAGAATGGCTCAGTGAAAAAATCCCCACCCCTGGAAAATCAACTCAAAGCCCACACAGCTCTCTGAGGGAAGGCAGCGTATATTCCTCATTGCCAGCATTATAGGCACCCATTTAGCACCTGGGCCTGCAGTGTGCTTCCTGGAAGTCTGTACTGAATCTTTCACATTAATCAAAAAGCAGACTGGCGGGATGGTCAGAGCAAGGCCTGGGAGCCAGGGAGGCTTGAAACCTGGCTGATGGCTGTCGACGTGACCTCAGGCTGTTCACGTGACCTCTTTAGGCCTCCATTTCCTCATCTGCAAAATGGGTATAATAGTACAACCTTGCCTATGGTTGTGGGGATTAAATGAGATGATGTATTGTGACCACTGAACGCAGTGACTGGCACACAGTAAGTCCTAAAATTAAGTCAGATTTTTAAAAGACTCATTTTTACTAATATGCCTGGTGTTCAGAAAACCTTTTCAGTTTGCAGATTCAGACTTTCCTTTAGCTCAAACAAGTTTTCTATTATTATTTTCTTTGATTTTTTTGTTTCTGCTTCCTCTGTTCTTTCCTTTTTGATCTTCCCTTTACTTTTAAACCGCACCTCCTTAGGGTGCCCGCTCATCATTCTTCTCTCTTGTTTTCATTTTCAAACTCTTTGTTCTCTTTGGAGATGAGGCTGCTTTTGTCAAGTTTGTCTTCTACTTCACTCATTGGATAGTTTTCTTCATTATTCATCCTATTGTTCATGCCTTTGAAATTATTTCTAATTTTAGGTTATTCCTTTTTGACTAGTCTAATTTCACAGATTCAAAAATAGTTTTGAAATCACTACTCAGAATTCAATTTTTCAACAATAAATCTGTATAGGAAAGGCTGCTTCTCCAAAATGTTCCTATTCTGTTGGACCACTATGTTACTGATCAGATTTCATTCATTCACTCACTCATTCACTACCTCAAGAGTATTTTACTGTGTGTCTGTTATAAGTCCACATCATTTGTCATGTCATGGGCATAAGGACTCTGAAGGAAGATACAGCAGACTAAGGGAAACCAAGAGTGACAGGGGTAACTATTTCATGTGAAGTGGTCAGGGGAGGCCTCTCTGCACAGGCAACATTTGAGCACACACTTGAAAAAAGTAAGGGAGTGAGAGATGTGGCTATTGAGAGGAAGAATATTCCATGTGGAGGGACATCCAGTGCAAAGACCCTGCTGTGTTTGCAGAAGCAAACCTGTTTGCTGTGGAAGACAGCTCAAGTGGAAAACTCCAAAGAGATGGTTTTCACCTGGGTAACTCTTTCTCTCTCATGGCTTGCCTGCCCTATAGATTATTGTTTTTAGTGTTTTCTTTAATTCCCAGAAATAAAGTTCTTTCCTAAGAGGGGAAATTTTGAGTGGTCCATGATGCATCCTACAATAAGATTCTATTCGTACTCCAGCAGAAATCCTTTGAGTTTGGCATGTGGATGTCATCTGTCCTACTTTCAGGGACTGTTACTGAAATGCTAATGGCTTGAAAAGGGGACTGTACCCCATACCCCACTGCAGGAGATCAGGGATGGCAAATGCATGACACATATGCCTTGATTTCAGAGTAGATGGCACATATCGACTTAGAGGTCTTTCCTGCTGAGACAAGAAGCCACTTCAGAAATCTCTCAACAGCCCCAGTCAGTCAAGGTTGGCACCCAACATGAAACCTTTTGGCCAACCTTGATGATGATTTCTGATGAGACACCTATAAATTACATTTTTGTGTTAGGTTGAGCCACATGAAATTGCTGATAGGCAATTTTTTTATCCTCAATAATGGCTATTTTATATGGCCCAATTTAATGCATCGAATTAAATACAACTCTGTTCAATGGACCCTTGCTGGGAAATCTTTTGCTAAGCAAAGGTCTCTTTGTCTTCTCAGAACACTTAAGTCATAATATAAACTCACTTTTCATGTATTGAATTTTCTTGCAGTGGGACTCACCTGCATTCATTAATTTGCTAACACATCTACCACAGCACCAGCTCCATTTCTGGACCTTGTCTAATTTTTTTCACCTTCTGGGACCATGAGGTGGCTGAACCTAAAATAAGAAGCCCCTGGGCTTGATGCTGTGGCTCACACCTGTAATCCCAGTACTTAGGGAGGCCGAGGTGTGGATCATGAGGTCAGGAGTTCGAAACCAGCCTGGCCTATATGGTGAAACCCCATCTCTACTAAAAATACAAAAATTAGCCAAGCATGGTGGCACACGCCTGTAGTCCTAGCTACTTGGGAGGCTGATGCAGGAGAATCGCTTGAACCCAGGAGGCAGAGGTTGCAGTGAGTCGAGATTGCACCACTGCACTCCAACCTGGGTGACAGAAAAAAAAGGAGCCCCTAACAGACATACCAATAGACCATAGCTTTCTCCCCTAACCTCCATGTAGTTTCTGTGTTATTGTTCTCCTTTATTCACTCTCCTCCCTGTAGGAGGTTTATACTTTCCCCACCCACTGCCATGTGACTTGCAGTACTCCCTGAAGAAGTGTACTTTCCTGCCCTCTTGACCTCAAACTTGGTCATGTGACTTGCTTTGGCCAATGGAATGTGACACACAATATCTGTGTGCAGAAGTTTTAAAAGACTTTGTATGGTTCATTCACAGTGCTCTTCTCCCTGAACCATGAGACCTGCATCTCAGGTTGCAGAAAACATGTGGAGCAGAGGTACAGAGCCTTCACTTTGCTGCAGCAACAAATAAAGTGAGTGAGAAATGGACCTCCATAAGGCACTGAAAAGTTGGGGAATGTTTGTTACTGTAGCCTTACCTAGCCAAAGCTGACTGATATACCTTGTCAGCATTCAACACCATGTTAAGGAATAATTTTCCCCAGGGACTTGCTGTGGATAAGGGTCATATAGCCGTAGAGCTTGCTGGAGGGTATGTTGGTTTTCATACGTTGATATGAAGGCCATGGATGGTCCACCCTTTCTAAACATAACAAGTGATGGATGTGTCAGAAACCTGTAAGAGAATGTATCCAAATCATGGAAGGATCACAGATGCTTTGCAAGAAAAAAAAAGAGGTTTAAGGCTCAAATAAGCTTGGAAACACTGGATTCGATGAAGTAAAACAGGTTTCTTTCCAGCAAGACTTCTCAGAGCCTTTAATCTGCTAACATGCATTGTGAAACTCCAAGAAAAGAGGGTATACATAAATTCACTGTTTTCCAAAATTGTTTGATCATAGAGCGTTTCATGGGCTTAACACTCTGCAAAAAAGTTGGCAAATGTTGCCTCTGGTGGCGGCAGAATTTTGCATATTTCTCTTGTATTTCCCATCTCTTCTAACCATCTTTTACACTGCTTGTCTTCTTCTTCTCCTCATTTGTCTTCTTTCCTTTTCTCCCACCTGTTCTTCTGCCTCTACCTGCTCTTCCACATCCTCTCATTATTCTACCTTTGCTTCCAATTTCTCCTTCTCTTTTCCTCCCTCTTTTCTTTATTCTCACCTCTCCTCCCTTTCCTATTGTTCCCTCCTCCCCTCTGTTCACTCTCCTCATCCCTTTTCTCTTGTTCTCTTTGGCTTTTCAAGAAGCCAGTGAGTTTTCTTGGACTGGACGACCCAAGGGGATGTCCTGCCTGATTGACAGGTGTCATT
Source organism: Homo sapiens (assembly GCF_000001405.40). Taxonomy (NCBI): domain Eukaryota; kingdom Metazoa; phylum Chordata; class Mammalia; order Primates; family Hominidae; genus Homo; species Homo sapiens. Next base: position 52,630,049 of record NC_000016.10, on the reverse strand, counting down.
CTTGAACAGGAAAGCCAGTGATGGTGCTGCCTGCTCTTCCCAGGTGTGGTGTCAATTTTAGAGTGATGGGCTTTAACATCGCATCAGCCTCCTTAAGGGCCGATCCTTTGTTCTAGATTCAGACAAAGCAGCACAGTCGGCCTTAAAAGAAAAAAAAAAAGCTGTTTCATTTTATATTGGAAAAATACAATGTGACATCTGGAGAATAAATTGTTCAGTCAGCCAGAAATACGCCTTGTAAAAATTGCTTAGGTTTCTGTAACAAGATTATTTACTGCGAGTGTTCACCTATAATACAGCACACTTTTGAAATGGACCTTTTATGAAACACATCAAGAACTGTAGAAATGTATTCAGTGCATTAATCTACAACACTGCACACTTTACCACACTTTTAGAGCAGATTTCAAAACTCAGACCATCTAATGAGATAGAAAAAAGTTATTCTCGTCCTGTATTCATTCCAGTCATGTTCTACACCGAGCCCTTGGGATATTTAACATAATGCAATAGGTTTTTCAACATACACACACCCACACACACACTCACACACACTGTCACACACAGTCTCATGCACAAACAAAATATATGACTGTTCAGATGAGTATTCAGTTTAGAATGCACCAGGCCCATATTTCAACAGCCCACGTGCAAGGCAAAGACTGGCTATTTCAGATACCAGAACTTTATAAATATTTAAAGAACTTGATTTAATCCAAATGAGAGATCGCTCAGGTGCTGTCAGTTACTTACATAACTCCTTCTTTTCTGATCAGGGGGTGACAGTTTGGATAGCGATCTCCTGGCAATTTGAGGATCTGACTCCGTTGGAGTCTGGCAGCTGGGATCAGGCCTGAGGTAGCTGAAGCAGGTGGATTGTGGAGAAGTGGGTCAGGTGGGGGAGGCAGAGAACAGACTCCTGCTTTTCTGACCTTGACTCTTTTTTATGTATTCTGATGACAGCAATAAATTCTTCTAGCTGGGCAACTCAGGAATAGGTGATTCAAGCCCTTCTACCTCAAGGTCAACTCAACTGCCCCTTTGGTTCAGTGGATATCAGCTCTAGAAGATAGAGAACAGAGACCCTGCAAACTGGTCCTCCACGTATCCAATGAGAGGCCCAGACTCTCCACAAAATTCTACTTGGCCTCTTGACCTTAATGTTGTTGCTGGGAGAGCTAACCTGAAGGAAAGAAGCTAGCACAGAAATTCAGGAGAGAAGAAATAGAACCTTCCCTAAATTCTCTCTCCAGTGTCAAAGATTGACTAATTTCTCTGCTACCACTTCCCATCCTCTAGTCATGACCACACTACAAAAGTTGCATTATACTCAAGGTAGGGCTAGTGGCAATTGTGCATCCTCTGCACCTTGGAGGATGGAGTGCTGGAGATAGCTTGCCCAGCCCTGCTTCCTGAGGATCTCTCTCTCTCTCTCTCTCTCTCTCTCTCTCTCTGAAACAGGGTCTCGCTCTGTCACCCAGGCTGGAGTGCAGTGACATGATCACAGCTGCAGCCTCAATCTCCTGGGCTCAACTGATCCTCCAAACTCAGCCTCCTAAGTAGCTGAGACTACAGGTATGTGCCACTAAGCCTGGCCAAAATTTTTTTTTTTTTTTGGTAGAGACAGGCTCTTGCTGTGTTTCTCATGCTGGTCCCGACCTCCTGGCCTCAAGCAATCCTCAGCCCTGAAGATCTCTTCTCTTCTTTAATTTATTAATTTTTATTTTAATAGTTTTGGGGGTTACAGGTGGTTTTTGGTTACATAATTAAGTTCTTCAGTGCTGATTTCTGAGATTTTAGGGCACCCATCTCCTGAGCAGTGTACACTGTATCCAATATGTAGTCTTTTATCCCTCAACTCCCTTCCCCTCTGAGTCCCCAGAGTACATTATGACATTCTTATACCTTTGCATCCTTATAAATTAGCTCCCAATTATAAGAGAGAACATATGATATTTGATTTTCCTTTTCTGAGTTATTTCACTTAGAATAATGGCCTCCAACTTCATCCAAGTTTCTGAGAAAGATATTATTTCTTTCCTTTTTATCACTATATAGATGACATTTTGTTTATCCATTTGTTGGTTGATGGGCATTTAAGTTGGTTCCATATCTTGGCAATTGAGAATTGCATTGCTATAAACATGCACATGCATGTGTCTTTTTCATGTAATGACTTACTTTCGTTTGGGTAGATACCCAGTAGTAGGAGTGCTGGATCAAATGGTAATTCTATTTTTGGTTCTTTAAGAAATCTCCATACTGTTTTCCTTAGTGGTAGTACTAGTTTATGTTCCAGAATAAAAGTGTTCTGAGAGCCTCTTCTTAATGGACTTCAGCATTTTCCATTTTTGTTTTTCTGAGTCTCATACTCTGGGAAACTAACAGCATCCTTGAGAAACTTTCTTCTTCTCATTGCTTCCATTCCTTTCATGGAAATGTTGTCTTCACTCTTTGTGGTCCAACTCAAGACACTTGTCCTTCCTCAAACCTTCCATGACCCTCTGGCTCCCCCTAATTTTTCATTTTTCTGCTTTTTTGAGACAGGATCTTGCTCACTGTGTTGCCAAAGCTGGAGTGCAGTGGTGTTTTCTATCATAGCTCACTGCAGCCTTGACCTCCCTCAAGTGATCCTTCCACCTAAGCCTCCCGAGTAGCTGGGATCACTGGTACACAACCATGGCTGGCTAATTTTTATTTTTCATAGGGATCGGGTTCACCCTGTGCTGTGCAGGCTTATCTTGAGCTGCTGGGCGCAAGTGATCCTACAGTCTTGACCAACCGAAGTGCTGGTATCACAGGAATGAGCCATCACAACTGGTCTTCATTATTGATCCTCTCATGTAATCTACTGGACTGTGCAGTCTAGAAATCCATCAGACATAGCCTTGCCTTATTTTTTACAGCATGTCTTCTCCTGTAGGTTAAGCGGAGGCATAGGGGATAGAAAGACAAGTGCACCAAGAAGAATCAAACTAGGATTCTAATTTTTCCTCCCTCACCATTTTTATGCATCATGTGAACCTTGGTCAAGCACCTTAACCATTCTGAGCCTCAATTTTCTCACCTATCAAAAGAAGGCATTTCTTATATTGCTTGTCTCATCAAATAGTTATTAGTATTAAGTGAACTAATTGAGTGAAAACATTTCACAAACTGAAAATTTTGGAATGTGTACGAGTATCAAAAATAATTAGCTGCTTGTCCTACACTTGCTTTTATTTCCCCCACAGAAGCTAGAAAATGGTTGAACACGGAGTAGGAAATCAACAAATATTTGTTAATTAGAATGTCTGTTCATTCTTCATGCCCCAAGTCACCCTTCACCAGTTCTGGCTTCTGGAAGGTCTACTAAGATACACAGAGCAAGCCCTAATCAGGATGAAAAGGATTTAATGACTGCATCTGTACTTTTCACAAAGATTCAGAGAGGTGGGTTTAGGTTTTCCTTTACAATTTTCTAAGAGCCTAAGTTGAAAGCTTCGTTATGGAATATTCTCTGGAAAGATTCTGGGTGGGGCTTAAAATTAAAACTTTAACACAAACTCTGAGATGATCTTTTCCCTTCTTTCAGGAACAGAGAATACTAATAAATTAGGAAGACCATTTGATAAGCCAGATGTCACTGAATTATTTCCTGTAAGGTTGTGACATGTCTGTACTACAGGAAAGTGAGAAACATCTAAAATTTTGGGGAGAGCCTGTCTCAGTCTGTTTTGTGTTGCTATAACAGAATACATGAGACTGGGGAATTTATGAAGAACAGAAATTTATTGGCTTACAGTTCTGGAGTCTGAGAAGTTCAAGATCAAGGTGCTGGCATCTTGTAAGGGCCTTCTTGTTTTGTCATAACCTAGCAGAAGGCATCATATGGGCTCAAGAGAGGTGGGAGGAGGCTGAACTCATCCTTCTATAAGGAACCCCCTCCTGCAATAATGGCATTAATCCATTCAAGAGAGCAGAGCCCTTACAACCTAATCACCTCTTAAAGGTCTCACCTCCCAACACTTCTGCACTGATGATCAAATTTCCAACACATAAACTTCGGAGACACATTCAAACCATAGCAGAGCCCATTTGATTAACAATTCAGTTGACTTACTCCTTGGTTTTGTATTTCTCCACAAATGACCCCTCCTTTGTATTCTGAAGAGAGCAATGGATTTCACTGTGGACAACCCTATTTTCCTTCATTGCAATGGTGGCTTGGGAGAGAAATTTGGTTAAAAGGCCTTAATACTGGCCCTGAGGCTCAGAGCCACTCAGATGCTTGAAGATTTCATCTTTAGGTAGATGCTGAAATGTGTGTTGTGGCTGTATATGGTTTGGCTATTCAGATTGGGAGTAAAGGCAGGTGAATCCTTTCAGTCAATCTCACCTGGTAGTTCTAGAATCTCCACCTCATTGTGATGTAAAAGAAATAAGGTGCAGGCTGGTCCAGAGAAAAGAGATAACATCAGGATTGCCAGCCCCCATGGGAGATCCTGGCTTCTGCACCCTGGCCGAAGCAACTGTTTCCCCTTGTTCCCATGAACTGACACATCTCTAAACATAAACTAATGTGGGGGAAACTGCAGGCTCCAAACTGAAGCCCCATTCATAGAATTCACTCCATTTTCCTTCAAATGATGTCAGAAGGGGGCTGAGAAAATCGTATCTCAACATGAGCCACATACATTGGTGAAAATTTCCCCTAAAATTTTTTTTAATGGCATTCATTGAAAGGATTGTAGTTTTAAGGTTTTGTAATAATAACTATGGGAGAAATAGAAACAAGTAAGATGTGATCCTTTTCTCAAATGACTCACCATCTGCAGGCGGAGACAGCTGTACAAATTCAATTATGGCTCTAGACTAACTGTTGTAAGTGTAGTAATATATGTGCAAGTGAAGTTCACTCAAAGAGCAGGGAGGAAGGGATATGTGAGGGCTGAGGGATCTAAGAAAACTTCTTGGAGGAGGAAGACAATCTAATGAGGGCTATCCATGGTGATGAAACCAATAGCTTCAGCCATTACATTTTAGCCATGGCTTCAGCACCAGATTGATCAATGAGGCATTTGAGGAGTATCTGGCAAGCCAGATTGGAGAAAAGGTCCTAGAAATGGGGTGTGTTCATGCTATTTAGAAAAGAGAGGTGCAGGCACAGTGGCTCACGCCTGTAATCCCAGCACCGTGGGAGGCCAAGTCAGGAGGATTGCTTGAGCCCAGAAGTTTGAGACCAGCCTGGGCAACAAAGTGAGACTCTGTCTCTATCAAAAAAAAAAAAAAAAAAAAAGAAAAATAATTAAAAAGTAGTGTGGCATGGTGGTGCATGCCTGTAGCTATTTAGGAGGCTGAGCTGGGAAGATTTCTTGAGCCCAGGAGGTCGAGGCTGCAGTGAGCTGTGTTCACACCACTGCACTCCAGCCTGGATAACAGAATGAGACTCCGTCTCAAAAGAAAACAAAAGGCAGGTGACTTGTTTCAGCAATATTAGTACTTGAGACTTTTTCTCCTCTCCTCCTCCATATCTTCTTAGTCTTTATGATTCCTGGTGGCCACTAGCAGGTGGGGACTCTGATTTAGGTACTGTCAAAACTATCTGGGTTTCAAGTAACAGAAGCCAACTTAAGAAAGCTCAAGCAAAAAAATATAGATTTACTAAGAATATGAATGTCTCATGGAACCCGAGGTGAGGAATATATTTGAGTCTGAGAAAGAAATTGCTCTCAAAAACTGGGAAAGCAGCTAGGAGTCCAGGCAGTGCTCCCACTCATCTCTGCTTCTCTCTGAGCATCTATGACTCTTCTCTTTATACAGCAGTTCTTTCTGCTTCTTAGTCTATATAAAAAATATGACTGTTCCAGAGTTTCTAAGCTTTTACCATGTCCTTCAAAATCTCCAGTTCACAGAGACTATGTGGTTATCTCTGAGTTCCTATTTTATTCACATTTCTGGTAAAGAGAATCTGTTTAAACTAACTTAAGCCATGTGTCTTGTCTCTCTTTGGTCCAATACGTTTTGCCTGTAGGGTGGCTGTCAAGATCCTATCCTTGTGGGTGGAAATGTTGTTCTTAAAACATAAAAGGATTGCTCAAAGCCTGGCCACATCACCCCCTGCCACCCTCAGCTCTCAAAAGGATATGCCATCTACCCCATCCCAAGCTCCTGTTCTGCAGGTGAATCACAAATCATCAGTTTAGGGAAAGCTCAGTTATAGGAAGAAATAAAAAGAAAAAAAGAATACTGCTGATTTGGGATGCCATCCTTTAAGAAAACAGTGATATAAGCCTTCTCTTTTTCATAAACTCAAGCTTTCACCACATCGAGGTTGTGTTTCTGGTTGTTCCTGCTGTGCATAAAAGGCTATTTTCTTGGTCTCAATAACTTCATTTTCTACCAGTCTTATTATCCTGCCTCACAGATGTGTATATGATGCTTCTGAATAAGGCAGATTCAGGAAGGCCCTAGTAAGTCCAAACTCTTGGTATTATACACAAGGCCATTTAAACTCTGACTCCTGACTACTTCTTCTGCCCGAACTATTACCACACTTGATCTTGCAATGAATGTTCCGGGCATTTATAATTGCTTTTAATCCCTGAAACTGCATGGTGTTTGTGACTCCATGCCTCTGAACATCCTGTTTCCTCTTTCTGAAGCCTCCTTCCCATCTGAACCTCTTTCCCATTAACTCCTACTCACCTGTTAGAACCTCGCTTACATATACCACTCCCTACCTCACTTCCAGAAAGCCCTCCCTGAGAAGGAGACTTTCTTTCTTTTCTGTCTGTCTTCTGTACTAAAATGAGATGATGAAGTGGCTTAATACAAAGTAGCACTCTGAGGCTGGATACCTCATTGCATAGCACCACCTTCCATTCCTCTCTTTTTATTTACTCACACATTATTCATATATACTAGACAACACTCTGAGCTCCCTTAGGGTATCTCTGTTCTGTTTATCTTCATATTTGTTCCTCTGCAAACACACACCTTTGTGCAAGAAAGTGTTATAGCTTGGAGATTAAGCACGAGCCCTCTCATGCCAGATGAACATGCTGGGGTTCAAATCTCAACTTGTCCAATCCTTAGCTGTAACCCTGGGCAAGTTATCCTACCCTCTACATCCAGTTTCCATGACTATAAAATGATTATAATCATAAGACTTACCTGTAAGTGTTCTAATGTGGTGATTTAGCGAGGTAATGCATGTAATATAGTAAGCCTCACCAAATGTTGGGTACTATCCAAAAGTCTTCTGAGCAGAATTTCTCTTTTACTTGATGACTTAGAAGACACTCTATTTCAACAACCAAAAATGTATTGTGCATCTTGGGGGCCTTTACTAAAGACACTGATAAAGTATTTTTCAGTAGATGGGCCAAAGTGCTGGTTGCCAGAAGGTTCTGATCAATTAGAGAGTCTTTCTCTTACTACATTTTTTAAAGGCTTTGATTCCATTGCCCTTTTCCTAGATGGGGAAGAAATGGAAATCCAAGCAACTTTGATTTTGCATCTGGGGATCTCCTTCGACCACCATGAGACTCTTGGATGAAATGTACACCCAGAGCTGCTTGCCAGTCAAACCTCTGCCCAGTTCACCCCAGAAAAATGCTCATCTTGGAACAATAGAGGAGCTTTTGCAAAGTTCTAGAACTCTCAGTTTTTCAAGCAGAACTCAGGACAGGGGAATAACCTATTATTCTGAAAGAGAAAACAGAGATTAGGAAAGGAAATCTGCCCTGCTCAACACACACCTATGATTATGGGATATAGGAATTTTGGATTTGTAAAAAAATACACCTACTTTCTAAGTCTGTGGTGACAGCTCTTCTTTCCAGATCTTATTGAGGGCTGTTCTCTGGGTGTCCCTACATCCTAAAAGGTACAAGGACTGAAGGCTTGCAGTTCCCCTGCCTCCCTTCTCATCCACCTTCTCTTGCTTTCTCTCTAGCCCCTCAGGCACTTGCTCCTTGTTTCTTCTATTTTTTCATCTCAGTTCTCTCTGCATTTCTTCCCTCTGTATCTCCTCTCCCCAGCCCTCTCTTTTCCTCTTTCCTTCTTCCTACCTCCCTCTCTCTCAGTTACTCAAGAGGCATGTTCATTCCTGGTCATATTCTATTCTCAACTCTAGAAGATGAGATGCATTTTCAGCTCCATAAAACCAGCCCCCGGGGCTGTGTTCATCATGCGTGAGCACAGCTTTTGTGGGCAGGCATATGCCCGGAGGGATGCTGGCACTGGAACACAGCAGAGCAGCCTCTTCCCTCCTCTGTAGAATTTGGACAATATTGCTCCATCCAGAAAAGCCTGCATTTCCAGAGCTGCCACTTTCAGCCCCGGCCAAGCGACTCTTTGAGCTCTTTATTTGGAAATCATGTCTTGTTGGATTCTCCAACAGTCTGTCTTGAAAGAAAGAAAAATAAAAAAAGAAAGAAAGACAAAAAGAGAGAAAGAGGGTGAGAAAGAGAGAAAGAAAGAAATAAAGAAAAGAAAGAAGAAAGAAAGAAGAAAAAGAAAGAAAGACCTGATTGCCACCTATTGATTACTGACCACGAAACACAATAGATCTCTAACATGAGGCAAATAACCATTTTAAATCTGCTGCGACTTTTCTAAGTATTAGCATTAGGATTAAACAGAAATTTCTCCTGCCAAAAAAAAAAAAAAAAAAAAAAAAAAGAAGACTAGGTTTAGGACCAAAGGGAGTTGATTCTGACATTCATTATAGTATTTTAAAAAATATTTCAATTTGGAGAAAGGGAAATAGGGGATGACTGATGACTGGGTACAGAAGAGGTTTTTTATTTATTTATTTATTTTTTTTGTGAAAGGGGGTTTGGTCTGAAGCTGTGCATGTCAGAGAATTTACCCAGGGGGATGGCAAACCTGCGACAGAGTCAATTTAGTTACAAGATCAAAATCTCTGGACTCACAGGAGACAGTGTTAAAAGGTTGGGAAAAGCTACAGATCTGTTAAAATCATGCTTTTGCAGCAAAATCAGATTCTGAATTGCTTTACAGGCTCTCCATTTATAAAGCCCCTTTCAAGCTGGCAGTTTTTGGTCCAAGCAGTCAGGATGTTTAGGAAGCCGTTGAACCAAGGCATTGACTTCACACAGCCCTCCTCTTCTATCTCCACCCCAACTCCCAGCCCCTACCTAGGTCAGGTTCAGCTGCTTAAAAGACAAAAGGAAAAAGTAAAGGCCCAGGCAAGAACTGATTTTCTGGTGCTTATAGAATGACAGGTTGCAGAACTAATGTCCAGTGCTCCCTTGTTAATAGTAATAACAAACAAGTTAACAATAGCTAATGAACACTTACTATGTGCCAGATATTGTACCAAATATTTACAGACAAGGGTGGGCAAACTATGGCTCATGGGCCAAGTCTAATCCACTGCTTCTTTTTGTGCAGCCGGCATGCTCAGAATTGTTTTGACATATTTTTAAATAATTTTTAAAAATTCAGAAAAAGAATATTTTATGACTCATAAAAATTACATGAAAATCAAATCACAATGTCCATAAGTAAAGTTTCATTGGAACACAGTTATGTTCATTCATCCATTCAATGAACTGTGTTCATCTCTACCTATTATTTATGGCTGCTTGTGGGCTATGAAGGCGGGGTTAAGCTGTCGTAGTAGAAATCATATGACCCACAAAGCCTAAAATATTTACTGTCTGGACCTTTACAGAAAAAGCTTGCCAATCCCTATTTATGTACAACACCTTATTCTTACAAATGTCTTGGAAAGTAGGGACTAAGATTATCCCCATTGCTGCAGGTGGAGAGGAAATGGGGGCCAGAAAAGTCACTGCACCTGAAGTACTTCTCTTAATTTCCTCCTTGAAAAGCCTCTTTTAATGAGACTATTCTAAAAGGAAGCACTTCCTTAGGTGCTAGGAAGTAGTGAAAAGTGACTGGAAAAAGTCAAAATCCACAAGAGTTTCAATCTACAGTGAAAGTCTATGGTAACTATAGCTAATGTAAATCTTCAAAGTCATAAACACTTTTTGATTTATTTAACAAGCATATATATAGAACTTAGTATGTGGCAGGTACTATTCTCAGTGCTTGGCAAATATTAACTAATTTCATTCTCTCAGCATCCCTATGAAGTAAATCCTATTACTACTTCCATTTTATAGATGGGGAAACAGGCACAGAGGTGTTTGTAGGTAACTAACAGTCACACAACTGTCAGTGGAGAGACAGGATTTGCACTTGGTTGAACTTGGTTGGAATGCCAGTGCTCTGCATCAATGTGTTATGCTGTTTCCTCCTCTCAACCTATCATTGGATCATTACAGCAAACCTGGGAGCAGAAGGCTGCTCGTTATTCCCACTTAACAGATATGGAAACTGAGGACTTATGAGGTAAATGACAGGACCAGGAATGAACACCTATTTAATTGCAAAGCCATCCCCTGCTTACTTCACTCCACATCACTTTCTTCTTGCTGTTTGCCTTTAAGCTACTCTGACTTTCTTTCAGTTTATTGCACCTGAGATTCCTTCTGCCTGGAGCACTTCCCCTTCACTTTTCATGTGCTTAGTTCCTTTTCAACTCTCATGTTAGACAGTCTTACTAAAAACAGGCCCTGCTTTCTCAACAAATAGATTTTCAAATAACAGTGTTTCTTTCTCTCGCATGCAGAAGTGTGGGTTAAAGGGTGTTAGGCAGCTGCACGGTCATGAAGGACCAGGCTCCTTCTTCAACATGGCTTCTGACTGGAAGTCCAGAAATGTTGCTGTAGCTCCTGCCATCACATCTGACTTCCAACCAATTAGAAGGAAGAAAAGAAAGTAGAACAACCCTCCACTTTTACTCATATCCTATTGTCTAGGATTTAGTCAGATGACCACACCTATCTGCAAAAGAGTCTGAGGGAATCTAATCTTTTTTTGTTTTGTTTTGTTTTTGAAGGCTTTATATCAGCTAAAAAGTAGAGTTCTGGTGGTGAATGAGAAAGGGAGGATGGGCACTATACGGCAACTGTCATAGAACTTTGTATTTTTCCTTTATCACACTTCTCCAACTTGTAATTAGATCTTTATTTGTGTGGTTATTACTCAATGTCTTTCTCTCTCACTGGACCAAAACTATGACCTTCTGACTCATTTCTGCTGTGTCCCCAGCACTTAGCAGAGAGCCTGGCACATTGCACCTGATCAGTAAGTATTTTTAAAATGGCTGCTGTATTAATCAAGGTTTTCCAGAGAGACAGAACCAATAGGATGGATGAATGGATGGATGGATGGATATATAGATAAGTAGATAGATAGATAGACAGATAGATAGATAGATGATAGATTAGATGGATAGATAAATTATATATTAGATAATAAATAATAGATGAATTGATAGATGTACAGATAGATGAATAGATAGATGGATAGACAAATGAACAGATAAATAGATGGATGGATGTGTATATAGATGAATAGATAGATAATTAGATGGTAGGTTAGACAGGCAGACACAGAGATAGATGATAGATAGATAGATAGATAGATAGATGAATAGATAGATAAATAGATGGATAGGTTAGACAGAGAGATGAGAGATAGATAGATGTATAGATAGATAGATAGAGAGATAGAGATATAGATGTGGCTATAGAGATACAGCTAGAGATAGACATAGATATGTGACAGGGGACTTATTAGGGGAATTGGCTCACATGATTATGGAGGCTGAGAAGACTCACCATAGGTCATCTGGAGAACCAGGGGAGCTAATGCCAGCTCCAGAATCCAAAGGCCAGAGAATCTGAAGCTCTGATGTCCAAGGACAGGAGTAGAAGGGTATTCTGGCTCCAGAAGAGAGAGAGCATTCACTTTTCCTCTGCTTTTTTAATCTGTCCAGGCCCTCAGCTCATTAGATAGTACCCACTCACATAGGATGAGGGTGGATCTTCCTTACTCAGTCCACTGATTTAAATGCGTCTCTTCTGGAAACACCCCCACAGACACACCCAGAAATAATGCTTTACCAGCTATCTGGGTATACCTTAATGCAGTCAAATTGAGACCTAAAATTAACAATCACAGAGGCCAAGCAGAGTTTGGATGCCAGACACTTATCCTATTTCCCCAACTTTAAACCAGGGTATAGGCAAAGATCACCTTATCCCTGTGAAGCTACAAGGTAAGAGAATTCCAGGCAGAGTATAAAGGTGAGCACTCCTTTCCTGAACCCCTGGGTAATGTTGTTTCATCTGGTTAGTAATTGTCCACTTGGCGGGAGAGACATTCAATAAGAATGTGATACTTGCCTGTACAGGTCCACAGCAATGGCCTAACTTGGTAGCAAGGGGGCTGGTTTCCTGTGTGTAACCCTCTGCCCAAGTCATGCTTGGCAATTTCATTTCGTGATGCTCAGACAATAGGGAGTGTAACCGTAAGTCCATTATATGGGCAAAATTAGCACCAATCCTCCTACTTTTGAATAAGATCTCTGCTAGCTGAGGTCATTTTTCTAGCTTTCTCATAGAGGAATACCTTTTAGAGCCAAATATAATTTTCATTTTGCAGAATGTTAATTAGAGGTATCATTTGTCAACTGCCCTCTATGTGCCTGGAACATCCAGTTCCTGGAACATACGTGATCTCAGAGCCCTCAACAGCTACGAGAGATTGCCAGTGTAGCCAGTGGAAGAAACAGGTTATCTTTTCACCAAATCATTTCTTTTTTTCTCTTGGGCTCTCAGGAAGGGTATATTTTTAAGATATTCCTTTTGATGGGAAGATGGAGGTGTGTGTGACAAGATCTGATCAGTGGAATGTGGGTAGGAATGACATTTGCTACCTCCAGGCCTGGCTTTTTCTTTTTCTCCATCTTCCCCTTCCGAGGCATGGAGGCCATGGGTGAAGATGGTCAGGCTGTAATATGGAAGAAGCCTATACCCTTTGTACTCACCTCCCTGGGTCTCTATGCATGAGACATCTCAAATGCACCCCTTCAGATTCTCAAGGTCTCACTTGGACAATGCTCCAGCCACTGCTATGGTTGCCGGCTCTCCATGAGAATTCAGTCATGCAACTCTTATATGTACACCAAGGGCTTCAGTGGTGCTGGAGAACATATGGAGGACAGACATGGGGACAAGTGGGAAAGCCTCGTTGGGGTAAAGTTTTGATCCAAGGGGATGGGAGCCAATGGGATAAACACTTCACCCTTATCCTACAAGACATATAGTCTTATGGCCCATTTTATGATTTTTTTTTGAGTCCGCAGGACCACACAGCCCACTGCCCTCAGTGGCAGACAATGCAACAAGGCATCCTTGTGCTCACTTTTCCTCTACCTGCTATACTCTCCTTGTTTTCACTGTTGTTCTCTGATACCATACTTCCTAACAAAGCACTTCCACATAAGCCTTTGCCTTTTCTCACTGTGGGACCCAGTTTAAGACACACTACTGGGTAGAAAGCTATCTGGTAGAACCACCCAACCAGGAACATAAATACTGAATTTTGTGTGAGTGAGAAATTAATTTTGATTGTATTAAACTATTGAAATTTGGGGTTTGTTTGTCAGAGCAGTTAATGCTAATTACCCTAATAGATGACTCTCCTTTTACAGATAAGAGAGCTGAGTTCAAAGAATTGAAATAACTTTTGCATAGTCACACAGTTACGTTGGAACAGAGAGTTCAAATCAAGGTCTGCTAGCTTGTAGTGATTTGTGGTAAATCACAATTTTCATGATCCATTTACAAAATGGTAATCTTTTGGAGGATGATTTCTTCATCTTTCTATCTCCCTCCTTCCAACTCCATCTCATTCAAAGGCTCATGCGTGTATTTGCTTAGCTGAGCTGAGTCCAGAAAGTACTTGTATAAGCAACCTTCCCTTTTCCATCAACGAATGCCCATTGATATACTTGGCTGCTTTTTAAAAAAATAGGTTGGGTAGGGGCAAAAACTTCCTTTGAGGATTACAGAAATAAGTGAGTGTGACTTTGAAGGGGTCTTAGTTCCTAATTTTCCATACTAGGATTGTTCCGACAAACAATCATTATTTATTATATGATAAAAATGTTTTTCATTTGACACATTCAGAAAAGTAGCAAAAAGAAAGAAAACTAATCTGTAATATCAGGGGTTAAATGAATTATTCAAAATGAGAAGGAAAGAATTGCCTCTCCACTCCTTACAAACTCCAGCACTATCAGATTCACCTTCCAAAGAAAAGCATTGTTAAAATTATGGAGCAAAGTTATTCCTCTATCTATGTACCTCCTATTTGCCCATCTATTTATCTATCTATTCACATATACAATTTTGAGCAAGTTTTTCAACTACATGCATTTGAAAACAATATTTGGATGTTACTCAAAATGGCTAAATCTTTTCTCTTAATTCTATATCATTAAAATGTTTCAATTACCATATATTCATTAATGTATACAACAAATATTTAGTGATCACTGTCTATATGCCTGGTGTTTTTTTAGTGGTGAACAAGACAAAGCTTCTACTCTAGTGAATCATACAATAAAAATTTATATTATGATGTAATATTTCATCATATAGATGTACCAGATTTTACTTAACCAATTCCCCAAAGATGGGCATTCTAAATTGTTTCAATTTTATTTACTGTTACAAAAAATACTGTAATGAGAACACTTGCATATTTATCTTTACATACTCACGCTATTATTTTTGTAGAGTAGAATCCCAGAAATAGAATTATTAGGTCACATGTAACATTTTAATGGATACTGGTAAGTTACCCTCCAAATATTGTACCAATGTTTTAATACAGTATGAATCTGCTCTCCTCTCCCTACTGTTTCCTGCACTTAATGTTATCAATGTTGGCTTTTGGTTTTTGGCCCATCTCTTTAGTGAAAATAATCTCTTTTTTTGTACATTTCTTTAATATTAGTGAAACTGAGCACCATTTGACATGTTTGTTGCTAAAGGTGCTTCTTCTGTAAGTGGCTGCTGATAGCATCTGTCCCTGTGTCTATCTGTTTATTTTTTCTTATGAATAAATATCGAGCTCCTACCATTGTGAACGTGACAGGTATATTCCCTCATGGAGCTTCCAATCCAGCTGGGAAGATAGACCTTGACCAATGGTAAAAAGACGCAGGACGCATCTTATGAACATGTGGTATCAGGTTCTATGGGAGCACATAACAGTCTTGGGTGAAAGTGAGCAGGAAAGGCTTCTTGGTAAAGGAGATGTTCCACAGTAGGAGGAATTGGCCCCGTGGAGGTAGAGACCGGAATTAAATTAACAGGATGAAGAAGCACTAAGCAGGAAGGCGATTAGGAGTCTCTGGTTTGGCTTTATTGCTTTACATATTTATGTAAATGTAATTGCTTGTATCCACCGACTGATGAGAAACAGGTGATATTAGGATTATAATAGCAATTGTTAATAATAATAGTAACTAACATTTTTGAATGTTCGGTTTATTCTAGATAATCTTATGAGCAATTTACATGTATTTTCATTTAATCCCTTCTCCATCTCTTGCACTAGCTACTCTTTCTTTTTTTTTTTTTTTTTTTTTTTTGTTGTTGTCGTTTTTTTTGAGACAGAGTCTCCCTCTGTCGCCCAGACTGGAGTGCAGTGGCGCGATCTCGGCTCACTGCAAGCTCCGCCTTCCGAGTTAACGACATTCTCCTACCTCAGCCTCCCGAGTAGCTGGGACTACAGGCACCCGCCACTGCGCACAGCTAATTTTTTGTATTTTTAGTAGAGACGGGGTTTCACTGTGGTCTCGATCTCCTGACCTCTTGATCTGCCCGCCTCGGCCTCCCAAAGTGCTGGGATTACAGGCGTGAGCCACCGCACCCAGCCACTAGCTGCTCTTTTATTAGTCCCATTTAACTGATCAGGAAATTGAGGCACAGCTAGGAAGTAGTGGGGCCTATTCTTTGCAGTTGTATAGCAAGAATTCCCTGCAGTTAGAAAATTTCTATTTATGCTATATTCCCCTTGGTGTCCACTTTAAAACGTGGGCCTTCAGTATGCTTCCATCACATAATTGCTGAGTGATATTGAGACCACTACTCTGAGCTTTAGATTCTTCTTCTGTAAAATAAATTTAGTGATACTTAACATTGATAGATGACTTTCTGCATGGGTCAGGGGAAGCTGAGTTATACTTCAGTTTAAAAAAAACTTCTAGCAACAAAGTGTTATTTATTTCTCACTCATGTTACATATTGACTGGGCTGGGAGCTCTGTTCCATGTCTCCTTTCTCCAGGACTCCCTGTCTCCTTGCTCCAGCATGGCACACATGTCTAGAATCTCTGCAGCAGGGGCAGGGGCCACTTGCTTCCATTCAGCAGTGTTACATACTCTTCCTCTTTCATTGGCCAAGGCAAGTCACGTGGTCATAGCTGAGCTTCAGCAGGCAGAGAATTGCAGTCTTGTCCTGGACAGGAAAGAAGAGAAACAGTACTGTTTATGAACTACCATAATCCACGTGCCAGTTTCTGTTCTACCTGCTTTACTGTAACAATCCACTTACTTGCCAACAACCCTGTGTAGTAACTATGATTGCTATCCCCATTTTAAAGATGAAGTATCTGAACTCCCATGGTCTCTGAAGCCCTGTTCACAAGAGCCAAGAAATGGAATCAACCTAAGTGCTCATCAGTGGATGAATGGACAAAGAAAATGTTACATATAAACACAGTGGAATACTATTCGGCCATAAAAAAGAAAGAACTCCTGTCGTTTGCAGCAAGATGGATGGAACTAGAGGTCATTGTGTTAAGTGAAATAAGAAAGGCAAAGAAAGACAAATACCATATTTGTTAGATAGTCGAGTGATGGTTATCAGAGGCATAGAAGGGTAGTGTGGAGGGTGGATGAGAAGTTGGTTAATGAATACAAACATACAGTTAAATAGAAGGAATAAGTTCTAGTATTATAGTATTAATATACTACATATTACTAATATAATATAGTATATCTAATATTCTATAGAACAGTAGAGAAATTATAGTTAATAATAATTTATTGCATATTTCAAAGTAGCCAGAAGAGAAAAATTGTTCTGTTTCCAACACAAACAAATGATAAATGTTTGAGGTAATGGGTATCCCAATCCTGATTTGATCATTCTGGATTGTACACAGGTCTCAAAATATCACGTGTACCCCCAAAATATGTACAGCTATTATATATCATTTTTTAAGATGAGGAAATTGAGGGAAATAAAGATTGAGTCACTTGCCCAAGGTCACTTGGCTAGAAAGTAATAGATCAAGTTTCTACCCAAGACACAGTCTCCAGATCCCATACTCTTAAACCACCCACTGTATTTACCTTATAGGGTTATTGTGAGAATAATAGATTAGATGGGACTTGGAAAGTGTAACTTACCATAAGGGAGCATTAGCATTATTGTTGTTGTTGCTGCTGGTCCTTCAGTGCGCTGGTCTTAGGAAGTCCTCAGGTGAGGAGATTGATTTGACTCAGCCTCTCCAGTGGCCATCTCCAGCAACACTCTGCCAGAAAGACACAGGTTTTTGAAGGAGGTGTCACTGCCTTTGCCATGAATGATTCCCACACAAACAATCCTTTTCCAGTCCAGGTCCCATTAACCTAAAAATCACAGGCAAGTGCGGTGATTAGAATGAATCAACATCAGGCGCCGAAGGGCTGGCTCTGTGAATAAGTCATGTAGCACAATGTAAAGTGGGATAGCACGTTGTAAATTAATGTTGTTAAAATGAATACTTGATAGTAATCCCAAGGAAGGCTATTTACCATCCGCACTTGAAGCGACAGGAGCTGTGTGGAAGCCAAAGCAATTTGCATTGCACAGAAACACTCAGGTTTGCTGCTGCTGATGAATTATCAAACACTTTGGCTTCTTTCCATGTGAAGTGCTGTTTAATGTTTACCTAAAAAGCAATGGGGCAGGAATGCGCTCTGTGTACCTTGGGAATGACGAGTGACAGAGGTCAGTGGGATGAACAAAACAAAGGAAATCTGTTTTAGTAGCCACCACCTTCTCTGGGCTATCACAACTGGCTTTCATTCTCTCTTGAATTTTGGATGGACCATTCCATCCTGGAGCTGGGTGAACAGAAGCACTGTCAAGACATCAGTAGTCACCTGTTCTTTCTGTCCAAGCTCACTTTCCTGGTCTGGGTCTTCTGATGTCCTGCCTCCATTTTTTAGGTGTTGGAATTTCTATATGCTTCATCAGAGAGCTGATGAATGGCACTGTTCATCAGTGCAAGTCTTGGGCAAAAATTATCTTTGTCTCTTTTAAAAAATATTCACCCCAGAATACTCAAGCTTACCTTGAATACTTTGAGTGCCACATAGAAAATAACACCCACTGTTTTTGACCTCCTCTCCTTCACGAAAAGTCAACATTACCCTGTACAATAGCTTCAGAATTCTGCTGCTTATGTGCATGGTTTATTTACATGATAGGCCCAGGAGACAACCAAAAGAAGGAGGAGAAAGAAAAATTTAAAAGTCCTGATGATTTTACCCACAGTTCCACTCCATGTGAGGCTGAGAAGGGGAATAGGAACTTAGTTTCCACAGGGCATGGCGCTTGCCTTCAAGCTAACTACTTTGTCAGGAAACAGACCCAAGAATCCACAATCATTCCAGTGTTAGAAGGAGAACTTCATGAGTTGAACTCACTGAGCTTCTTCCTATGGGATTCTGAAAACCACGACTTGCTTTTCATTTTAAGAGGTAGAAACTATACTCTACTGTAATGGGAGAGTCCAATAATAAATTAACATAATTTAAGCCCATTCTTTTAAACTTAACTTTTAGCAGATTTTGCACCTTCTGGGAGTTGTACCAGGAAGAATAAATGATTCCTCTTCCTGGTACTCCTTCTTCCTCCCTGCCACCACTAAAAAGCAAAATCATGTAGTCTAGAATAGGGCAGCCCATTGTTTGATTTTTATTTCATTGAGACTAGGGTTTCTCAAACTTGAGTTATATACAGACCCTTTTGAGAGGAAAATAATTACCATGGATCCCAATGAGTATATAAAAGACTTTTATTAAAATGTTAATATATAAAGTCAGATAGAAACTCTTTGTGCTTATTGTTTTAGTGAATTATGAAACCAAAACAAATTAGAAATTAAATACAAACATCAGTACAGATCTAATAAAATTCAAATTAACAATATTAAATAAATATGATGAATCATGTTGTCTGGCTGAAATGGAATCTTCTCTTTAAACGTGGCTGTTGTACTTTGGGCTTTGTTGCAAGTTCTCTTGGGGTAGGAGACCTAGACCATCGTGTATGAACAATGCTCTCATCTCTCTTCTCTAGTTCTCATCACTTGGCATGAATTGATCATTTCCTATGAGTTTTTGCACTGGATCTTTCTCTGTTCTTTTCTGCAGGTAACACAGGTAGTAGTATTAGGAGCCTAGAGGATGGCAAATTACAAAAGCAAAGTCTTTTCTGAAATCATATGGCTGAACTCAATGAGAAGGTGGCCATGCAAATAATCCACAACATGCTTCCATTGATTTATTCTTGCTTGTCTCTGAAACTTCATGTGAAATGAAAATTTATTTTGGAGAGAATGTGTGTGGACCCTGAGGGGCTGTGGACTCTAGTTTGGGTGCAGTGTTCTAGATGTATTCTCTTAATGACCTTCTTATTTCCCCACCAGTCATCTTCCTTTGTCCCATATACCATCAGAGCATGGTCAGTTTACAGGATCCAGCTGGACAATTAGGAGACCCAGGCTCTGGTTTTGGTTGTAGCTTTAACCACTCTCTGTCTGCAGTAAAGCCTCCTCTTAAGTCTCTACCAGTCCAAGAAAAGCCATCATTATCTCTTGCCCCAACTGGAATGGCCTCCCAACTTGCCAACCTGCTTCCATGCTTGGCCCCCTGCCCCATCCATTTTTCACCCTAGAGCAGAGGGCAATCTTCTTAAATTGTGCATTAATCATGTCACTTTCTTGTTTTATACCTCTCCACTGAAGTTCCAATTTTATTTACAATAAAACCCATGACCTACTATGCTGTAGGTCCATTTTCCACAACCCCCCCACTCTATTTTCGTCCTACAGCAGAGGGTAATCTTAAATTATAAATTAGTCATGTCATTTCCTTGTTTAATACCCTGCCATTGAGGTTCCAGTTTTACTTACAATAAAATCTATGACCTACCAAGTTGTATGGGATCCAGTCCCACCTATCTCTCCAGCTCCAACCCCTCCTCACTTCTTCACATTCTCCGTGCCCAGTCCTAGAGTTTCATTTCAATTCTTCAAATTGCCCAACTCTTCTTTGCATGAGGTTTTTGAATGGGCTTTTTGCTCTCCCTGAAACACTCCCCATTTCTACCAGTCAGCTCCTCTCTCCCTAGTTTCTAATAATCCTTTAGAGCTTATTTTAATTCCTGCCTTTTCAGATCAGGCTCCTCTGATTACCCTACCTTGGTTAAATTTACCCTCAAACCTTGCTCTCTGTATCCATATTTTGTTGAACTCCATCATGCCACAATTTAGTTGTGTGATGTGGGCATACATTCCTTTTTGCATCTGTCTTCCTCCACTAGAATGTCAGCTCCTTGAGGGCAGCAACATTGTCTGCCCTTTTATCATGGTATCTCCCTGCACCTAAGACAGTGCAGGTATGGAGACTCTATTGAATTATTGAATTAATATTTATGAAGGAATGAAAGCCTTCCTTCCACTGGACTCATTTCCTGGGCTTAATTTTCCTTAGCTATAAAGTGGAGCTAATAACATTTGCTTCTGCTACCACTGAGACAACACATCTCTGGCCCTAACATTGGGGCTTGGTGTGCTAGTTGCTTTTCTGAAGTCCATCTTCCTTATAGAACTCTGCGGCATCATAACCACGTGGTGAGCTGGAGTGGAATTTAGGAACTCAGCCTTCTTACCTCCTTCTACAGGAACAGTGTGACATTGGGTGGGTTTCTTAACCTCTCTAAATCAAGGATTTCCTAACATGTAAAACAGGGCTATAAATTCCTGCTCCACCTACTTCTTTGGGTTCTTTTCAGACTTGAGATAATGAGCACGAGGGAGCTTAAAAGAAGCATAGAGCAAAATGAAAATATAATTAACTCAATGACTGTAAAATGCCAAGAGAGGTAAAGATAAGGAAACTAATGCTGATTACATATTTACCATGTGCTTGAGGCTTTGCTAGATGCTTCATGTGCAATACTCAAACTGTCATGAAAAGCCATTTTTCCTGGAGAGAAAACTGGGACCAAGAATGCCAGGTCACTTTTTCAAGACTGTGCAGCCAGTAAGCAATGAGGTTGGCTTTCCAACCAGATCTGGGTGACTTTTAAGGCCAATATGCCCACTGCTTCAGGCTGTCCAAAATGACTGAACATTGTGTATCATTGTGGAGGGTCGTTCAGCCTCTACCTAAATGCTTCCATATGGGCGTGGCCCGATTTCTTTGGGATCCTTACCCTGGAGACAGATAGGATAGACCTAAGGTCAGAATATCTCTCTATTGGTAAAGTTAGATCTTTTGTCCTTCCTCCATCCAGCTGGAAGTGCGCTCTAGACGTCATGGGCTTGCTGGCAATTTGGGGAATGTCTTAAAAAATCCCTTTCTTGGCTGGGTGTGGTAGCTCATGCCTGTAATCCCAGCACTTTGGGAGGCCCAGGAGGGCAGATCACCTGAGGTCAGGAGTTTGAGAACAGCCTGACCAACATGGCGAAACCCCATCTCTACAAAAATACAAAATTAGCCAGGTGTAGTGGCACGTGCCTATAATCCAGCTACTTGGGAGGCTGAGGCAGGAGACTCCCTTGAACGTGGGAGGCGGAGGTTGCAGTGAGCTGAGATCGTGCCATTGCACTCCAGCCTAGGCAATAAGAACAAAACTCTGTCTCAAAAAAATAAAAAAATCCCTTCTCCTTTCAGACAACTCAAGTTGCCCCAAGTCCTGGTGGTAGGCCAACACCCTTACAATTCCAGAAATGCCTCCTTATCAGCTGAAAGCTCCAGCCCATTGACAACTGCTTTCTGAATTGTGAGGACGCTCCCTATCCTGTAGGTAATACAATAACAGGGTAGAGGCTGCAGCAAGAGAGATGAAGCCTGAAGCAGTTTGGTAGCAGCTAACACCCCAAATACCCTGAGCTTCATCTGTACTCATTCTCCCCAGCGCTGTGGATGGCTCCTGTGGACTCCAGTTTATCTCAGCCTCAAAGCTAATAGAGTTAAACCAGCTGCTCAATTTAAAGAGGAACTGAAGCAGTGAGATGTTACTGTATTCTGAGATGGGGCTAATAAACTTTAATAGATTTCAGCTAACAATTTGGTATAAATTAGACATTGCACTGCTGCTGAGGTAATAACTTTTGGCACTAAATAACAGAAAATCAAGCTCTGTGATGTGCTTCAAAAACACCTTCATCGAGCTTCCGAGATTCAGGCAGATTTCACTATTGATTACTGCTCACTCTTCCCCAAGCTTTAAGAAAACAGCAAACTGCTCCAAAATATACCCCCTCAAAGGGGCCCAGACTTTTTCTCTCACCTGCTCAGTAACTCATTTACGTTAAAGAGCCCTTGGGCTTGAAATGGGTACAAGGTGGCTGGAAGACTTCTAAGGATGAGTCAGGAGCCAAGATATTAGACAATCCCCTTAAGAGCACTCAAACACTTGTTCATGTTTTTCTGGAATCTTCCAAAATGTTCACCAGCTGAACGAAGTCATTTCCATTAGAGTCTGTTTAACAATGGTTCCAATGTGAGCTCTGTGATGAGCATGGGTTAGGCACTAGAGTCAATGGAGTATGTGACAAGAGGCCTGACCTGGCTTTAGGAGAACGTGCTCAGGTCTTGGCTATGGCATTAATGATCTGCATGACCTTAGGCAAGTGATTTAACTTCCCTGAACCAGAGTTCCCACACTCACTTGCCTTAAAAGGATGTGAGGTGGGAGGAAGTTTGAGAATCCCTGAGAAAGTGCGTTGTAGGCTGGGAAGTGCTATCCAAACATATGTTGTGAGATTCAATAGGTTGTGGGACGTTTGGGTGGTCTAGGGTATACTAGGGTTCTAAAGCTCTGTGACATCATCATGAGTCTCAGAAATGGCCAGAATGTTCCTTGCTGCAGATGCATTGGCCCCATCTGCAGGTCCTCTTTGACACCTACCTTACTCTCTCCCTCCACTCACACTCTGAGAACTGTGCTCAGGGGCAGCGCTACAACTTCCACATTGGTCTTTACAGGGCTTGAGTGATTATTTCAAGAACAGAACGCTGTGTGGAAACCTTTACCATATTTCGTTGTATCTAAGACACATTTTTTTTTTTTGAAATTTAACATCTCTAAGGTTGGGTTATGTTTCTTCATCATTGTCAGGTTGGAGCTTAATCAGCAGCACTTTTTTTTAATGTCACACACAGTAATGGTGATGCATCTCACAATTGAGATCATCTTAGACATGATGGAATATGGAATCGTGTGCCTGTTACAAGCCAGGCTCTTGTCTGGGTTCTAGAGACGGTGGAAACCAAGACAGCACCATCCTCTAGTGGTGTTCACATCCCACCACAGTGGAGTCAGGTAAGTCAAACAAGAGCAAGTCAACAAGAGGATTTCATATGGTATTACATTTTGGAACAACATAATAGAAAAAAACAAAGATGATCTAGAGTTTTAAGCTACTATTAAGAGGACAGTCCATGGGGGCATCTCAGAGGAGGTGAAATTTACACAGGAAGCTGAATGCTAGAAGGAAGGTTACCTGGTAAGGTCCAGGACCAAGAGCTTTCCAGTGTGAAGGAATAGCCAGGTCGTCCCTACAATGAGAATTGTGTTAGCAGGATGTTACTGGTAGAGTCCTTATGCGCATAATTCTCTAAATATGTGCACATGAGAATAGTCATAGATTTCCCCAAAGATCTTGTGCCTTTATCTTTCCTTGATTTTTTTTAAAACCAAGCTCCCAATCTACCTTCATCAAGGACTGTCTTAGTTTCCTAGGGCTGCTGTAGTAAATTACCACAAACTTGAGTGGTTTAAAACAAGAGAAATTTATTTCATTATAGTTCTAGAGGCTACCAGTCTGAAATAAAGGTGTCTGTAGGGCCATACTCTCTCTGAAGGATGTAGGGGAAAATGTGTTCTATGCTTTCTCATAGTTTTTGGTGTTAGCTGGAAATCCTTGTAATTCCTCGGCTTGGAGTAGACACATTTCTCCAAGCTCTGCCTCTGTAATCACAGGGCTTTCTCCCCATGCATGTCTGTCTCTTTTCCTCTTCTTACAAAGACATCAACCATGTCGGATTGGGACCCACTCTCATTCCGTATGACCTTGTCTTCACTTGATTACATCTACAAAGACTCTATAAAAGCATAGTCACAGGTACCAGGGATTAGGACTTCAACATATCTGTTTAGAGGACACGATTGAACTCATAACAGTTTTCCTAATAATACATATCAAGAGGAGGCCTTAATGGAAGTCTGATGCCACTTTGATAACATGAGACCCGAACCCTCTCACCACCAAACAGATCTCCTACATTTTGTTTACAGAGAAGAGAAGTCATGACCCCATCTTTAGGGTTTAGGATCCAAATGCCAGGTTTCCCTGCAAGCATTTTCTAATCTCTCTATTGGCCTAGGTGATTTTGGTGATAAGGTAAAAGCTTTATTTTGGTGGAAGATGGTCATCACCCTAAACCTCCCTAATGGTAATCATTGACTGCAACAATTAATGACACTATTTTTGGAGTATGCGGGTGGCAGCCATAGCCAAGTGAGAAATTTCTAATAACTTGGTAGCCAGTTGTCATCAGGAGTATTAGTATTAAAATAGGTAGTTCATTCCTCTGTCTATTCCTGTTATGATATAATGCCACCTTTGGAAGTCATCATAAAATAATAGCTGCCATTTATTGAGTGCTTATCATGTGTTAGGTATTTGCCACATGGTTTAAATGTATTGTGAACCCATTTAATTATTGCAGTAACCTCATGAAGTAGGTACTATTATTCCCCTCACTTTAAGTTGCGGGGAACGAAAGTTACAAAAGCTTCTGTGTCTTGCATACTGTCACTAAGCTGGTGGGTGATGTAAAGAAGATTCAAATTTAACAGGCCTGGCTTGAAAGCTTGTGGGTGTAACCACTCTCTCTACTGCTCTTCAACAGGGCAGCCCCCTCGTTTTATGCCAGACAAGGGAAATGATGTTCTCAAGGTCACACAGCTGAAAGATACCAGAACTGATTAAAGGACCCAGATTCTTCTGATTCCCGGGCCAAGTGCTTGCTCTGCTGCCCCTTGCTTTCCCAAGGCTTCATCAACATTCACGGCCCTGTGAAATTTCCCAGTGTGGTATCTGACCCCGATCCCTAAGAGCAAGCCTAAGATAGTCCATGAAAAGGTCCTGCTGGCAGAGGCTAGAGCCCTGACAGTGCCGCCCTGCACAGTGGACACCAGCCCCTGTGAAGTCCAGATGTTGCTCAGGAACATATTGGTCATTGTAGGCAAAGGAGTGCCCCTCGATGTAAAGTGTTTTCTGGACCTCTGTCATTGCTACAGAACTAAGTCTGCTCCATCTCAGCTCACTGCTGGCTGAAGCACAGTGGGGTCACTCTTCTGAAATGGAACTAGATTCTAAATCTGATCAGTTTCACCTTTCAAAGCTATTGGTTTCCTAAAATGCTGTCTCACAAGAGATTGAGACCAGGTACCTTGGTCTCCATTTGGGGAGGGGAACAGGGTGGTTTGGGGTCAGGGGTGGGAGGAAGGTTTCTCAAGTATATCTCTCCTTTTGTATTTTTTTTTTTTTGAATGTTGTACCCTGTGAATATATGGGCTATTGAAAAGAAGGTCTGAAGTACAACCTTGGGTTGGTGAGAAAATACTAAATACATTGTAACCGATTAGCAGTGTCTGCCGTGAGTGGGGATAAAGCAGTATCAGTACACGGGCTGACATTTCTTACCTCTGGATACTTTTCATGAGATTCATAATTTATAGCTCATGAGGATAGAGCTCCTTATTTCCCAGGGAGAAGATTGCAGGGCAGTTGTCAATGTTTTGCACATTTCCAGATCTTTTTCAAAGCTCATCATAGCTATGTGAGTGTCAGAAAATGGGTTTTAACAACTTCTCAGCTGTGAGAGGAAGCAAGACCCCCGGGGATCTATTTCATGTCTAACCTCACTCCCTCTTGTTGACTGCATAAAAAATAAGGGGTGGCATTTTTTGTTTCCCCCCAGGGGTGTCCTAACCTCATGCTCCCTGGTGTCACCCCTTCCTCCTTCTGCAGGAATTAGATAGCTCTTCTTCAGGTTCCTCCCGCTACTCAGGCTCCAGCCTCCAGCAGAGGCGCACAGGAGTGAAGACTCAAGATGATCCCATTTTGGGCCAGGCACAGTGACTCATGCCTGTAATCCCAGCACTTTGGGAGGCCCCAGCGGTGGGCAGATAGCTTGAGTTCAGGAGTTCGAGGCCAGCCTGGACAACATGGTGAAACCCCGTCTCTACTAAAAATATAAGCATTAGCTGGGTGTAGTGGTGTGCACCTGTAATTCTAGCTATTTGGGTGGCTGAGGCAGGAGAAATGCTTGAACCTGGGAGGTGGAGGTTGCAGTAGCCAAGACTGTGCCACTGCACTCCAGCCTGGGAGATAGAGTGAGACTCTGTTTCAAAAAAAGAAAAGAGAAAGATGAGCCTGTTTTGATGTTTCTGCCTGGAAAAACTACCCTTGACAAACACATTTGTTGCTCATGCTTTATCTGTTGGCTATCTACCCATGTGCCCATCTGTTGAGATGGCAGTGTGCCTGATCCCAGGCCCTGAAGCCAGCCCCAGTAAACCTAGGTGTCAATCATCAGTGAGCTGGCTGCAGGAGACTTTGCCCTCTGGGGATCCTTCTCCCAACTTTGCCTTGAGAAGACTGAGCCTGCAGGCATGCTTCCGGCTTTCTAGCCTGATTCTTGGCTGGAGGTATACTCCCTGTTGGAGATTCCCAGCTTAGGATGAGAGAGACTTGTCCTGTGGAGGATGAGGCCCAGTCTAAGCTGAGACTCTGTGTTGGAGGGAGAGGAGAGGTGGTGAACTTGGGACATGTGCTTAAGTCAAATGGGATCCTGCCTGCCTACACTGTGGAGAAAGGCAGGGATGTCAGTGTAGAGTAGAACCACATCTCTTCCACTGAATCCCATATGTGTGAGTGTGTGTATATGTGGGGTGGGGGGACTAAGTTCATCTACATCGCCAGTGACAAGTCAAATGTCTTTATTTCCCTCCCTTGTTCCAAAATGGATTTGAAGAGACAGATAAAATATGCTAACAAGGGCACATTTCCATCTCTGGTGATACATTTAGGCTCCAAAATGCACCTGGCAGGGTGGAGGTAGAAAATTAACTATGGCTTATGTCTGGCGTAGCATCAGCCACACAGTATGAATGAGAATATGAATGAATGATAGAGGTTCCCTCACAGATGGCTTTGTCAATGAAATGTGATGACCTATTTCTTTACCTTATATTTTGAGCAACTACTATATGCCAGGGACCCTTCTGGGCTATTGGGAAGTAATACCAAGCAAGATAGACAAGCCCTCTGCTCTCAGAGGGCTTATCTTCTATCAGTGAACATACAAAAACAAACAAATGAATGTGCAATGAAAACTGGGCAGAGCTCAAAAACTTTTCTCTTGCCCTGTGGAAAATAGCAGAATAGAAACTGGCATACATGTGTGTATTAATCCATTTTCATACGGCTATAAAGAAATACCTGAGACTGGATAATTTATAAAAGTAGAGGTTTAATTGACTCGCAGTTCTGCATGGCTGGGGAGGCCTCAGGAAACTTACAGTCACGGCAAAGATGAAGGGGAAGGAAGGATCTTCTTCACAAGGCAGCAGGAGGGAGAAAGAGAGAGAAGGAGGAACTTTCAAACACCTATAAAAGCATCAGATCTCGTGAGAACTCACTCACTATCATGAGAATAGCATGGGGGAAACCGCCCCCATGATCCAATCACCTTCCTCCCTGGACATGTGGGAATTACAGGTCCCTCCCTCCACACGTGGGGATTACAATTGGAGATGAGATTTGGGTGGGGACACAGAGCCAAACCATATCAACCTGTTAAGCCGTCACCTGTATTTGCTAGAAGGTTTCCAAAGAGCCCCCTGCCACAGCACACATACTCATGTATGTAAACATATACACTCACATGTACACATACTGTCTTCTTGAACTTGGAATGCTGCTCAGAGATACATAAGTTTTTCCTGTCAAATGTGCAAAAGGCATACCTCTATGACTAGACTGGGGGTCTTGTCAAGAATCCAGAGAGATCCCAGTTTGCTTGGATCTGTTGTCAGGTTTCTGTACCTCAAATCATAACATCTGGGCATCTCTTTGGAGCCCTAACACCTGCGTGCTGACTCTGGATATGTGTGGGAAAGGGCCGTGGCTTCTGTGTCATGTCCCCCCATGTATCTACCCTGGAAAGCTGCGAAGGTGGGAGAATGGCTACTGTAGAATCAGGGCACATGAAATGTGACTTGGGAGAAATTACCACATAGGATCCTCTACTTCTTCTAAGATTCCATCTGCCTTAGAGACTGTGATTCCTGGAAGATTCCAGAGCTCTGACTTCCTTGGGTTGCTTGAATGCTCAGGGGTTTGAAGAGTGATGGGAACCATGGCTTGGTTATATGATTGAAGATATTTGGATGTCAGGGAGACAATACCATCTAGATCTGAGGGATGGCAGTCAGAAAAATGTAATCTTCCATGGGATGGAGACTGAGTCTCCTTTTTAGCATACAAGGGCCACTCTGATTACGTCTAATAACCAAATCATCCATGAGTAGCCTGGTATAGTGCTCAGTCAGCCAGGGTGGTTATCTCCAATTATACCCAGCAGGATTAAGAACCTAATGCCCATTAAGTTCTCCATGGCTGGTGAGTGAGTGCCTGTGAGAGAGATAGAAGAGAATGTGATAATGGGACTATCTCATGTGCTGAGATGTGAGTAGACTATGAGCCCCAGGCAGTCTACTATGTAAATGGTGGGAAGGATGGTATTGTCTGTCACTATATTATCAAGATCTACCATAACAATGCTGGTCCAGGGTAGGATTCAGTAATATTGGTGTGATGAGTGAATGAATGAATGGTAGTAACTGTTCTTTTCCTCAAAATGAAGTAAATGTGATGGGAACATTTTTGATGTTAGTACCCATAGTGCAGAGAAATTGGTAGTGCTGGTGATGATGATGAGGGAGAGGGAAATTATTATTAGACTGAGAGACAACATGCTACCTTGGTGCTGGCTGCAAAATCCCAGCATAAATCAAATTGTCACAGATAAAAAGTAATAATCACCATTGTGGGTGACAGTATGGATAGACAGGCAAGTTTCTGCAACTTTTGTAGGAGCATAATTTGGTGTACTACCTCTCTGGAGATGCATGTTGGCAATAAGTTTCAAAAAAATTTAAATATGTGTGATGGTCCAGCTGGGCCCAGCTAAACTAGGACACATAAACTAGTTTACAGGTTTATCCTAAGATATCTAAGGATTTACATGGGTGCTTAGCTACTAGGGAGATCCTTAATACTTTGTTGAACATAGCAAAATATTGGAAATAGCTTAAACATCCTCCAAGAATGGGCTGGTTGAGTAAATGGTGGCCCTTCCCTATCCTAGAATACCATGCTGCCATTTAAACAGCATTGTAGACATATTTGTCGACATAGAAGCTTGTGTATTTATTAGGATCTGGTTAGGCTGCAAGTAACAGAGAAGAAAAAAAGTGTTGCTTTAACAACAGAAAAAGAAGCTGGTTTCTACTGTGGCTTGAATGTTTGTTCCCTCCCAAATGTAGGTTGAAGTTTAATTATAACAGTATTAAGAGATAGGACCTTTAAAAGGTGATTAGGCCGTGAGGGCTCTGCCCTGATGAATGATTAATGCTGTTATCTCAGGAGGGAGTTCCTTACAGAGGGATGAGTTTGGCCCCCTTTTGCTTCTCTCCCTCACCCTCTCTGGCCATTCCACCATGGAATGATGCAGCTAGAACACTCTTGTCGGATGCGGGTCCCATGATCTTGGATGTCCCAGCATTTAGAACTGTGAGAAAATAAATTTCTGTTCATTATAAATGACCTAGTCTGTGGTTTTCTCTTAATGGCAAACGAACTAAGAGTTCCTCTCTTATGTGAGAGTTCAGGGTCATGTTGGGGGCTCTTCAGTCTTCTAGGATCAAGCTTCCAGATTTCTGCTGTCAGGATTGTTAAAAAAAAAAAAAAAAACCTTGGCACTGGGTAGCCATCAAAGTGTTACAAGTAGCATGTGGCTTTCCTCTGCCTTCTTTGCAAAGATGTCCTCATTCTTCTCAATGAAGTTGGGAGTTGTTCTAGTTTGTAGGACTCATGCAAACTCAGACAGTGCTTATGAGGACTTTAGACAAAGAAGTAAAGATATGGGGCTCCACATAGTCATGACTCTGTATCCCTGAGTAAGCTGCTTTTAATTTTTGTTGGCTGTTTCACTTCCGTTACATTCTCAGTTAATAAATAGTGAAAGTTTAGAGAAACATCTCTCTATTTTTTTTGAGCTTTGAAGCCACAATAGCAAATGAAAGGCATATGTGAAGGATAAATCAGGTTTATTTTAGTACTTCCCAGCATATCCCCATGTGTAATTGTGTTGGGTGATCTCTAAGACACCAAGAAGTGTTTGTAAAGATTTTCTTTACAAGTCTACATTTGCAGCCTTCTGTGAAAGTAAGGCAGCATTTGCTCATTAGGATGGACCCTGAAGCAAGGAAAACATCACCAGTCTTACTGGAACACTCAATTCAGTCAAATTAGATATGAGAGCATCACTTCAATACCAGCTTTGCAAGGCCATGGCCTCAAGCCAAAATAACTACCACTAAGTGTTGACTATGATTACTTCTGGGAGGCAATAGAGTTCTCGGAAGCTGGGTGGGGTATGAGAGTTAGGGGGTCCCAAAGGACTGAAGTCAATAGGGGAGGTGGTGACATGTTAGTGGTGGACAATAAAGCCTCGTTTTACTGGGTTGGAAAGAGTTAGCACAGCATTGGTCTTGATAGAGGCCTTAGCAGTTTAGCAGTTTATACTTTATTTGATAGCAACTCCCACTCTGTTGTTTTTAATAGGTCCTTTAAATTTGCATTTTCACCAGAGACACTTAAAACTAAGATAGAGAGAAGTCAATGATGAGAGTGCTTTGTTATAGAAGGGACTCTTTGGGTTGCAAAAAATGGCAATGAACTTGAGTCAGCTAATGTACAGGGAAACTTCTATCAAATAATCAGAGATAGTCCATACACCCTGGGGCAAGAAGTTTGGTGGGAGAACTATAATGCCATTAGGAGTCTGGTGAACTTAACTGACAAGTGCTCTCTGATTGTTGGTGGGAATACAGGGTCCATGGTGGCTATCACGAAATAGCTACCTTGTCCACCTTCCAAGTCTGCATCGTCCTATAGTTTCAGCATCCAAAGTTAACTGGTACTGTTTCTTCATGCTCTGATTCAGAAATCTGAAACAATCAAATGTGACTGGCACAGTCTAGGTCAGGTGCTTATCCAATCAGCTGTGGTTGATGGGGGTAGCAGGTCATGTGGGGCTCATGAGAGCTGAGTCTTTGAAAAAATGAAAAGGGCAGATACTCTAAGAAGGAACGTGGAGTGGTTATAAATAATCAACAGAGAACATCATTTGTGTCTATAACATATTTACCTAAAAAGAGAAGCAAATATGCTAAGCTCACAGCCTACACAGTAGATTCTTAGGAGACAGGAAGACAATCTGTGTGCTGTGCTGCCCCCCTCTTTGGGCTTCTCTCCTTACTTCTTTACCAGTTTTCTAATTACTACCAGCAGAGCAATCAATACAAGGTTATCAACAATAGGAACAAGTTAATTAAGATGAGCAAATTAATCAGGTAATTAAATGGCCTTCCCTCAAAAGGTGAGCCTGTCGAGATGTTAGTAACATTAGGCCACATTAAGTTGTCTTTCTGCAGGCATACAGGAATCGTGGCAACTGTGGATCATGCCAGCCTGAACCAGGATTTATAATCCTCATCCGTGTGCACAGGATTTCTTTGGTCTTATCCACAGTAAGATCATATTCCAATGTAAACTCCCAGAGCCTTGATTTTGTTCCCAATGTATGAGCCCTTTGTGTCAGGGGCAGACCTGGGTAGCTTAGTAACCCGATACATATTCTTTCCTTTTACCTGGTAAACAAAAATCCAGTCTATCATTGGTGTGCCTGCTTAAAGACTACATTTCCCAGCATTCCTTGCAGCTGGAAAGTAGCCAAGGAAATTAGGTGAAAATCATTGAATAGTTCTTCTGCACTTCTTTGAATGGCTGATCTGGCTAGGAGACATGCCCTTTCTATTTCTGTTTTATTTTAGAGTTTCTGCATATTTTAGAGTTCTGTGGTTTCCTTTTTTTAAAAAAATAAAAAAACTATTTTTTGCCCAGATTTTATATTTTTTTTATTTGTTTCAAGAGAATGTGTAATTGATTGTTGAAGCATTTCTGTCTCCTTTAAAATCCTTGTTAGGCAATTCCAGCATCTGATTCATCTGAGCATGGCTGTCAGTTGATGGTCTTTTTTAGTTCACTTGTGTTTTGCTTGGTTCTCAGTGTCATGGCTTTTTACTGTATACTGAACATTTTGGCTATTATATTAGGAGACTCTGGATCCTGTTTTAATCTTTTATTTTAGCAGGCAGTCAGCCTGTTTAGGTTTAGCACGGAGGTCTTGGCATAGTTTCGTGGACTGTGGTTACAAAGACAGTTTAATTTTCAGAGCCTTTGTGATGTTGTTTTGGTCTGCTTGGTGTATCTGGTGCTGCTGCCTGAAGAGACAGAGGAGTTTCTGCAGACCAGCAGAAAGGTGACACTTGGTAGGAGAGGAGAATCTCAGGCCCCGTGAGGAAGAACAGCATTTCTCCTGGATGCTTATTTTCAAGGAGCAAAAAAGTAGAACCCTGGTCCTGTGGACTGGAACCCACCATACCAGCTTTAGGCTAAATAAGCTTTAGGCTGCTCTTTTCTTATGTAAGAGAAAAAAAATTGTATCTTGTTTTAGCCACTGTTATTCATGTTTTCTGCAATATACTTGATATGATTTGGCTGTGTCCCCACCCAAATCTCATCTTGAATTGTAGATCCCATAATTCCTAAGTGTTGTGGGAGGGACCTGGTGGGAGAGAAATGAATCATGGGGGACAGTTTCCTCATACTGTTCTCATGGTAGTGAGTAAGTCTCACGAGATCTGATGGTTTTATAAAGAGAGATCCCCCTTTCACTTGGCTCTCATTCTCTCTTGTCTGCCACCATGTAAGATGTGACTTTTGTCTTCTGCCATGATTGTGAGGCCTCCCCAGCCATGTGGAACTCTGAGTCCATTAAACCTCTTTTTTTTTTTTTTTAAGTAAATTACCCAGTCTTTGGTATGTCTTTATCAGCCTCATGAAAATGGACTAATACACAGAACTTAATCCTATTGCCATAAGAGGGAGGGGGATAGAACAGGGAGTCCCCAAAGTTGGCTGACTCTTGTTCTTCTAGGCTAAGCAATTTGACAGCCCCATGTCTATGGCTTATGCCACCATCCTTGGCTACAGGAATTCTCTCCTCCAAATCAGAGAATGCTTTCCTGTGTGAAGGGACAGAGTGACTATGTTTAGAGATTAAAGTATGGTCAGCCTGAGTCTGAATCCCAGCTTTATCACTGGCTTTGTGACCTCACGCATGTCACTTCAATTACAACTGAAAAAAGGATAATAATAACTGGTTGTTATGAACACTAAAATATATAATGCACATTTGGCCATCACCATCATCTTCTACTTGTAGCAAACATTATTTCATAAGAAATGGGTCACATAAAACACAGCATGTAAATAACCAAAGCTAACATTTACAGAGCACTTACTAAGAACCAGGCACTGGCTTACACACTTTGTGTTAACTCATTG
The DNA here is from genome assembly GCF_000001405.40 of Homo sapiens. Taxonomy (NCBI): domain Eukaryota; kingdom Metazoa; phylum Chordata; class Mammalia; order Primates; family Hominidae; genus Homo; species Homo sapiens. Next base: position 52,596,059 of record NC_000016.10, on the reverse strand, counting down.
AGTCCATACACACTCATGAGGTAGTTATTATAATTATAACCATTGTTCCCCTTTAATAAGCCATGGGACTCAAAGGAAGCTGAGAACTTTGTCTCAGTTACACAGCTAGCAAGAACTGGAGCTGAGATGTGATCCCAGGTCTGTCCAACTCCAGAGCAAAGTTTTAACAAAATAGATTATTAAACAGAGAGATATCTCTCAGATTTGGGGATACGAACAATTAATTCACTTCATTCATTCAGCCATTCAAGTAGTATCCATTGAGTTCTCATTCTGTATCAGTTCTGTGGTAGGCACTGCTATGGTTTGAATGTTTGTGTCTTTCTAAAATTTGTAAAACTTAATCACCAATGCAATGGTATTAAGAGGTGGGGCCATTAGGAGGTGATTAGGTTATGAGGCCCTGCCCTTATGAATGGAATTAGTGCCCTTGTAAAACATCTTAAAGAAGTCTGTTTAGTCCTTTTTACTCTCTGTCATTTTGCTATGTGAGGATGCACCAAGAAGGCACCATCTTGAAAGCAGAGACAGCCCTCTGCAGACATCAAATCTTCTGGTGCCCTGATGTTGGACTTCCCAGTCGTCAGGATTGTGAGAAATAAATCTCTATGATTTATAATTTACCAGATTTAAGGTATTTTCTTACAGCAATAGAAATGGACTAAGACAGGCACTATACATACAAAGATGTACAAAACATGGTCATGCTTTCAAGGGGCTTCCAGTGTAATTGCAGGAGGTAGACATGTAAAGAAATGTGTGCCCTAAAAATTTAGAGGCATGATGAGGTATGTATATATGGAGTTCATTTGGAGCATACAGCAGAAAGAAGTCAATTCTCAGGGAATGAAGGAATATTTGGTCCCATATCCCAGAAAGCCAATTCTGCAACATTTCCTGAAAGGTCTATTTTCTAATAGAATTTTGAAGGATCCCTAGTTTCTTGTTTTGCTTGTGACAAAGAAGCATGACAGCACGTGCCAAACATACCTGAACAAGGGCTTTTGTTAATTGTGAAGGAAAAGATCCATGCTTCGTTTAAAGCTGGAAAGTACTAGAAGGTGCCTCAGCAGACAAGGCACTTCCCTTTCTAGAGCACATGGGAAGCTCCAGGGCAGGTTAGGTTTGGCTTCTGTTTCTACTGTTGTTCCCTGACACCTCATTGGCCTTTACCCACTCACAGCTTCCACCAGTAGGCACCAGATGGTTGGATTGATGAGGAAAAGTCCACACAGCAAGAGAGTTGGCAGCCAAGTAAAAAAACAGAGGCTGAGCAGGGGTTGAAAGGCAGGTGCTCTTGAATCTTTTCACTAAGCACCACAACATTTCTTTTTCTCAAAAGCAACTTAAGTTCAAAATTTCTGTACTTAGAAAGATACTATGATGAAGCCAGTCACGGTAGCTCACGCCTGTAATCCCAGCACTTTGAGAGGCCGAGGTGGGCAGATCTCTTGAGGTCAAGAGTTAGAGACCAGGCTGGCCAGCATGGCAAAACCCTGTCTCTACTAAAAATACAAAAATTAGCTGAGTGTGGTGGCAAGTGCCTGTAATCCGGGCTGCTACATGAGAATCACTTGAACCCAGCAGGTGGAGGTTACAGTGAGGTGAGATGGTGCCACTGCACTGCAGTCTGGGTGATGGAGTGAGACTGTCTCACCAAAAAAAAAAAAAAGAAAAGAAAAAGAAATAAAGGAAGAAAGAAAAGAAAGAAAGAGAAAGAAAGAAAGAAAGAAAGAAAGAAAGAAAGAAAGAAAGAAAGAAAGAAAGAAAGAAACTATAAACAAAATGAAAATGAAAACCACAGGTTGGGAGATAATATTTGCAAAACATCTGACAAAGGGCTTATATCCAGAATATATGAAGAACTCCTACAACTCAATAAGACAAATGACCTAATAAAAAATGAAAAGAAGATTTGAATAGTCAACTCACAAAATAAAATACCCAAGTGGAGAATAAGCACATGAAAAGATGCTCACATTCTTAATTATTAGGGGAATGTAAATTAAAACGATAATGACATATCACTACACACCTGCCAGAATGGCTAAAATTAAAATGATTGGGAAACCAAGTATTGAGAAGGAGGTGGAGCAACTAGAATTTTCATACATTGTTGCAGTGTTGTAAAATGATATAATCACTTTGGAAACAAGTTTGGTAGTTCTTTATAAAGTTAAACATTTATTTCCCATATAATCCAGCTATTTTACTCATGGAGGGTTACCCAAAACAGATGAAAGCATCTATTTATAAAAAGAAAAACTATACAATAATTTCATAGTAGCTTTATTCATAAAAGTCCAAATTAGAAACAATCTAAATGCCCTCACTATGGGTTTTATTAAATGTAAATATCCTAAATGTTTTTAATAATTATATAAGTTGTGGAACATCATTTAATTAACTGGTCTCTATTGTTTGACACCTAGGTCATTTGTGATATTTTTGTCATATCATAAGTAAAACTACATTTTCATAGCTAAATTTGTGCACAAATCATAATTATGTCTTAAGATACATCCTAGAAGAACAATTTTTTGGTCAAAGGTTGGAAATGTTTTAAGGCTTTTGATATATTAATTTCATACATACATAGTTATTTGATAAATCATCTATAACTGGGGAGATCTGAACTGTCTTCAAATGGGATATTTTAAAGCAAGCTTGTCCTGCATGTGGCCCAGGATGGCTTTGAATGCGGCCCAACACAAATTTGTAAACTTTCTTAAAACATTATGAGAAATTTTTTGTGATTCTTTTTTTTTTTTTTTGCCCATCAGTTATCATTGGTGTTAGTGTATTTTATGTGTGGCCCAAGACAATTCTTCTTCCAGTGTGGCCCAGGGAAGCCAAAAGACTGAACACCGCTATTTTAAAGTGTATGCCAATTGAGAAGAGGAAGATGGTATCTCATTGGTGCCTTACTATGCATTTTTCTGATTGCTTCTACCACTCTTTTCTTGCTATTTTGGCTGTAACAGGATTGGACCCAGGAGTTTATCATGACTAAGTTCAAAGGGTGGAGCAGCAGCAAACATGGATGACTTCTGACTCTCTAAGTCACCCGACCCCAGGGTCAACCAGCTAATATCGGTCTTGACATTAAACAGATCCCCAGGCAACAAGAGTCTCTGAACCAAATCCTTAGCTCAATTGCAGCACTGGCCAGATGGGAGAAAAATGTCTCAGTGCCCAAGGATCATGGTCCAATTTCAGACAGCTAAGACCTGAAGAAAGTGAACTAATTCACACTAAAGGGATAAGTGCTACTATGGCCAACACCCCTCCTATTATCATCTCCTTCACAAGCACACAGATCTGTTAAGACTTTGATCCAGTTACTAAGCTCTCCCTTGGGGAATCAACACCACCGAAAAGAAAAAAAAAAAATGTAATACTCAAGGAGCATCTCTACTTTTCTATTCTCCTTCCAGATTTATCGGAGATGGAGACCAAATAAATGCTTTCTAATATTTATAGAAAAACAAAGATCTTACTGGTAGAGGGGTCGATTTTTCTTTTCTACAACATTCCAAGTGTTAGCACATGCCCCTGACTTTTGTTCGACTTTTCCTGGCCAGAGAGAAAGTCTGTTTATCCTTCAGTCTGAAAGAAAACCTTGGGATGGGAATTCTCCATAAAGGCAGAATTGTTGGTGCTGGTAAAAGAACAATGTTGTGTATTGTGAACACGAAAATTGATGAGGTCAGAACCACCCCAGGGACATGAAAATATATATTTATGTAAGAGGCAGTGAAATTTGTCTGCAATTAAGTTTTACCAAAACTCTCAAATCTGTTGTTTGGTTTTAAGCAGATGTTGAAAAGGTTTATCCTGGATTCTGTCTTTATTGATAGGATGTCTTTTGATCTGCAGCCAAATAAGAAATCTGGATGTTATTTTGGATTTGGAAATTTCTTTTAAATAAACATATTAGTTAAGTATGTAAATCTGCTTATCATCACTTCAGGCATATTGCCAGAGTGGGAAACATCTGGGGCCTGGTGTCAGCCGACTTATTAATTCACACTTAGAGTATGTTTCACCCAGGTTACTGCTGAATACTGTTGTCTTGATTGCCTAAGTCAGCTGTGTCTTGACAACAGTTAGTTACAAGTTTCGAGGCTTAAATTTTGACTCATGAGAAATTCATGGAGTGGGGTCTGCCTGGACCTAGCGATTTAGGCTTCTAGCCCCCTTCAGGATTGATTTTGGAAATTAATTGTTAACGTTTTGGATTATAAATGACAGAGATCTGGGTTATTTATCTGAACCGACCAGCATGTAATTCCGGGAAGGGATTATATGGCCTGCTCCTGATAAGCACTGAAGTGGGGTCATTAATAGAACTTTCTGCCATAAAGCTCTCACCACTTTATGGAAGCGCCTCTCCCTCCAGTTCAAAGGATACTCAATTGACTTCAACCTGTAAGTCTAGGGTGAATCATTTTGTCTGGCGGGCTGGTAGATAATGAATGGGTACAGCCTAGCATTCTTATTAATACAGGTAATGTAGTATATAGATCCAGGGAGTGTGCTGTTCCTCATATGCTTCTATACCAAGAAATGAACACCATGGAATGAATGCGTTTGGAGAGCACCCTCATGAATGAAGACTTTGCACTCAACAGCAAAAATGTTTCTAGACATTGGTTGACAGAGCAGCTGGAATTCACATTCTGAGGCCCTGAAGAAGTGATTTGTGACAAAAATGAATTTGAGCAAAGCTGTGTTTATGTGTGTCTTCTGGTTAGTCCTTACAAAGCATTGGAAAGACTTTTTGGTCTTCCTTGGCATTAGCTAGGGTAATTAATACTAGCAACTATAAGGAAGAGTCCTCAAATTTCCGTGACATAAGAGAAATGAAATTGTGTTTCTATGTCACATTCTTGTGCAATGTGGGACAGCAGGGCAGGGAGTGGGAGCTCTGCTCCACGTGGTCATTCATGGATGACATTCTTTCTGTCTTGTCGCTTTGCCATCTTCTAGGACTTTGAAGTCCTCCATTGGATCTTCTCGGAAGATGAGGGAAATGAGAGAGTGTGGAGAGAGATTTTGTAAGTCCGGTCTGGAAGTGGTCATTGTTCAGAATCCAGCCACGTGGGTACATGGAACTGTAAGGTAAGTTGGAAAATATGCTCAAGTTGTATGCTCAACAGAAAACATTTGATATATATTTAGTCTTGCAGTAGGCATCTTGACCATAATAATAACAAAGATTATCATAACACTAGCTAACAGTTGTGGCATATGTAATACATGCCATGATCTGAGCTAAATGTCTAGTGATGCATCATCTCATTTAATGTTATTAATTCCATTCTGTAGATGAGTAGTAAACTGAGGCTCAGGGAGCTGAAATGATCCTCACAGTCCGATAAATACTGCAGCTGAGACCTAAACCCAGAGTACACTTGACTTTGGGTCACATGAGCTCAATTATTTTCTCCCCATGCACATCTTCAGACTCGTCCAGCGCTGGGTCAACCCTGTCTCCTCTCTTCCTCTTTCTCTAGGCTGACACAGGTCGTTTTACTGACCGAGACCTAAAAATTTTCATTTAAATCCCCTGTCACTACCACGAACCTACAGTAAATCCTAGTGGGGGAAAGATACTTGAATATTCAGTCATAAACAATGCAAACTTCCTGCTCTGGGATGAGAAATGGATAAAATTGGTACCAGACATTTTAAGTCCCAAATATCACTCTAGTTAAAATTTTCCCTTTATAAGTATTTTCCCCTTTATAGGTAGAAGTAGTGATGTTTAACAAACATTTAAGTGACTCCTCCAACTCCTCATAATTCTAAAAAATAGGGGTCTTTGTATTTTTTGTTTTATTCCAAACTTTTTTTTTTCAAAATAAGAAACATATTTTTCTATAAACTGTTATTTCCTCTTTACTCACAGTAACTGTCCTAGCAGTTGAGTTTCAGGACAACTTAATTTCTTTTCTCCCTCCCGCCCCCTTTTCTCTAGCTCCCTCCTCCCTTCTTACCTTCCTCTTCCCTCCTTCTCTGTCTTCCTTTCATTTAATATTTTCTAACCAACAATTTCATACTAGATTTATTATAATGACAAAGATAGCCAAGGTTTCTCCTTTCAATGGGCTTACATCTGGTTTTCTACAAAAAAATAAAGTTCTTAATTTCTGTAAGAGTGCTGTCCATGTGAAAAGAGATGAGGACCACAAAGTAGCTTACAACATGAGTGTGAGGAAATTTCACAAATCTCCCCAGCAAAGCAACTTGCTTGCATATATCATGTATGTGGGATTTAAATCTGAACCATACAAAAAAAGAAATTGTATTTTTTTGTGCACAAACAAATGTATACTTTTGAATAAATGAAAAGTAATAATACAAAATTTGTTAGTGGGATAAAAGGAGTAGAGATCAAGGAAGAAATCAGATGGAGGTAGCATAGAGACTGGATCTTCATTGTGACTAGGGAACCCTACTGGGATGGAACATAAGTGTCCGATGGCAGGAAGTAATGATGGGTCACTCAGCTCAGTGCTATCCATGTACCAATTGCCATACTCTGTTAGGTGTGAAAGGGCCCGGGTAGAGATGAGAAGTAAATGTGACTGTCTTTAGGTCTCTTTCCATCACAAGGTCCATATTGCTGGGATAAAGAGACCAGTTCTCCTCCTACTCATTCCCTACTCTATTGTATCCTGGGCCATGTGGCTTTCCTGGAAGTGGGGAAGCCATGAGCCATTGGTTGGCATGGCCTGTGGACATGGATAAACAGAACCCTGCCTGCCCTCCAGAGAGTGGCTGGAATGAGGGAAGAGATTTCTGCCAGGAGCAGGTGGAGACAGAGGTAGCAGGCACAGGACAATTTATTATCAAGGTGCTTTAGTGGCCTGAGAGCAAGTGTTCTCAGGAGCCAGGATAGATTCTAATTTGTTCTGTGTTTGCGTATGTTTGTGTTTGGGAGGACATGTGTCCTGTCATGGAGCTGGTCCTCCCTTCAAGGACACCTGCTCTTCCAGTGCGTGTGTTCACTCAAGAAGGGGGAAAAAACCAGTGGAGTGTGAGGGTGGGAGTGGGACAGATGTGGGAAAACTCTCCTCACAGGGTGCAGGTAGTGAAGGGGCCATAGTCGGTATAGAATTAAAAAACAATAATCAACTAAAAGTTGTTTTGCTTTTTATTATCACCATACTCCACCAATTCTGAGCCACTCTTCCCATCAGGGTGCCATGCCACTGAAACCACATGAAGCCTGCAGGCACCCATGGGGCAGGTAACCCCTGCAGGCCAGATTGGTTCCCTGCCCCACTTCCCACACTACACCCCCACCCCCATTACTGGCCCCATGGGATGTGAAGATTCACAAAGCACAAACACCAATGACTAAGGACACATTCGTTGTAAAGACAATTAATATTTTATGAACTAAATTAATAATTAATATAAAATAGATTAATACTCTATTTTATTAAATAATCATTTAATGGTTGTTTTCTCTCCCAAGGCTGAGTTTCTTCATTTTTCTTTCAGTCAAGAAGTTTGCATTAAGTCCTATAATGTGCAAGGCTAGGTGCTGGGCATGGGTGGTACGACACAGTAGACCAGACAGTGACAGGGAGCCGACCTCCTAGAGCTAGAGACAGGCAGGGGGCAAGTGAGCAATCCACAAACAAGATGGTTTTAGCTGGTGTGAGCTATCACGAAGGGGCACATTGTAGGGTCATGAGATAGAAAGTGATGGGCAGGAGCAGATCTGTATTGTATAAAGGTGATCAAGGCTGGTGTCTCAGAGGAGATATTGTTTGGGCTGAGATTCCATGTTTGGGAAGGAGCCAGCTATGGCAGAAAAAACAGTGAATGCCAAGACCGGGAGCCAGGAACAAGTCTGGCCTGTTAGAGGAAATGAAGGAAGGCTTGTGTGGCTGGCAATAAGGAGGAGTCCTTTTGGGGAAGAGGCTGAAGGGATGCAGAGGCCAGGTGCAGTCAGTCATGTAGGGTCATAAGACTGAGTTTGCACTGGTTGAGCCATGAGAAACACACCTTTGACCACTCCCCCCTTATCATCCTAATTTGCACAACTGCTTGTTTTGTGTTGTGTCTTTCATGTTTGCTAGCTTCTGCTGACCCTTTTCCCAGCACTCCAGTCTCCCCACCTCCTCTGCACTTGCTTGCACCACCTTCACTCTGTTCATGCACCTTCGAATGTCTTCTCCTTGACACCCAATTCCACAATATGGCATCTTCTTCATGCTGCAGCCTTGTCATCTAATGAGGAAGGAAAGTTTGATTGGTTCTGGCCACAAGCAATTGTCAGAACTCACATCCATTGTTGAGGTTGGAGGAGATAAACCAAATTAACCTGTGCCTTCCTTTTCTTATAAATGGAATTTCTTATCTTGGACTTTTTCTTGAGTCTTCTTGGGGAAAGAGATGTGAATGAGGAGGAGGGAGAATGAAGAAAGGAAAGATTAGGAGCTGTTGAGGCCTGGGAGAGTTCAGAGAGAAGGGTAAATGTCAGTCTGTGATTCCCTTACCTGACCTCTGTGCTGAAAGGAGTTATCTCTGTCCACCAAGTATATTTCTCTTTTCAGTCTTCAACAAAATCTTCTTCCTTTGGACCTTCGTCTGCAGATCTGAGGGAAAAAAAAACCAGCCATTTAAGAATTTAAAGTGTAAACTCACTTGGGTGGGAGTAAGCCTGATTATCCTCTTATTTAAGAATAAAAATGCTGGTGTATATCTACCTTTTTTTTCTCTCTCTCTCTACACACACACACACACGCACACACGCACACACACACACACACAATTTTTCAATAATTGGAGAGAAATGGCTGCTGGATTCCACTCTGACATACAGAATAGGTCAGGTGGATTCTACCTTTTTACTAAAGTAGAGGATGAATTCTATGGAATCCCTGCTTTAGTTTTTTCTTCCTTTTTTTTTTGTGCAAAAAGAAGAAAATAAATTGCAGGAATAATGCAGCAAGTTGTAGCAATAAGTGGATGGTGTCCTGGAGGACAGGAAAGGCAGATACATCTAGACCTCTTGCCTAGAAGCACTACATGCCTTTATTTTATTTTAGAAAGAAAAAGATGACATCATTTCAGGTTTTTATAGCAAGGAGGGTAGGATTAAAGCCCAGATTTTTCTGGGTTCCCTTGAGGGAGATGGCAGAGTTGGGTTCCTTAGATACAATGTCTCAGATGTATTTGTTTTCAGCTATTGTGATGGTTGGAGAAGCACCTTGTATCTTCCAAATTTCTGTTGAGGCTCTAAGCCAAATAAAGTACAATTGCCCTACAGATGACATTGGAGACTCAAGAGCAAATATATTCTTTGCTCTTCAAAATGTGATTTGTGAATCTGTCAATATGACATAGTCAATCACTAAGTAGTTATTGATCAGTCACTCAGCTTTGGATCCAGATAGGGCAAGTGCTTTGGATAAGGATAAGACAGAATCCCTAATGATGCTATCTAGTGGGGGAAATAAAGACACATCTTTAATGTGTTAAGAATTGTTTTATTTCAAGTCACAGAAAACCCATTCCTAACTGACTACATCAAAAATAAAATTATCGGTTCATATAAATGAAAAATTCAGGGATGGGATGTGTATCAGTTATTGATGAATAATAAATCACCTCAACATACAGTAGCTTAAAACAACTGTTTATTTCGCAGAAAATCTGCAAGTCAGCAATTTAAGCTGGGCTCAGTTGGATGTTTCTTCTGGTCTGAACTGGGCTCCCTTATTGATCTGCAGTTAGCTGTGGGTCAGCTAGGCAACACTACTTCTGGCTGTTGGCTGGGATGCCTTGGCTCTCATCCACATTGTCTCTCATCCTCCAGCAGGTTCACCTAGGCTTTTCTGCATGGTGCAGGATTCTGACAGCAAAAGTGCACACCATCACTTCCACTGGAATGCATGGGTCAAAGCAAGCTACAAGAGCAGTCCATATTCAAGGAGTAGGAAGTAGTTTCCATCTCTTAATGTTCTCAATGGGAGAATCTGCAAAGTCACATTACAAAGGGTTTAGATAAAGGAAATTGTGAAAACTTGTCTATATTTTCTCCCAACCAATACCAGCTTTAGGCATGGCTCTATGTGGGGCTTGAACAATGTCATCCTTCTACTCTGTTGACTTCAGCCTCAGGCTCCCCATATATCCACAATGGCTGCAGCAGTTCCAGCCCTCACATTCAAGCCTAGTGAGAAAGGACAGCCTGTCTAATCACTTTCCTAGAAAGTCTCATTGGCTGTAACTGGATCATTTGCCTATAATTAAACAAATCTCTCTGCCCAAGGTATACAGTATATTAATTGGTCTAGGCTTGGTCACATGTTCCACCCTTGCCACAGAGATGGAGCTCCACCAGAAGTGGAAAGTGTGAGGCTTTAAGTGTGAGAGTGAGGGAACCTCAGTGAAAATGGGTGGCTTTTTCCAGGAGTAATGGATGCTACTTGTGATAGTCATAGTGGTGGAATGACAGCAGATGTCTGCAACCCCACAACAGAACACATTGCATTTGTTACAGCTCTATTTGCTGCTTCCATATGATAAAGAAGTAGGTTAGAAGTTCTATGAAGCCAGATTTGAATCCAGATCTTCAGATGCCAAGCCCTGCATTTTGGCCTGAATTATTTTTCTCAGCACAAAGCATAATTCTTACATGATATGAGAAATGGATAGCCCTGCCTGGAAGGGCTTTTACTTTGTAATAGAAATATCACCCTGATTGATGGCAGCATTGGCTCTTCGTGATCATCTTCTAGGTGTTGCAGGATCAATAAACTTTCAAATACTAGCCCATTCACTAGAGCATTATCTCCCCAAACTTCTTTGTCCCTGCTTATATTTGTCAACTTTACAATCCTTTTATTACCAGCAAAAGCTTTGGGAAGCTACAAATAAAAGCAGGGATTATAAAAGGATTCTTATTAAAGCATGCTTTCTTTGAGGAACAGAGTACAATGTCCTCCGTTCTCCCTTTGTGAAAAGATGTGTTTTCTTGTTTAATTAGAATAGACCTCCATTCCATTAGAAGAGGACAAGTAGGGCAGCAGGGTTGAGAGTGCAGGCCCCAGGGGAAAAAAAAAGGCTTATTTATTTCAGCTCCCATCAACTTTAAGAGTGTACTGCAACTTTGTGAAATATTCTATCATATTTGGGAATGGATGAATACATGTAAACACCACCACTTCCCTGCTACAGAGTAATTGGTTGTAGTCTCCATTTTCTTGTTTTTTTTGTTGTTGTTACTTTGCAATTAAAGCCTGTGTTGGAGAAATGCAAAGCCAAGTGCATCAATTAGGGTCCTAGCAAGAAACAGATGGCACACTCAATTTGGATAATTCGAGGGGAGCTTAGTAAAGGGGCTTTTTGCAAAGATGTGAGCAGGATTAAAGGAAACCACAAGGGACCGTGCTGTCCCAGAGTAAGCAACCATGGGGAACTGTATCACTTAGAGCAGGTGTTGGCAAACCATGGCCCATGGATCAAACCTGGCCCTGTACCTGTTTCTGAAAATAAAGTTTTATTGAAACACAGCTGTGCCCATTTGTTTACATATTGTCTATGACTGCCCTCACATTTCAAAAGCAGAATTGAATACTTGCATCAGAAACTGTGTGTCCTACAAAGCCTAAAATATTTATTCTCTAGTCCTTTACAAAGGAAGTTTTCATCAAGGCCGGGACAAGGGTAAGGCAAGTGAGGTGTCCAGGGTGCAAAATTTAAGAAAGAATGGACTCTCAGGCCCTGCATTTGCATAACTCCGAGGGTAACCTTGGCTTCCAAGGCACTTTGCTTGCCACCCCTTAGTCTGGGCCTTGTTTGACAATCCCTGACCTAGAGAGTAGCTATAAAGAGAGTGCTGCTTGACAAGGGTGGTGGCTTTGCCAAGAGAGAGGCTGCCAACACTTGACAATTCTGCAGATAGATAGATAGAGAACAAAACCCACAGCCTTCATCGCCTCCTGCTTTCCAAGCCACCTGGAGGCACAGGGTGAGGGAGGCAGTTGATTGGGTCCATAAAGGTCCACCTCTTGGGGAACAGAATAGAGATATCTTAGGGTTCTCTAGAGGGATGGAATTAATAGGATAGATGTATATATAAAAGGGAGTTTATTAACGAGCGTTGACTCACGGTCACAGGATGAGGTCCCACAATAGGCCGTCTGCAAGCTGAGGATCAGGGAAGCCAGAATTGAAGAACTTGGAGTCTGATGTTTGAGGGCAGGAAGCATCCAGCACAGGAGAAAGATGTAGGCCAGAAGACTAAACGAGTCTAGTCTTTTCACGTTCTTTGCCTGCTTTTATTGTGGTTACGCTGGCAGCTGATTAAATTGTGCCCACCCAGATTGAGGGTGAGTCTGCCTTCCCCAGTCCACTGACTCAAATGTTAATCTCCTTTGGCAACACCTTCATAGACACTCCCAGGAACAATAATTTGCATCCTTCAATCCAATCAAGTTGACACTCAATATTAACCATCATGAAGTGGAGAAGAGTGGAGAGAATATCCATGGAGTAAACTGAAATAACCTGCTCTAAGCTCCAAGGCAATCCAGCCACTATGGAATCACAGTCTGGAGCTGGTAAGGATGACGGTGATCATTTGGCCCAAAGAAACTGCATTAAAAATAGAATACAAGGAAGAAGGCTGGTGGCTCATCTACTCAGACACTTACTTTACCATTCAGAAGTAGGAAATCCATCCCAGGTCTGAGTTATATAAAAACAGAGTGAACTCTGAATTTCTCCATAACGCACACCACAGTTATTATTAAATGATGATTCTCTCATTATTTAAAGTCTGTTTTCTCTACTGTTGGCTCTACAGTTCGTTGGTCTATGCCCAGGACCCAGGCCAGTGCTTGGCACATAGTAATTGTCCAGGAAATATTTGTAGAGGGCCAGATGTGTTGGCTCATGCCTGTAACCCAGCACTTTGGGAGGCCAAGGTGGGAGGACTGCTTGAACCCAGGAGTTTGAGACCAACCTGGGCAACATAGGCAGATCCCATCTCTTTAAAAAATTTTTTAAAATAAATATTGTTGAATGAGGTAATTGGATAAAAAAAGATATGTGAAAGACCTCGCACTTAAAGGTAGCACAGTATGTCTGTGGAAGGGGAAATGGGAAAATGGCAAACAGGAAAAGTAATTATGTGAAAGTCCTTATATCAGAAGCAATTGGGACAAATAGGTAGGGCTTGAATTCAGAAATGATTAAAAACGATCCATACTTTAAATATTTCATTTTATTTTAACACAAAACCTATACATTGTTTTGGGTTATCGTTTTGACAATCATTTGATATATGACTTAGGCTTTTAAAAAACATGGTTACATTCCATTGCTAAGACGTCTAGATTGCCTTTCTTGTATAAATCACACTCGCAATGCATTGTCCATGAATTTCAGTTTGTTTCTTTAACACAGAATGTGAAGCCTTGGGAAACTAAAAGAACATTCTGAGGGCAGGTTCCACATAGACCATAACTTTTGTCAATTTTTTGTTACAGGTCTGCCAACACTCTTTTTAGTAACTTGCTTTTATCAAATCTTTCCAAAGCGTTCTATCCAGTCTTCACAGAAATATGTTTTTTTCTGACTCACATTACATTAAGGTACATAATGACAATAAGAAATACAGTGAGCATAAACAAGCCTGGGAATGAACCTAATAGACTCTTAGTAAACATAGCACTCAAAGATGGGAGAGCAGGACCTTGGACATGCTGGACAGTAGCCTACTTGCCAAGAGCCTCTAACCTGCATTAGAAGCATGTTTTATAGGAAAAAGGGAGAACTTTGGTTTGTTTAGTGAACTGGTTAAAAGGAGGTTATTTAGTTGAGATTCTTCCATATGCAAATTAGGAGACAATATTTTTAAGATCATATTACAAAGGTCAATCCTGCTACTACTAACTTTTGCCTTTCTATCTTGCAAAAACAATCACATGAAAGATGAACACAGGCCAGGCATGGTGGCTCACACCTATAATCCCAGCACTTTGGGAGGCCAACGTAGGAAGATCGCTTGATCCCAGGAGTTAGAGACGAGATTGAGCAACATAGGGAGACCCTGTCTCTAAAAAAAAAAAAAAAAAAATTAAATTTGCTGGGTGGGGTAGCACGCACCTGTGGTTCTAACTACTTGGGAGGCTGAGGTAGGAGGATCGCTTGAGCCCAGGATGTTGAGGCTGCAATGAGCAGTGATTGTGCCACTGCACTCCAGCCTGGGCGATGCAGTAAGACCCTTTCTCAAACAAAAAACAAAAAACACTCAAACTGGACAATGAAGCTCCTTACAGTTGACTTCATTGAGGGTTATCACTGTGAACTTTCTCTGGTGGTTTCTCTAGCAAAGACCCAATGTCGTCATCTGCTGGCAACTGCATGTACTTGTTTTTCCTTGGCCTGATTTTTGCCCAATAACTTGGATTCCTCCTGAGTGGTGGGGGAAGAGGAGTGTGAGTACAAAGCTAGATATACCAATCTGAGTATACCCAAGGGCAGGTAATGGTGCTCCAGTCCTTTTTTGGAGGAAGTGTTCTGCATTGAAGAAAGATCAGTCATTACAAGCCTTGTGCTCCAAACCTAGCCCTTCCACTTATAAACTTTGTGATCTTGGGCAGGACACTTAAACTGCTATGTCAGTGTTAAATTATCTGTAAATAGTAATTTATAAATACATAATAAATAATAGCCATTCCTTACCTTTCTCATAGGAATGCTGTGAGTCTCAAGTGAAAAAGTTGCAGTGTAGAAATGTTAACTGTTTCCCTTCACACGTCTTCCTAGCATCTGGAAGAGTGGGGATGGGCTCAGTGATGCTACAGTAGCAAGCAACCATCACACTTCAGGGGCTCAAAATAACACAAAGGTTTATTGCTTTTATCACTCTCATTATGTGTCTATCATAGGTTGGTGGGGGTCTCTGGTGAGCATATTCACTCACTATGGATACAGGTTTATGATGCAACCACCATCTTGAATATTGGCAATTTTCATGGCAGAGGAAAGAGAGATAGCTCTGTAAGGTGTCCACAAGCAATTAAATATTTGATCTGAAAATGAAACATGAAACCGCTGCTGCCAATTCATTGGCCAAACCTATTTACATGGCTCCCACCTACTTCTAAGCAGGGCAGGAAGTATAATCCTTCACATACCTCAGAGACTAAAAACTGGAGATTCTTGGTGAACAGCACTAATGACTACCACACCACCCTTTTATTTCATCTTGATTTCCTTCCCTTTTCCTTTTTTTTTTTTAAGAGAAAATAGAGTACAGTGAAAGTGTAA
Organism: Homo sapiens; assembly: GCF_000001405.40. NCBI lineage: Eukaryota > Metazoa > Chordata > Mammalia > Primates > Hominidae > Homo > Homo sapiens. Next base: position 52,580,753 of record NC_000016.10, on the reverse strand, counting down.
ACTTTGAATCCAAGCCAAATACCATTTCTGTTACCCAGCAGTGTGGGTGACCTTGGGCATATCACTTAAACCTGTCGTCAGTCACCTTATCTTAAAAAGGTGCTTGTTGTGAAGATTAAATGAAGGAATACATGGAAAACCTCCAAGAACAGGGTAGAAACTTAACGAGTGTCTGTTTCCTTCCTTAATTCATCAGTTTCTCCCCTCTCCTTTCTCTCTATTTCACAAATTCTCTTTGGAAGAAAAAGGGGAAGATTTTCGGGTCTGCTGTGGATCCAGAAAGAGAAATCATTTCTGCTTTTACTATGTCCTCTACTTCCAGCCCTGTCTTCAGATAACATGAAAATGGAAGCCAGAATCAACCTTGATCACCCAAGATCATCTCAAGGTCATCTCAAGGTGTTGCAAATTGCAAGGAAATGCTTAACCAAGTAGTTGCTGGGAGATTTGCCTGAGTCACCATTCTCTCAAAAGGCAGTGTACTATCCAATAGTTCCAGTGCTTCTTAAACTTCAGTGTGTGAGAATCACTAGAGGATCTTATAAAATGTGGAGTCTTATTCTGCAGGTCTAGGGTGAGGCCCAAGATTCCAATGAGCTTCCAGGTGGCGCCAATGCTCCTGGTCCCTGGACCACACTTTGAGTAGCAAGGTTCTAGGGGAATGAAATGAAGATTTAGGGGCTGTAGACCTAAATTAGAATCCTGGATCTGCTACTCATGAGTAGCAAGGCTTGGACACCATACTTTTCTACTCCATCATTCTGTTTCCTCATCTGTACATCAGGCACCCTCACAGTGTTATCAGGAGGCCTCAGTGAAATCATACATGTAAAAAGCTTTATTAACTGGAAAGCACAGTGGAGTGTTAGCTTTTAGTGGAATCTCTTCAGCTGTCAAGCACTGGGCTCTCTCTAAACCAGAAGTGATTCTGTCCTCTCCCCTTTTTTGCATTGCCTTACATACCAGATGCTGGAAGATGCCTCTTTCCCATATGCTGTGGTAAGCACTTCTCACTTCCAGAGAGATTTACCTTCTGTAACTGACAAGTGTCAGGGAAAAGTGGGAGAGGAGCGCTAAATCTAGATCAGGTACGCATACGTGTGGGCAGGGAGCATGACAGACAGCTGGGGGGTGCGTGGCCCCAAAGCTAAGCAAAGTGAGTATAAATGGTGCCCACAAAGGCATCTTAACCAAATAGAACCTGTTAAACCAGGCCATGAGCAGCGAGACCCTACTTTTTCTTATGGGATGCGGTGATAAAGAAATTACATAGTTATTTGAGAGGAACATAAATAAAGATTAATAGGTTAATGAGTTATTTTCCTTTCATTACTACACTATTGTACTTTATTATAATTGCTTTGCACTCATTTAATTAAATTTGAACTGGGGCCAACACAAGATAATTTGTTTTCCCTGTACTGAACAATGAGTATGCAGATTGGATGTACTGAAGCAGTAATCAGCCCTCTGTTTGCAACACTTTTCTACTCTGAGTAGACATTATAATTGATAATTTGATTGTTGCAGCACTCTGTGCAATATATTTTAAAGCAACATTAACATAATGGAAATTATGTTGTGAGCTTAATCTCAGCTTTTCACTGAGAGGCTATCTGGTTCCTCAGCGTAAACCAGTCAGGTTCTGACAACAGCAGGTTTCTCTCTCATTCTTTCTTTTTGTCTCTCTCTCTGCCTCTCTCCTTCCTTCCTTTCTTCTTCCCTCTCCTTTCTGCTCCTTCCTCCCTCGCTCCCTCCCTGCCATCTTTTGTCCCCATTCTGCCCTCCCTTTCTTCCTTTCTCTCCCATCTTTTTTCCGCTTCCCTTCTGCCCCGCTGCCTTCCCTCTGTCTTTCCTCCCTCCTTTCATAATTGCATTATTTTCTTTTCTTGCCTGCTTCTCTAGCTCTATTGAAGAAAGAAAAAAGATGAAATAAGGGTTGTTGATAGCAGCCATTCCCAGCTGCATTTCCTAATTTTGAGACCTGTTCACATCCGGGACATTTGAGAAAAGCAAACAACAGCCTTTCCCGCAAACACCTAAGTAGGAAATTATTCCTGGTGGTCAGTGTGGTAGTCAGCACCACTCTTTGTGTTGTTGGTCAACATAGGGATTAATTCGCAAGGCAGTCATGAGCTCTTCAAGGGCATTTCTGCACGTATGGGCAGATGAGGAAAAAGTCACTGGTGTTTCCTTTGTCCAAAGTCCATTCTTCCTTGGAGCTGCAAACACTTTCTTGAAAAGATGAGGCCTTTATCCTTACGAACACATTCTGCAGACTGATTCTCTTTGGCTCAAAGATTTCCTGTCCCGTAATGGAAAGTAGGTGTGACGTTCTGTTTGATAATCCCAGGCCAGAGATCTTGGATGCAGGTGAGGAAATTTGTGCCCCTGTGACTTCTATTGAATTTTCATAACTCTGTAAATATTTGTTTCTGTGTTTGTTTTGGGAAGAAAAACACCTGTGAGTGGTTGGAAATGACTGTGTTTGTTTGGAAAAGCTGAAAGAGAGGGGTCTGAGCATTTTTTATTCTTCATTAAACTGTCCAGGCCCTGAATTTGTTGCAAAAAAATCGAATTTATTTGAAGAAAAGCCTATTCTTTAATCTCTTTGTTCTAAGGCGTGGGCACCCACACTCTAGTCGGCTGCTTTACTTTCAAACTCTCTGTCAGTGTGGAGGAAAAAATCCCACAACGAGAAGCATTTTTTTTGGAGGGGGCAATGTTTTGGAGAAGGCAGATTTTTCTCTGACACATATTAAATTTCTCCAGTGAACACTTGGGTGACATAGCTGCATCTGAGTGGCTTTTCTTTTCTCTATGTTGTTATTTTTCATAGAAAATTGGGCTAGAGCTTATTCATGAATCAATTACTGAGTTGAGAAGTAGCACTCTTAAGTTTTACTTTTTAGCTCACTATTTCCTTATCTGTTTGTGGGAGAGCGTGTTTTAGTCTCTCTTGTTATTATGAGACAGACTTCTCTCAGCTGGGTCTATTGTTCTAATTATTATTATTTTTTAAAAAATGTTTTTAACAGAAACAGGACCCAGAGAGTTAAGTTGGGTTTTGCTTTGTTTTGTGTTTACATTTTAACCTCTGTTAAAGATACAGGAAAGAAAACTTCAACTTGCCTGGATGGAGGGTGCTTCCTCTTGTGCCCAGATGTTGAGTTTAAATTGAGAAGCTCACAGCTGTGATGCTGTCGCAGCCTAGAGACACAACTGCAGTTTCTTGCATCAGCCCACCCGTGGCTCCCTGACCCCAGGGACATTGCTAAGCAAGCCTGTTGCCAAATAAGAACTCGAGGGTAGATTTGGAGCACAGGTATCAGACATACAGCAGCTTTCCACTGCGGGAAGCCGGGGAAAAGGACCTCTCTCCCAGTGGGCCCAAACACAAATTCCTGGCACTTGCCACGTATCTGGACATCACAGCACTTTGAAAGATTCGTCTTGGCACTTCAGTTTATATCTGTCATAATTTGGTTTCCCCAAAGCATACCTTAAGGCAAGGTTTCTTAAGGTCAGCAGCAGAAAGATGGGTCACGACAGTGCACATGAGCAGCAATGCTGAGACCAGATGGGTGGCACGGGCAGCACTGACTACAACTTTGCTGAGAAAAATCTCATGTGCACCTATTCTATCTGGACTGTAAGCTCCATGAGGCAAGTGCTGAACTTAAGTATCAGTCTGTGTTCCACAGTGCCCACCTGGATGATAACATCACCCAAGCAGCATCCATCCTGGTCCAAGCATTGTGCTGAGCACATTATAAGGGTGACCCCTGTCAATCTTCCCAACAGCCCAATGAGGTATCTCCATCTTACAGATGAGGCAAGAAGCACAGAGTTTAGTACCTTGCTGAAGTGGTAGAGTCAGGATATTTAAACTTAGGCAGCCTGGAGCCTACCCTTTTGCCACTGTGGGGACCATGTCTCATGGCTGTCTGGTTAGGAATCTGAGTCTGGAAGCTTTAGAGACCATCACCACCATAACTAGAGCTGTCCTTTGTTGAATACTTCTCATGTGCCTTGTCTTGGGATAAGTGCTTTACATTTGTTATTTTGCTTTAATTTGCTCATTGAGGCTGCTACCCCCATTTTAGAGCTAGAGACACTGAAGTTCAGAGAGATTAAACCACGCAGCTCACAAGTGGCTCTGTCCAAACTCTATCTACTCCCTGTCACCAGACACCAAAGCCATGACTTCAAGAAGTGACATTTTCCACTTGAGTCTCTGCAGCAGTAGCAGGCAAATGATGATGGAAATCAAGAAAGTTGTGTCCCCTGACTCATCTCAGAGGTAGCAGGTGGGCCACGGGTCATTCAAGAAATGGAGGTCATTGAGGACAACTTCCCCCCAGATTCCTATCACAAACCTGGCACAATCAGGTGAGGTCGTTGCTGTTTTTTTTCCCCAAATAACCTTGATAATATTCAAAGTATTTTACAGTCTGCTTCCCCTTCACCTGGTGCAGTGGCAAGGATACCGGAAAAGAGACAAACCTACCAGGCTTGCAGAAGTCACTATTCCAACTCACCCTTGAAAATTCTTTTCTCCCTATCTGTGCTCTATCTCTGCTCCATGCATGGGGGCAACAGTGAGGGTGCACAGTTGTTATTGGTGGTGGTGGGCTGTAGCAGGCAGGAGAAAGGGGTAGGCACCTGTGTTCCTCTGAAAGGCATGCTGGGCACTCCCTAGGTAATAACAACTGGGGACCTTCCTCTCTCTTCCTCTCTTTCCTTCACTAGCTCTTTCTCCTCTTTTGTCACTCCTTTTTCCATGTCCTTTCTAGCAAAGGAAGCCCATTGTGGTGGAATAAGGTCTGCCTAGGAAGCTAGGTGACCTTGCTAACCACAACAACCACGGTCACCTTGTGTTTAGCAAAGAACGATGAACACTGCATTCGGACTAGATGGCCCCAGCTCTGTGTTTCAATTGCTAACCAGTCAGGCAGCCTTTCTCTACTCCCTAGATTGCAGGCCCCAATCTACAACAAAGGGCAGATGCACTTGATTATGGTTTTCAGCTCTTTTAAGAAAAACAATAAAACTTGCCCTGTGCAGTGTTTACAATTGTTCTTGAGCCTGTATTTTGTAAATGGTAGATTTTATATTAAAAACAATCAGTATCACTGGCATTCCTTTAGAAGTCAGATTTGGACATCCTGGACTCATAGTCCTGCATGGTGCCTGTTCTTTGGCTCTGAATTCTGGCTTCCCCTTCTACCAGAGGCATGCATTCCCCATCCAGTGCCCACACAGTTTGTCCTACAGTCACCTTGCTTTCAGGTTTGCAAGAGGCTAAGGAAAGATATAACCCTAAAGGGATCTTGAAAGTTCCTGAAGTGCACATAGATAGAGAATTTACATGTCTGCATTTTTAATTTGTGAGAAAGGTGGAAAACATAGCAAACCAAAAGGCCAGCAATAACCTGGGATTGACCTTAGGTGATGGTAGAAATGATGTGCCCTGTATGTGCAATTTCAAGGTGCTGACTCACGTGGGATCCCACAGGATCCTCCAACCCGGAGAGGTTCTGCTTTCCACATTGCAAGATGAGGAACCTGCAGTGTGGAGAGGTGAAATGACTTGCCCAAAGTCACAAAGCTGCTGATCATCCAAGCCCAGGTTCAAATGCAGATTTGCTCACTCTTGGCCTGGTGTTCCTTCTCTCCACCTTGATTTTAATACTACTTGATTTTCAAAATAAGTTTCCCCATTGTCTTATCTATCTGGCTCTTCTAACACCTTGGACAGGTGTGCAGGGCAACTATTCCTAAACACATTTCGACAGATGAGGACACTGAGGCAGTAAGGTCATTGATACAAAAGCAGAGTGAGTTGTTTTCTCTGTGGCAAAATTTGAGGGATAATAGGAAGGATATTTTTACCTCTCTGTTTCCCTCTCTCTCTAATTCTAGATGGGGTAGGACTCTAACACACTCATCCCCCTTTTTTTTAAGAAAAGGAGAGATCAAAGAGTACCAAACACCAATCTTGCTCACTTTGGAAATTTGAAAATATCAGTCCTGAATTCTTTTCTCTTTTTCTCCTCTCCCTTCCTTCTTCCTTTCTCTTTCCTATGAAAACAAAACAAAACCAATCTAATAGTATTTTATATTTTCAAAATGCTACATGGACTTCTCGGTTATTCTTATCAAAATACTTAAAAGGAGGAGTGGAATGATGAGTTCTATTTCCCAACTTAGGATACTGAAGTCAACACCAGAACTAACATGTCCAGTTTCACTCAATGGCTTAGAAATGGCTGGAGAGTGAACCCTAGATCATTTGAGACTTCAGCCTGAGCCAAGCTAAGCTTCTAAGAACTGTTGCTTTGGTTTTGGGAGCACTTACTGTGTGCCAGGTGTCTGCTGGGGACTTTATATACAAAATCTGATAATCCATGCGATATTTCTAGGATGATGTATTATCTCTATCTTACAAGCTGAAGTGGGCCAAAGCTGCCTAGACTGCTTCCCAGGTCATCCTACAGGCCTGGGCCTGACTCCAAAGTCCATATTCACTCTATCATGCTGATTCTGCAGTAGAAACAAAATTGTCTATAATTCTCCACCCCGACCCCCAATAATCCCATAAATCAGGCCATTTCCTTAATCCATTTGTTGCCAGTGACCCCTCTGGGGTGCTTGGTGGTTTCCTGCAGATCCTCTGGGATTGTCTGGAGGTTAGATAATGTGTGGGCCATGTTGCCATCAAGGAATCTTCAACAATATAAAAGGAAAGACAAAATCTTGCATGGTAGTCAATCGCGTACTGGAATCAGCTCCTGTTTTTCTGTGAGCTTAAAGGGCTGTCACTTTTATGTCACTTTGAAAGAGAGTAAAGCTGGTTGAAACTGAGTAACAAACATTCAGGAAGTGAAAAGCCCATGCCACACCCTTAATGTGGTGTGCTAGGGAGGAGGGAGTAAATATTAACCAGAAGGCAAATACGGAAACATCCTAGAGGCAGTGCACGGAACAAAAATCAGTGAAGCTGGGTAGCAGCAGCTAAGCTTGTGGACTTGGAAACCAGCCAAGGCCTGGGTTCAAATCCGTTCTCTGATACTTACTAGCTGCAGGCTACTCGGCCAATTACCTAACATTCTTAGCCTTAATTTTCTCTGTGAATCTGGGATGGTAATACATTTACTCTGTAAATCTGGGATGGTAATACATTCCTCTGAGTGTTATTATGTAGATTAAATGAAGTAATGTGTAGAGCATATTTAGGGGAGTTACTAGTATTATTATAGGCTTAATCAATGGTAGCTCTTATTAGATACAATTAAACTACTATTAACCTATTTTCAGGCTCTTCTCTCAAATGTCTTTGCTATACTCATATTTCAAGCAAAAGTTGCATCAGGGTTTTCATTATATTATGTACTTTTAACTTCTAGAATATGTTCTGTGGACACTACAGATGCAGATTAAATCACCTGCAAAGTGAATCTGTCAGCCCTAACAATAAGAATAGCTCTTTTATGATGAGCAGGTGAGACCAGGTAATTACCGAAGAAAGAGAGTGATGTGTTCATTGAAGTCTACTCATGGAGGAAAGAAGGTAGGCAGAAAACCAATAGGTTTTCAAAAATATATGCAGAACAGGCTTTGGGGAGAATGCCAACCCTCAGTTAACCCAAGTCCCCGTCCAGGGTACGGGTATGCCGGTCAACTGATGTCCCACAAAAATGGAAACTTGGCAGAGGCTGGAAAACAGCAGCCCCAAGATACAGGGAGAAAAATTTCCTGGTTCATAAGAGGCAGGAGGAAAGCTGACACCAGCCCTTCCTGAAAAGAGAAAATGAGGGTATCCAATAGACAGCACATGGTATCTGCGATGAATGTAGTGATTCTGGCCAGGTACAAAAGTCTACTGTGTCATGTGGGATACCTTATTATGAAAAGGATATTGTGCCATTAGCAAGGCCCAGTGCAATACAGCCAAAGTGATTGGGGCACAAAGATCTGTGGATATTTTACAAGGGAAGTGAAACTAGGCTGGTATTCTCCAGGAAAGAAGAGATTATGAGGAGGGGATTCACTGATGACACAGCATTTTGAAGTGAAAAGAGAGAATAAAAGTGAAAAGGCTATTTGAGTTCATCGGTCCTTCTTTCTCCCTGACCCACATCTGCTTCCTCAAGCAAGGCAGGACAGTCTGAAAGAACTGTATATTAGCAAGGATTTATAATGTATGAGCATTTTTAAAAAGACTAAAAATTTACCTTGGATCAAACAAGGGAAAGTGAGAAAGAGAACAATGCAATATGTAATTAAGAAAAGGAATGCCTACAGGAACAATTCTGATGATTTTGGCATAGCACCAAATAATTGGAGGAAAAAAAAAGAAACCAAGAAATATGCAATTAATATGCTGCAGAACTGGCTTTGGAGTCAGACATATGGATTCAACCCTTGCCCATTAGCTTTGTGACTTTGGGCTGGTCCCTTCAATACTCTAAACGTTGGGAGCAACACAAGCCCCTAACTCATTGCATTTTTTGTGACGATGACGTGGCCAGGTGCAGTGGCTCATGCCTGTAATTTGGGAGGCCAAAGCAGGAGGATCACTTGAGGCTAGAAGTTTGAGAACCAGCCTGGGCAATATAGCAAAACCTCAGCCTCTACAAAAAAATGAAAAAAAAAATTAGCTGAAATTTGTAGTCCCAGCTATTCAGACAGGAGGCTGAGATGGTAGGATCACTTGAGCCCAGGAGTTTGAGGCTACAGTGAGCTGCAATTGCACCACTCCACTCCAGCCTAAGCAACAAAGCAAGACCATGTCTCAAAAAAAAAAAAAAGAAGAGAATGTGTATAAAATGCCTAGAGTCAGGCCTGTCATGGAATGGACACCCATGACAGGGTAACTGGTATTACTGTCATTATTATCAGTGTTGGTCTACATATCATCCCTGCAGGAGGGTTCATTTTATGCATGAGGAGAACAAGGCACCAAGGCTCAGAGAGGTTAAAGAATTTGCCCAAGGTCAAACAGGCAGCAAATGTTGAAACTAGTATTTGATCCCTGTTTTGTCTGATACATTCAGTCTCCATCCTGCCTTATTACAGGTGATGAAAGGAAAAGAAAAAATCATACATACTAGCTGTGCTTAATCCCTGCCTCCTTCATAGATATACATTTTTCTAGAAACCCAAATCATTAGCATATCTTTAGATGATTTCCACACCTGTGAGGGCTCTGTGGTTTTCTGTGAAAACCTGATTTATATTTGGAGATTCCGGGGAAATGAACATCCTCAAAAGCTAAAATAAGTGGGGCACGGGAGCTGCATGCATTGTAATCAGTTAAAAACAGCATTCAAGACAATGGCTTGGAGAAAGAGGCTTCAGTGGTTCACAAGTGACTATGGAACCTCTCTGAAGATTCCTAAAGCTTCTGTGTGCATGGACATGTTTCTGCCCACAGCAAGATTACTGCCCCATAGGGGCATCTACTTACTTAAGCTGCTCTTGTTATTCACCGTGTAAAGGAAGTTGTGGCCATCCCCTCTTCTTTCTTGCCTATCATTCAGAGCCTAGATTTTGTTCAGGACAGTTTAACCCCAACAATGGCTCCTGCTTGGCCTTAAGCAATTTTGATGACCCATTTCCCTTTGCCAATGATAGTTCAAGGATGTGCATGTGACCCAGTTCCAGCCAATGAGGTGTGAGGAAATGTCTGCAGGAAACTTCCTGGTTCTCTTTCTCGAGCAAGAGAGATATGTGAGAAGAACACTTTTCCTATGCTTGCTTTGTTCCTTGCAGGAAACTTCTTGGTTCTCTTTCTCGAGCAAGAGAGATATGTGAGAAGAACACTTTTCCTATGCTTGCTTTGTTCCTTCCTGGTATGCTGGTGTGAGGATGTGATGCTTGGAGCCATAGCAGCTGTTTTGCAACCATGAGGAAAGACATTGCTGATATATTGGGAATGGCAGATCAGGAAGAAAGAGCCTAGGTTCTTGGTGGCATCATTAAACTGCCATACCAACCCTGGAATAACTTATTTCCATACACTTTGCTATGTGAGTTCCTGCTTTATTGCTGACACTGCTATTACTTGGAGTTTCTGTTTCCAGATCAATAATATGAGACTATCTTGGGATGGGACCTGGGCGTGTATGATTTAAGTATTCTCAAGTCATCATGGATAGTTAGAGTGGAGAATCACTTTTCTATACCACAAACATCTCGAATACCATGAGAAGTGTTAAGACCACCCAGAAGAGGTAGAGAAACTTCTTTTTGGTTGGAGCATCAGTGAAAACATCTTGGAAAAGGTAGCACTTGGTTTGCACTGAGTGGGATGGATGGGGTCTAGACAAGGGAGGATAATGGTCTATAAGTGAGCAAAGACTTGAAAAGCAGGGGCTGTGTATCGGGAAGGACAGGTATCTCAATTCGGCTGGATAATAAGATGGGAAAGGTAGGAGAGAGGCTGCAAAGATGGTTTGAGGCTGCACTGGGTGTTGGGTGATGATTTAATGCCATGCTAAGGGCTTGGTGCCTGACACTGAGCTAATAGCTATAGGCAATTTAAGAGAAACTTAAGACTCAGCCTGCACACTGAAATGCTTCCAAAGCAATTAGGAAGACAAGAAATACTCATGGAATCTCTTAGAGACACAAAGAAGCCATATATAATTAGGTTCCCCAAGGAATGGCACAGAGAGTAAAAGCCTCAGGATGTCAGAGTCAAGAGGAAGAGTATGGGATAGAACAGGACTATGGAATTTGAGGATGTTGGAGTAGGAAAGATACTAACTGGCTCAGTCTCTAACTTTCCAAATGACACCGGAATTCCATCTGGGATGCTCTTGGGAAATGACCCATTGAACTCTGTCTAATCCCTTCTGGGACAAAGACTTCAGTTGTTTGCATCCATCTTTGGACAGTTCCAACGATCATCCAGTTTTTTATTACCAAAATCTATCTTCCTATAGCTTCAGACCACTGACCCTCATTTTGACCTGCTAGTCTGGAGTGGAATAAATTAAATTATTTGTTCCACTACTCCATAATAGGAATACATGCAGTTCCCTTCCCATGGCCTCACAGTGGCTGAAGCCCCTTAAATTTGGGATGGCTTAACTTGGGCAATGGATATTGGCAGACATGATATCAGCAGAGGCTTTTAATGCATGCACCCTCGTGTGCCTCTTCTATCACTGTAAGAAAAATATTCCCAGGGGCACCTACTGATTCCCAAAGAAAAAGAAACACATGCAGCAAACCTGAACCACAATCATGGCCTGGAGCCAAGCCCAGCCAAGCCTACATTAGATCAGACAAACTCCAGCTTATCTGTGAATGCATAAGAGATAAATAGATGTTATTACAAGCCAACATGGTATTAATGTGACCATAGCTGACTAAAGCATAGAGCAAAAAGAATAGGTTTACTCCCTTTTACACCTGAATACTCATCAAATAGATGGAGGTCACTATTATTCCTGTAAAATATTATCATTTTGTTCGCATTTATCCCCGGTGCTGATAACCAGTCCTTGTGTGACATGCATTTGAAATCCCTCCTGTATGTAATTGCTCACTCTTTCACCCAGAACTGAGTACACAATACTCCAGATGTAGCCTCACAGAATCTATTAGGATCATCACTGCTCTTCAGCTGAGAATAAGGCTTTTATTACTGCAGCCTAAAATTGCTTTAAAAAATAAGCTGTTTCATTGTTGGATCTTATTGAACTTTGGGTTAATTAAAACCCACAGGTCTTTTCCAACTCAATTGCTGTCAATCCAACTCCCCAATCCTGTGCCAACACAACTGACTTTTTAATGTTAAATACAGATTCTATTACTCTTAAATTGCATATGGTTGGTGTTGACCTAACATCCTGACCTGTCAGTACAATTTGAATCCTGATTCTGCCATCAAACATGCCAATGATTCCTTCCATAAATGTGGTGAGTATGCCTGCTACATCTTCTTCCAAATCATTGAGGAAAGAATATCGAATACAATAAACACAAGAGTAAAAACAAGCACCTGTGGCATATCTCTAGAGAGCTGAGTATAGTTGATTGAAATCTGCTGTATAGTCAAAAAATATTTTTGACTGTACAGTCATTCCACCTGTGTTTTGGCATGTTGTCCAGAAAAATATTATCAGTGACATGGCCAGAAGCAATGCTTAGATCAATGTATATCAGCAAAGTAATTCTATCAAAAATGGAAATTTGTTGGTACACTATGATCTATTTCTGGAGAACCAGAATTAGGTCCTAGTAATTACCTTTCTTTTCTACCTGCTCACCAACATTCTTTACCTTATAATCATCAATAAGCAATATTAAAATAATGTCTAGTCTTGAGAATCTACTTTTAAAAATGTTTATGAATTTTCTCCTTGGTGAAATAGCATAATGTGGTGCAATGTGCTCTAAGATGCTGTGAACTGTCAGGGCACTCCTCTTAGCCTTGGCGCAGTCTCCTTTGTTAGGTTCTGGATTAGGTTTCATTTATTCACCACCCTGGATCCATCCTGGCCTTGCTTTTGGATGGGAGGCCCTGACATCGGCATGCATGTTTCCCACTGTTGTAAAGCCTGCTTACTACAGTTTCCGCCAGTGTTACAGATGGAGGAGCTCACTGGGGCAGCAGCTCCCAGACTCTCAGGGTTATCAGGCACCTCCTCTCCCCTCTCCTGCATTATGTACCACTCACTTCCTGCCCCGGGACTTTCCTGCTGCCACCAAGGTGCAAGACACCACAATCCATACTCAATAAGCACCTTTACATGGACAATGCAGAAGTGCAGAGGAGCCGAAGTCCCCTGGAAATTTCTTCCTTCCTCTTTTACAGAGGCGTAATGTGTAGACAAAGTAGCTTCCTATGGTCTCCTAGAAAACATCTGATAAAACTAAAAAATCAACTTGTTGGCTGGGCACGGTGGCTCACGCCTGTAATCCCAGCACTTTGGGAGGCTGAGGCAGGTGGATCACCTGAGGTCAGGAGTTTGAGACCAGCCTGGCCAACATGGCAAAACTCCATCTCCACTAAAAAATACAAAAAAAAAAAAAATAGCCAGGCTTGGTGATGAGCGCCTGTAATCCCAGCTACCTGGGAGGCTGAGGGCAGGAGAATTGCTTGAAACTGGGAGGGAGACGTTGCAGTGAACTGATATAGCACCACTGCACTCCAGCCTGGTCAACAAGAGCAAAACTCCATCTCAAAAAAAAAAAAAATCATAAAGTAATGCACTTCCCTGCATGGTTCGCTCTCTCTCTCCTGCCACATAAGCACACGAGCTTTTGTCTCTGGCTTTGCTGTCTAGGTAAGCAAATGCACTGACAGTGCCCTGCCTGTATCTGCTCAGTACTCACCTCCTCTACACGCTGACAACTTCCCCAGACCAGCACTTGCTCTGGTATCTCAGCCAGCAAGCAGAGCTGACTGGAAACACTGGAGAATTGATGCCCCTGGGAGCAGAGTATAAATTCTCCAGATTCCTCCCACTTAGGATGGGACACCCTGAAACATGTCCTACAGTGTCTCCCAGAGGTCCCCAGTGGGACGAAACCCCAGTTGCCCACAAAGGTAACTCACAGTCCCTTCAGTGACTTCCTTTCCTTCTCTGTGTCCTTTCCCCACTTCTGTTTTGGTGCTTCTTGGGACCACTTCCCACATAGATTACTCTCATTAAAATCCTTCACTCTGAATTTGCTTCTTGGAGAACCCGACCTCAGGCACTAGGGAAGCCAATACCTTTTCCATTGTAAGAACCCCCTCCCCACTGCCATCTTCCTTTCTAATAGAATAGTTGGCAAGGGTATGCATTAGCCAGATGGGTTTTAAATTCTTTCCTCTATTCTTGTATTCGATTCTGAGTAAAATTTAGGCAAAACTCGAATCATCAAGTTTAATATAATAGTGTGTTCCCATAGTGTGGTAGCTAGTTGTCTTCAACATTATATAAGCAGGCCTCACTTTTTTGTTAAAATGTTATTTCTATGATTTGAATAAGTGATACCTGCAAATAAGGTAAAAATATGTACAAAAGGATACACAATGAAAATATGTACAAAAGGATACACAATCTCCCCTCTTCTTCAAGTCTTCCAGTCTGTTCTAATGTCTTATGTATCTTTCCAGAAATCTTCTATGCATTTACAAATTTATAGTCACACACACACACACACACACACAAATGCACATGCACGCATGCACAAATACTTACCTTCCCTTTTTCATGCAATGGCAAATCCCGTACTATACCCTACAGATTCTTCTGAATCTTGCTTTGTCATGTTAGGGTAAATCTTGGTGATTTTCTTTCATGTCGGTAAACATGGATTTGCCTTCTTCTTTTAATAGTTGTGCAGTTCTCCATTGTACTGATCAATTTTTTTATTGATGGCTATTTAGGGATCTCACATACTTAACATAATCTAAACTCTAAGATCATCTAAAAACCTTAAAACATCAACTGCTTTATTTGCTTACAATCTGCAATTTGAACTGGACTTGGCTGGGCTTGTGCTGGCCTGTCAGTGGTTACTCTTGTAGATGTGCTCAGTTGGCAGATGGGTTTGGAGTGGGGCTCAGCTGGGACACTGGGATGGCTGGGTGTTGTTCTTCCTAGCTCCATGTAGTCTCAGGGTCCCTCTCTTTCTCTATGAGCTCCCCATGGCCTCTCTCCATGGCCTTCCCAGCAGGGTAGCTGGACTTTCTTACTAGTAGCTCAGGGCTCTGGAAGCCACTGTGCCTTCTTTGAGCTTATGCCAGAAACCCACCTATTCTCATCTGTGCATTCTATGCATCAAATCAGGCCATAGGCCCAGTCCAGATTCAAGGTGAAGGACCTTCACAAGAGTGTGGATATGAGGAAATGTTCACTGGGGAGTCCCCATGTGAATAGGCTACTACAAGTGGCTTCAGGGAATACTAAACCAGTTATAGGATCAGGGGTCTCAACAGACGTACATTTCCTTTTATCAGAATTTATTTGTAATATTTAGTTTGAAAAGATAATTACACTTTTTAATGTTGAAAATCACTGAGTTACTTAATGGAGTTACATCATGTCCCTCTAAAGATTTGGAGAGATCTAACCCTTTGCCTTCATTTGACCAGTGAGGGATCTGAAAACATGTACAACATTCCTCTGACTTATGGTTCAGGGGTCTGTACCCCCAATTCTCTGCCCTTCTTTTTACTCTTACCTGCCTTCTACTGATTTCCCATCTGTGGGCTTCAACACAGTCAGTTCCTGGATCAACAAACATTTATTCAGCACCTGCTGTGTTCCAGGCATATGGTCCAGAAAGTTGCTATTCCAGTTATGTAGTAATTCTAGCCTCATATATAACAGTGGAGTGCTGGGGCCGGCTTGGGCCATCTCACGAGACCTGATTATGCCTGTTCATCTCCTTCCAACTCCAAGTTCAGTGTCAGCATGTTGGTAGCTTGAAATTGGTCATGATGGGAGTATTTACATCACAATAATCGGCAAACACTACAAATTGGGACTTTTTTCCTCCCCAAAGAGTTGGCTGTTAAACATTTACCAGCATATCCTGGATTTAATCTTAGATCACATTCTCTTTCAGGCTCAGCCAGGTTCCTTTACCGCCGTCCATGCTGACCTATAGGGCTCTGACTTTTCATTCATGTATTCTTTCATTCAGCAAATATTTACTGATCAACTCCCATGCTATTTATACCGTGTCTAAAGGGGTCAGTCCCTACTCTTTCCCAGCTAATTATTTTCAGGAAGGAATGTGGGCCTACCATTGCTAGATGTTATTTTTTTAAGAGACATGAGTAATTCAGATTTTTATGTAGAAATTGTCCAGTTTTTAAATGTGAACAACAAATTAAAACTTTTTTAAACTACTGCCTGGGTCAAAGTAAACACATCTTTAGGTTATCTTTGTGGCTGGGTGCAGTGGCTCATGTCTGTAATCCCAGCATTTTGGGAAGCCTAGATGGGAGGACTGCTTGAGCCCAAGAATTCGAGATCAACCTGAACAACAAGGTGAGACCCCATCTCTACAAAAAAGAAAAAGAAAAAAAATTAGCCGGGTGGAGTGGCATGTGCCTGTAGTCCCAGCTACTCAGGAGGCTGAGGTGGGGGAGCATGGCTTGAGCCAGGGAGTTTGAGGCTGCCGCGAGCTGAGATCATGCCACTGCACTCTAGCCTGTGTGACAGAGTGAGACTGTCTCAAAAAATAAAAAATTGAAAAAGAAAATTACATTTGCCATGGGGTCCAACAGTTTGTGACCCCTGTTCTAATCCTAACAAAAGTAGGTGACATCAAGACCTTAGCCTCTCCACTCCTTCAGTCCCGCCAGTCATGCTACAGTTCAGCCACCTGGAAACCCAGGCACACGCCTAGTACTCCACCCTCTGCCCTATGTCTGTCATGTAAGTAGTGAGTTTTAGATGTGTGTTTAAAACAATGTCCTCTCCTTAAAGGCCTTGTAGGGGTCCCCAGCAATGCTCACCTCTCAGCCTCCCATTCCACTCTCTCCTATATTATTTCCATTAGGCTGCTCTGGCCTTCTTTCAGTTTCTTGAACATCCCATGCTGCCTTCTGCCACAGGGCCTTTGCACTCGCCACTCTTTCTGGAACATTGCTCTTTTCCCTTGTGAATGTAAGACAGAGACTATTTTCTGAAACAATCTTCCTTGTCCCAGACCAGATCATGTCCCTCTAATTTATCTTGTTTTTATTGTGTTTTGCTCTATTTTAGCATTGCAGTGGCCATGAGCATGTAATTCTTAGATCCCTTACTGATGGACAGCCCCAGCTGCTGTACTCCAAATCCATCACCACATGTCTGCAGAGACCACACTTCCCAATGGCTGTTCCCAGCTTGTAGCTAAGCCCAGCAGGAAAACTAAGCCAGTTCCATCCTTGAGAAAGGGGGACTCTTCTGATGGGCAAATGTGGCCTTGCCAGAACTTCCTTAGGATGACACTGAATCTAAGACCATCCATCCTCCTCTCTCCTCTTCACAGAACTACTTCCCAGTCTGATGGCTTTCCTGGCCTTCTCCAGCCTCCCCCACCATTTTCTTTTACTTTTTCTTTTCATTTATTTTATTTTATTTATTTATTTTTTTGAGACACGGTCTCGGTCTGTTGCCCAGGCTGGAGCACAGTGGCGTGATCAAGACTCACTGTAGCCTGGAACTCCCTGGCTCAAGTGATTCTCCCACCTCAGCCTCCCAGTAGGTGGGATGACAGGCATGCGGCACCATAGCTGGCTAATTTTTGTATGTTTTTTTGTAGAGATGGGGTTTTGCTGTGTTTCCCAGGCTCATTTTGAACTCCTGGGCTCAAGCAGCCTACCTACCTCGGCCTCCCAAAGTGCTGGGATTATATGCATGAGCCATCGTGCTTGACCTCCAATTTTCACTCACAGGCATTTTCCCCAATAAATCCCTTACCTGTTTATTCCTGTCTTAGTGTGCATCACGGAGGACCTGCACTAAAACAAGTATCTATTATGGTGGTAAATTTATGTTTATATATGTAATTTTTTTTAACTGACTAATTTTTATTCCTTGATCTCATTCTTCAAAGCAAACTTCTTTTTGACCTTTTTAAATTAAACAACTGACAGCGTTTAGTTTTATACATACATACACAATCATATATGTGCGATTATTTGACAAATGCTTACCTCCCAGACTAGATATGAGGGCAGAGACCAGATTGAGCATATATTTGTCTTTGGTTTATCATTAAATCCCAGTACCTCCACCAGGGCGGAACTCCCACACTGTGAGCTCCCACAGTGGGTGCTCATGAACATTTGTTAATTTCACAGTGATTGAAACAATTAAAAATATAGTACCTTATAAAAAATGGAAGGTATGCTTAAATGTAATGTATGTTTGTCTCAACTGTAGGCTATTTCAACATGGGAAACTGAAATCGGGCATATCCCTGCGGAAGAAGGTAAATATAAGGCAAATGTGGTCAGTCACAATAGTCCATGTTGTAATACGGGGACTTAGAATTGGATTACATTTCAGTGTGCTTGTAGGATGGACCTCTGGTTTCTCCTTCCCTAAGCCATAATAGTCTAGTAATGGAGAATACACTAAAAAGTGCCAATCCAAATACTGACCAAGATTGAGCAAGTCAGGTAGTAGGCAATGAAAGCAGCTGGCACCGTTTTGAGACCTGACTTGCTTGAAGTGGGCTAGCTCCGGGTCTTGGGCAAGTCACTTTGCCTCTTCTGATTCTGATATTTCCATCTGTATCATGAGAGGAGTGGCCTGAGACTCTGAGGCACACCTCTAGCTTGGATTCTAAGTGGAGAGGAGAGAGAGGTGGGGGAGGAGGGACCTCTTTATTGTTCCTTACTGTGTTCCCAGTACCTACCTTGGTGCCTGCATTTTAGGAGGCACTCAAGAAATCTTGCCTGAATGAATGAATGGAAACCTAAATGGAGAATACCTCCTCTTTTGCCTGGGTACACACTGTTTCAGGGCCCCAATCTGTGCTAGCAGGGGAGGCAGAAAGCAGCTGTTTACCTTTGAGGGAGCGGCTGGGTGATCTGCCTGTGTAAACAGCCATTTACCCAGGTGTCAAGAGGAGCAACTGAAAGAGAACACACATTTATTCCCTTCCTCATGGTAATGATCCAGAAATCCTGGCTCGTCTCTGCATTTTTCCGGGCACTGCTGCAGTGGGAGCCTGGTCTTTTTCTAATGCAGCCCTGGGCCAAGCCACAAACCCCACTGCTACTGTCCTACACCTACCCCAAGTCACTCCCTCTCTAGTCACCCTGCTAGTCACCCTTTTGCCCTTCAGGACAAAAATCAGTATCTGAAGTTACCTTTTAATTGAATGTTTTGGCCTGCCTCTTGTCTATATCCTTTCCCTACAATGTAAACACCTTGAGAATAAATTGCCTTGCTCAATGCCCTGCCCTCACACCTGGAACAGTGTCTGGTACTTGGTGGGGCTGCTCAATCAATGGACATTGACTGATGGACAAGTGAGGCTTGTGTCAAGCCTGGTTTAGTACAGTCCCCAATGTGAAAGGGTGCCTGAAATTCCCATTAATAAAGTCATCTCTTGGGTTAAGTCTGCATTCGTCACTCAATCACAGCACACCACTTTTAGCTTTGTCATATTTCCTACTTTTACTTATTTCCTTAATTCATCTTCCCTCTTTAATTTAAACAAATGTATTTAAAATGCAAATTGTATGTCATGACTATAAACAGAAACCAATTGCACTTTCCATAAGTAGAAAGTAACCATGAAAATAAATACAACAATCACAAACTGTAGTGGCAAAAGGATGGTGGATGGAACTGTATTTCAACATATTCTTTACTTTGTAATACTAGGTATTTTATTGTAAGAATTTACAAGCATTATTTTGATATAGGGTTCATAGACTTTACCAGATGTCCAAAGGAGCCCATAGCATTTTCCTTAAGAACACCAGAGTAGAGATACCAAGACATTGACTGAGAAGCTTGAGATCTTTCTCTGTTAAAAAAAAAAAAAATCAAATAGCATTAGGATGGTATAAAAGACACGTCAGCACCAAGCTGAGACTCCCTCTATGGCATAATCAGAAGGACTAAAAGGAAACAGAAAAGGGGCCAGGTATCTCACACCTATAATTCTAGCACTTTGGGAGGTAAGAGGATCACTTGAGGCCAGGAGTTTAAGACTAGCTTGGGCAACATAGTGAGACCCTGTCTTTACAAAATTTTTGTTAGAAACTTAGTTAGATATGATGATGCATGCCTGTAGTCCCAGCTACTCAAGAGGCTGAGGCAGGAGGATCACTTGAGCCCAGGAGTTTGAGGCTGCAGTGAGCTATGATTGCACTACTGCACTACAGCCTGGACAACAGAGTGAGAACCTTCTCTTAAAAAAAATAGAAAAGAGTGACTTTCTCCATGTAATTTAGTGTCTGTGGGCTCCATTAAATCATCTCAAGGAACCTGAGGTGATTTAATGGAGCCCTCAGACAGTAAGACTTAATAGGGTGTTCAGAAACCCCAATTGCCCATATATTACTTAGGTTAAAATTGCAAATATATTAGTACCATTATTTTGGATTATCAGTTCATATCATTAAATATTTGTTGAGGGACTATTACATACACAGCTCATGTGCTAAGTCCATGTACTAAGTATCTCTTGAGTAATGTGAGTGGAGAATGACCATGTAATCACAGTTATTTTAAAGTCAATGTCTAGCAACTCCAATATCCCGACACTCTTAGGGTCCGCCCCTCTCATCTATTTCTTCAGTCATGTGGTCTTGTCTCCTTAAATGACTGGTAGTTTGAAATTAGATGCCAGATGTGTATATAAGATTAAGATAATTTGAGCCTCTTGGTAATTTTATTTTCTTTCAAGGAAGATTCATTTTTATTTTTAGTAAACTGTTAGCATAGAGGCAGATCACCTAATCCAATCACGGATAATGTTTAATCAAAGCTAGACTTTGTTCTTTGTGAGGGTTGGTCTATTTCTGGTTCACTCCTATGTTCTAGGGTATAGCCCTTGGTGGACGTCAACAAAAACCTTGGGATGCTTATCACGGACTCTTTTCCTTTTAGGGCTCTGAATTCTAATTTTTCCCTTCAGTATGATAAGACTACCAGAAGCTTAGCTCAGCTTCTCTGCTCTCAGCCACTACTTGTGAATCAGCTAAAGACCTTGAGAAGAAAGCAGACTGAATGTCGAGCACACTCCTTGTACTTCCCTTTTCTCAAAAATCTTAGCCCCTCAAGTCCTTGCAGACATGGTAGCTCTCTCACGCCTTCAAACCAAATCAATCGAATATTTTGTCTGGCTTTTCTAGTTGCCCTTGGCTAATGGATTGTTCTGCAAAAAACAAGTCTATCATTACAGCCTGCAGGCCATATTATTACATGGGAAAAGCAAATTACAAAAGAATAAGTAGGGTGTGATTCTATATTCATTAAAATAAAAATATTGATAATTTGTTAGAAAATGCTCAGGAATGTAATCTGAAAGAGGAGTCACCTAATCATTTACATTGGTTATGCAGTATTTCATTTCACTTCCTATGCTATGTATTTTTTGTAATGTTTGGACTCCAGTTTTCAATAAAGATATATTTCATAATAAGAGGAAATTCATAAGGTCATTTCCAAAAGTTGAAAGAAATAAAAAAGGCATAACGAAATAGCTGGAAAGTGAGTTTATCCTTATCTCTGTGTCCTAATTTGGGAAAGCCAAACTTACAGAATATCCAGCAATATAGGGAAAGGTATGGTACCCTGGTTAGACTTATGCTATTAATTATGGTAGCCCTCCCTTACAGTATCAAGGGGCCTCTTGGTTCAGGGATTTTCAAGGTTGGTGAGTTAACTGTGGTGACTCCAAATTATTTACTGGGTCATTTAAACTACTTGATCTGCAAACAAAAGGGAAACTGAAATTATAGAAATCTCCCAACCCTAGGAAAACATTTACTTAGCCAAACTAACTTTAGCATGCGACTAATTAAAAAGGACTTCCTTCTTGGAAAGAGAGACACATATCCACAGAGTGCTATAATTTATTTAAGAGTTCATTTTGAAAACTCCATTCCATCACTTTGCAAGTGAGCACTGAAATCCAAATTTGGAAGTTAATATTTATGTGAGCTAATTTTTATCTTATTGATTCTACACAGATTTCTAGCCCTTTAAGATGATTTTGAGTCTGAATCTCATTTCTAACTATCTTAACAAATGTTTCCATCATTTTGTCAACTAAAAATTCGTAGGTATATTTTCTATGTCCTAATCTGTTTATTAAAATATTGGGAACATTAAAAAAAAAATCAGAACCGAGGGCAAGATAAAGTGGGACTTTACTAAAGACTTCTTACAGCCTGTCAGTAATGAATCAACACCTTTGTGTATGACTGTTTCATCTGCTTCAAATCCACTTGACTACACTATAATTTTATCCACATTACCCTCTTCCACTAGAGCTGCTAAGGAATTTATTCCCATTCAAGTCCTCTGGGTGAGCTAACTTAGCCACAGATCACAAGAGGCAGCCCTTGTGTACCGCCTGACCCATGCCCCTGGCCACAGCCTATTGGATCAAGGATAAACACTTGATACAAACTGGGCCAATCAGATTCTCTATCTCAAGAATTTCACAAAGAGGCATGGAGCCTGAGTTTGCTAGCTAGGGGTAGCCAAACATAAGGGTCATGTGACTTAGGGGCTGAAGCCCATCATCGGGCACTCATGATGAGCTTTGTATAAGCAGAAGGGTGAGGAGAAAGAAAAAACCAAAGCATGCATGCTGAGAGAAATGTAAAATTGAAGCCATGAAGAGGGAAAAACATGAAGAGATTAGCTGCCTATTGGCTTCCCAGTTCTCTGGATGTCTGACTTTGATAAAGTGCACTTGGAGTCTGTGAGGCTTTTTTCTGAAATTTTAAACTCCTTTTTTTGGCTTGAGCAAATGTTATAGGCTGAACTGTGTCCCCCACAAAATTCATATTTGGGCCAGGTGCGGTGGCTCACGCCTGTAATCCCAGCACTTTGGGAGGCCGAGGTGGGCGGATCACTTGAGGTCAAGAGTTCGAGACCAGCCTGACCAACATGGTGAAACCCATCTCTACTAAAAATACAAAAATTAGCCGGGTGTGGTGGCATGTGCCTGTAATCCCAGCTACTCGGGAGGCTGAGGCAGGAGAATCACTTAAACACAGGAGGCGGAGGTTGCAGTGAGCCAAGATCACACTGCTGGACTCCAGCCTAGGCGACAGAGTGAGACTCCATCTCAAAAAAAAAATAAAAGAAAAAAAAAATTCATATTTCAAAGCTCTAACCCCCAGTACCTCAGAATGTGACTGTATTTGGAGACAGAGCCTTTAAAGAGGTGGTTAGGTTAAAATGAGGCCCTTAGGGTGGGCCCTAATCAAATCTGCCTTGTGACTTTATGAGAGAGGAAGAGACACCAGAGATGTGCACTCACAGAGGGAGGGCCATGTGAGGACACAGCAAGAAGGTGGCCATCCGCAAGCCAAGGAGAGAGGCTTCAAGAGAATCTAAACCTGCTGCACCTTGATCTGGGACTTCCAGCCTTCATAACCATGAGAATATGAATTTCTGTTATGAAAGCCACCCAGCCTATAGTATTTTGTTACGGGTACCCTAATGGACTCAGTCTAAGAGGGTTTCACTGCTTTCCATTGCACGTAACAGAAAACTAGGACTCAATTAGATCAAAAGATAAGATTATGAGTTATTTCACATAACTAGAAATCAGGACAGAAGGAGCTCCAGGGTTAGTTAATCAGTGACTCCTGACATCATCAAGGATCTATGTTCTTTCCGTGTTTCTGCCCCTCCATTCTCATCTCAGCGTGTCAGCTCTGACCTCGGGCTAGAGATCCTTTCATGCTGATGAGCTGGCTGCAACATTTCGAGACATGACACTGTCCAGAAGAAGAAATTATTATATATTTTCTGAGTGTTTCTTTTTAAAAGCACAGAAACCCTTCTTAGAAGCCCTCTTACACTCTTTTCCACAACTTATCAACCAGAAACGCATCAGAGTTCATGACTACAGTAATCATTGGCAGTGAAAATAGGGCCATTGTAAAGGATCCTCCCTAGATAAATATGGTCCCAAGGAGAAGGGCAGAACTTAAATAAAATAGAGGTAGAGTTAAGAAAAAAAAGAGGGAATGAATTTGGAGTAGATAACCAACAGGGTCTCCCTGGTTTCCTTTACCATTTCTCCCTAGACAGCAATTCCATGCAAGATTGTCATGGGAGATTTTGACAAATGTGCTACTGAAATGGCAACACATTTTTTAATGTCACTCCTCTGATCTATCAATTTATTTAATATATACCAACAACAAGTACAAAATAAATTTGGATTTTCATAATGCTGCATAACTTAAACTTTTGTATGCATTATGTCTTTTGCTACAAATAACAACTTTACAGAATGAGAAACTGAGGCTCAGAGACTTGAAATGATTTGCTTAAGAACACTAAATGTTTGTCCCTAGAACAGTGAATATAGTGACCAGGGGTCACAGGCCAGTAGTGATAGGTTAGATTGGATTAGAGCAATAAATTGGTAAAGTTGTAGGAATCTAGGTGAGATTATGGGGACCTTGAATGTCAAAGGAAGGAGTTTAAAATTGATTAAATATATAATAAAGTCTTAATCTGAGGAGTGATCTGATGAAATGATATATCAAAAAGATTGATCAACCACTGGTTTCTAAAAGCAGTAAATAAGTGGTTTAACCAAATAGTAGACAGAGGCCAGACTCAATTTGAGATTCATTCATTTTCCACTAATCAAACTTTATTGAGCATATATTATGTGGGAGGTCCTGTATTCAGCAGTAGGGATAAGAGGATGTGCAAGACAGATATGGTCACTTTCCTTGTATCAATTAAAGTCAGAAGGATCTGTATTAATCAGGATAGGTTGGGCTATGCTGCTGTAACAAATAGACACTGGATATCTTGTAGTGCAATACCATCAAGACATGGTTTCGCTCATGTGAATTCTGAGGCATGAATTGTCTTCTTCCATCTGGTGCATGTGTCTTCCAAGGACACCACAGCAGGTCAAGAAAGATATGGAGGAAGCACACCAATTCTTTATTGCCTCAGCTGCTCCTCACCTAACAGCAGGAAAAACTGGGAAATACATAGTGGAGAGCATTCTGTATTTGGTTAGAAGTAACTGTCTCTGCCACGAAATTTTATAATAAATACCTCAGTTAAAGATCTGTCTCTTTTTTATTCACTTATGAAGTTGTACTATGCAAGGATTAGTTATATAAACATCATTTTAATTAATATGAGAAAAAGCATCATATTAACCTTGCTTTCAGACTGTGTATTTAAGGAGAAGATAAAGAATAACAAGTCAATACTAAAGAAAGGTGACATTTTAATTTCTTTGCCCTGCAGTGATGCAGTAGAAAGACCTCACTTTGCATCACAGTTCTGTGTGCTGCTTTTGTGTCCTTAAGCAAGTCATTCAACCTTGGTGAGCCTCCTTCAGCTTAACAAAGAGAATAATACTTATCTAACCCAGAGAGGTGTCATGAGGATCAAAATTTAAAATATAGATCTATGCAAATGTCTACCTGCCACCACAACTGACACACAGTATAAACTAATTAAATGTTAAATGAGTCTGCTCTATATGGGTCAAAACAAACTTTAGATCAGAACTCACAGCTGCGTTTTTTCATGCCATCATACATCCTTTTGCATCGAATCTAACTCAGCTGCCCAGCCTTCAATACTTTATAATGTTTCACTTCCCAGCCTGTCTCCTTCCCCCTATCACTTCCCGGCATCTTATCTCACCAAACTCTTCCCCTCAACACTCACTCACTCCTTTTACTAAACAATTTTGCTTGCTGCCTGAAACTTTTGGTAGGTCTCTAAAACACTCTTTCCATGGCACCGACTACATTATTGCAAAATAGGGGACTCCTCCTTACTCTTTGCCAGACCAGTCCCTCCGGGAGGATCATACTTTCTGCCC
This sequence comes from Homo sapiens, assembly GCF_000001405.40. Lineage (NCBI taxonomy): Eukaryota > Metazoa > Chordata > Mammalia > Primates > Hominidae > Homo > Homo sapiens. Next base: position 52,555,229 of record NC_000016.10, on the reverse strand, counting down.
CATTGACATGGGGCTTGGCCATCTGATTTGCTTTGCCCAGTGAAAAGTGAGCGGGAATGAGGTGAGCAGCTTTGACAACTGTAGCGGGTTTCCACTCTCTCTTTTTCCTCTGCTACAAGACCCACATGCCCCAGATAGAAGCTTCTTTTTCAGCTTTGGTCCTGAGATGAAGATGTGCAAATGAACAGCAGCTGATGGGTGGTGGACTGGAACGGGGCTGAGAAATAGTCCTCTGTGCTGGTAACCCACTAAGATATTAAAGGTTATTTGTTACTGAAGCTTAATCTACCCAACAAATGGCTGATGCAACCCAAAATTCCCACCACACATGGAATATTTTCTCTCTAATAACTGTGTTCAAAATCTCCCTCCACTAGTGTATTTTTTCATCCCTTTTGCCTCACCAAAATGCTATCTACTTTCAAATGCCTTCTCCATGAAGTTTCCTCTGATTATCCTGATCATAAATGATCCCCGCCTTTTCTAAGCAGCACACTAACATATTACCTGTAACAATTTCTGTAAATAAATGTTTGTTGACTACACTAGCCTAAGAATGCTTTTCCTATGGCACTCATTACAATATTTCATTATTATACTACTTTCCTCATGTCTTGTCATGTTTAGTATAAACAGGGATCATGCTTTTTCCCATTTCTGGAAACGTAGGAGCATATAGTTAGAAAGGCACAGTCAGCATTTGTTGAAAAATAAATGACACAGGTTTCAGCTGTGGGTAAGATGGGGTAATCACACTCTACTTTTTCTCACTGGCACTGAACACAGCTCTCTAACTTGGTGTTTAAGCACACAGGGGGAATTTAGTTGGTGGTTCCAGATTAAGAGGGCTCAGTCTTTCAGTTAAACAATAGTTGAAATGTGGTTTTGGACTGCAGAAGAAGTTTTAGACTGGTGAGATGCAAAAACTTTCTTAAACTCCTTTCTCTGGGCCTGAGAATTGGCCAGTTACACAAACATTAACCAGGACATTGGCTCTACAGTGGCTATAATTGTGTTGTTGTTGTTGCTGTTGTAGGTATGTGAGACACCAACCAGAGTTCGTAATTCTAATGACCTCTCCAGATTTATGGCTGCAGCATTCCCAAGAAGGGGTAGGGAGGGGCATATAATGAGCTACCCTCAGGGGATCAGAAAGAAAAGGGAAGGTGAGGAGGTATGATCTAGAATGCTCAGGGTGGTGTTTGCATGACAATCTGCATGCCTTATGAAACTGACTTTATTTCACAGTGAAGAAGACATTTTGAGGAACAGTAGAGAACCTTCTTGAATAAACAGTTACTTCCTCCTGGGGAAAAATAAAACAATTAAAGATGTAGTAGCACTGGGCAGATTGGCCAATAAATAAGCAACTTGGATGGAAAAAAATCAAACACGGATTTTACTCTAAGGTTTAGACTAATAGAGGACACTCATGGAATTTGTTGTGGGTGAATGAAGGAGGAGACCAAATGGGGAAAGAGGCAAGATGCAGTAGGAGAGGCCAGCTTCAGAATCAGCCACACCAGAGAGTGTCATTTTCAGTCGCCATCCTACCTCAAGATGTTCCACCCAAGCACCAGTTCTGAAGAGTCTTCAAAACTCCATTACCACCTTCATTTCCTTCCTGCCCTGGGCTTCTAGATGTGTGGGTTGGGATAAGAGGTGGAAGGAAAAACAGCAATGCTATTTCATCGCACAACTCTAGGGGGCACCATCCACACTGCATTTATGTAACAGAACATTGTAATTCCCCCTTTCCTCCCTGAGGCCTCAGCAGGGAGGAAACACAATGTTTTCCCTGAACCACTTTCAAAGACCACCTTTCTATTTGATTTCTATTATATATTTAACCATTCTTCAATTCCCAAAGCACTAGTTCAGAATTTTTAAATCTTTTCCTTTCCTTCAACATGTTGTTGACACAGGATAGATGGAGTAGATGAAGCTAAATGATTTTTACCTGCTGTCCTTAAAAAGAAAATCTCTTGTGCTAACTAACCTCAGTTTTTAAAACACGCATTTTAAAAAGTGCAAATCCTCTAATCTAACTTGTAAAACATTTAATATTTTGGATATGTGGCTTTAATGACCATCCAAAAGTCAGGGTGGCTGGACAATGGGAGCTGCCAGACTATTGTCCATTGGCCACAAAGCCATGAGGTGGCTCTTTTTCCTGGGTCAGGAGGTCAAGCTTCACAGCATTAATTTTGCAGAGTTTCTTTGTTATAAATAACAAACAAGGTCATTTATTTTCATTTTCTTGTTTCTAATTGCATGCATCTTCTCCCGAGGATGAACTCCATAAACAGGTGGCTGGAATGCTGGGGAGAAAACTTGAAACTGTTCCAGAAAAAGAGGGCATGTCCCATTCTGGCGAAACAGTTTGATGAGTTAGAGATTTAGTCACTGCAGGATACGCACCTGCACTATTACTCGAAAAGCAAACACTCATCTGTTTGGCACGCACAGATCTATGTAAATTAGGAGAGATTATTTTGCTGCTAGTCCTTGGCTGTTCTGTGATCAAATGCAATTGTTTCCCATTTCTTAAGAAACAGAATCTTTATTAGACTCAGTTCTTTTCTTGGTTATTTTTACAATTTTATTGTTCTATGGTTATTAAAAAATAACATGTCATATAAATTAAGCCTAGAAACATGGATGTTTATCAAAGAAAGGATTGTCATCCAAAGCACCAACTATGAGAGATATCTATGTGCAATGGTATATAGATCTGTCATAGAAGGGTTTAATTATATCTGCCTAATGATTTTCTCTCCTTAATGCCTCTATAGCTGTCTCTTAGCGAAGAATAAAACTGTGGACTGACCCCCACCCATTTGCGAAGAAAGTACTGGGTCTTCAGCTTTCATTGTTCAGCCGGTGGTCTTTGTGGACAACACCAGGGGCCCCTCCTGCTGAAGACTGTCTGGACTTCCTGATTTTCACTCCTGTATAAACCCCCTCCCCCATTACTACCTTTGTCTCCTTGGGGAAAAAAAATGTTTTTCACTTAAGCAAAATAATAACTACCCAGTATTTGTTTCTGGAGTGAAATTGTAAACTTCATTGTACATTCTTCCTGGCTTTGATGCTTATCGTGAAGAGTTCAGTGAAAATAAATTGTTTTTATGAAAGCAGAGAAACCATTTGATAAACACGCTGTCTCTGAAAATCGTTCCTGCAAAAGAGGTCATTCTTTCACTTTAAAAGAAATAGAATATATTTCAGAAAACAGGCAGGACAACATACAAATTTTTTTTTAAGGCAGAGTGTAAATACAGTGAAAATTGCACACCTCCTGATTGTGTGGAGTGTTTTGGTTTCTAAAATATCTTTATTGAAGAGCTACTTAGGTCACAAGCAAATACTTGCTGCATTCCATATTTGTGGTAATGAATTCTTGGCTTAATAGTTTTTTGCTACCAGGGTGTTGGAGGTGACTGTTCCATAATTACTATGTATCTGTCAGAACCTATGGGTGTTATCTATTCTTTGTAAAAGTAATAGTCAACTGACAAAATGATTAGTTTTCTAGAGCCCTTCTTGTGCCTGGTAATACAGAGACCAATAGGACTAAAATTGTAGTAGTATGGGAAACAACCTCATGTACACAACTGAATATATATTTATTATCATGAAGGAAAAGTTTGCTTATTTTTATCCCATTTCCCAGATTTCTGTATTTTTTGGATTTCTGTGTTTTTTTGACCAAAGTAAAAATATCAAAATAGCTCACATTTTCATACTAGAAGAGTTTAGATTCACTGAAAACTGAAGCTAACAATGTCTATGATTGGGGATTTTTTTTCACACTATAATTCCTGTGTGGATCTCTCTATGGTGATTCGCTTTAGGTCCTGCACTGGTAATGTGTCATCAGGTCTCCCAGGTAAGAATTCTTCCTCTATACCATGTGTAGGTTCACTATGGTGAGAGTCTTGGTAGGTTCTGACTTGCTTTTATCTGCATGTGGTTTAGACTATGCACATGAAGTGTTGATTTGCAGACACGAAACTCTCCTAAATTTCATGAGGATACACATATTAAGAATCCAGTCTGGATAGGAATGCTACGCTTTATGACACAACACCAAGTTCAGACATAAAACTGAATATAAGATATTTTAGCAATATAATACATTAGCTGTTACTATGGGAATAGATGAGAGGAAACGTGAGTAGCCCTGGCCTTGTTAATTTCCACCTGGAGCTATCGTTAATTTGGTTACATTACGTATTGCAAGGATCATAATATTTGGATAGGATTTTTCATCACCAAAACTCAAGAGAATTAAACTGTATATACTGTTTAATAGTATTTGCATCTGATCTTGGGCAAGCAGAACACAGAGGGGTTAAATTACTTTCATAGATTCGTAAAAGTGGGGGTTCCAGTGAGGTTTTTGGTTATAAAACTCTGGCAGGTTTAATGAAGTCCTCATGGGGACTTTCTTGCATAATTTGAAACCAGATAAAGTAGAGAAAGTTTTCAGGTTCCGTCAAGATGTAAGGTAGTTTTCCCACAATGTAAAGTTTGTGTATTTTCTCCCCATTTTTAAGGGATTCTTGGATGACATCAACTATTTAATTAGAAACATCAAGCATTATAATAAGATGGACAGTTTTGATCCGAATCATCTCAAAACCCTAAAGGAATTTTCTTATGCCCAGAAGTTGTATTTTGGCTGCAGAATTGATTCTTCTGCTGCCCTTCTAAATCAATAACTGTTAGCATTGTTCAGCATAAATTCAAAGCATATTTAAGATATGTTCTTGGAGAAGGTTCTTCAAATTCAAGGCTAATCCAGTATAAAGGAAACCTTTGTCTATGGCTTTCAGAAACAAGACTGCTGACAGACTGAAAATAGTGACACCCTTAAGATAACAAATACCATGACAGTTACAATTGCATTTAATTTTTTAAAGCATTATTCTAAAGTTTTTAATGGATAGTCTTCAAAACCACTGGAACTCTTAAAATTAGATGATAGTGCGAAAGCAATGGAGAGTGTAATCAGATCAGTTCTAAAGGAAACCACATAGGATCTTAGTTTTTATGTCTGCGAAGGGTCTACAACAGCAGGGTGCAAAAGGCCCCCACCCCACCCAAAGTAGATTGTTCTAATTCACATCAGAGGTCCTGGATATACTCTTCTCAAATCCTGCCTTAAGGTTCCCTGCAAATAAATTACACTATTAAAACATTCTGTGTTTTTTTCCTTCTTCCTTCCCATGTTCTTTCTAAACTTTCTTTCTTTAATGAATATTTATTTCCTGCAAACAAACTATGTATCAAGCATGGTCTGAGGTTCTTGGGATCCAGCAATGATGTAGCAAGGGATGCACTGCCTCATCCCTTGAGCCTTCTTATACAAATACCATGGGGGTGTAGAAGCTGGCATCCTTCACACTGTATGTGAGTTTGTTTTTCATGTCGCTTCTCTCAACAGCAGCTAGTGGCTGTGCCATGACAGTATCTCCAGGTGACTGGGATGGTTCAGGGCATGTATACACGTGTGCATGTGAGTTCGTGTGTATTTTGTGTTCCAAGAGCCAAAATCATAGTCCTCTTTGAGGACTTCTATATGTGTCATGTCGGGAATTGAATCCTCTTTCTCATTCACAAGTGCCTAAAATCATGTCTGGCACATGGTAGGTACTCAAAAAAAAAAAAAAAAAAAAAACAATAAATAAAGATAGCTGCCAAATGCGTGGAGATTGGGCTAAATCGTCAAGTCAGCAGCCTTCACCAATGCCCTTTTTCTGTTCCAGTGATTTTCTCATTCTAAATGCCTCAACATACACATCTTCAGCTCATCACCCGGATTCTTCCCCTCCCTCTAAATCAAAATCTAAACTCAGATCTTTTGCTTACCTTATATCCTAAATCAAATAATAAAATGCAGACAGATGAGTATTGTTCCCTTCACAAAGGTATTTGCATCCTAACAGGGAAGGGAAATTTAAGAGAAAGACTTTTCCAAAACAATGGCCAGGAGTTAGGGATTGTCACCGAGCATTCCTAACTCCTGAGAGCCTTAGGGGTAAAGTTCTCGCTTCATTTTCTAGGCTCTACCGCCCAAAGCTGAATGCAGTACATCAGCCCACTTGCAATTCCCATTCTTGCAGCTAGCGGGTTTCCACTGCGAAGCGTATTTATATTCCTGATCCTCGAAGTCTGATTACAAGTTCAGGTTTAGTCTCTGTAACTTTGATTATACTTTTCTTCATCCTTTAATCAAGCTCAGATTGCTTCAGATGCAAAACAGAATGAGCAGAAGGTGAGGATTGTGAGTGTGCAAAGAAAAACTTAGCTTTCCAGAGTTTTGGCTCCTTGTAAGAGCTATCTGTAAAATTTTTTTTTTAAAAAATTCTTTTTTGGTACCCCAGATCATCACACTGCTCCTCTCCTGTGGCCAGATCCTGCTCTGTAGGCCATTGTTAAATACTAATAGCGAAACTTAAAAGATGTTCTCTTGCGAGACAACAGGTGGCCACTGCAACCTCCAGCTCTGATTGGTGGAAAGGCCACAGGCGCCCAGTGGCCCAGAGAAAGGGCCTCCACTTCTGCGTTTCAAGAACTTGCTCAATGGGGTGTTGTCCTGATAATATCTCAGCTCACTGTCAATTTGTGCAACCTGCTGGGCCATTAGGGAGCACCGCTGGGTTGTCAACGTTAAATGGAGACTAGGGAGGGGAAACCAAAGCTTTTTCGGGAGGGTGGGGATCAGAGTCAACCCAGGGACAACGTGGGCAGTTGTTTCTTTTCTCAACACACACTGCTCTCTCATGCAGTAGTCTCCTGACCCAAGTTTTTGCTAAGAGAAGAGCAAATACACAAACTTTCACCTAATTGAAGTTTATTTTTTTCTGCTCCGTTCCAGAAAGATAATATTGAGTGAAGGTACACACACAGGTGTCACAAGCCCGATCTACTCTGGAGAACAGAAGAAATGAAAAGAAAACCCATGTCATGCTTGTCTGAAAAAGCTCAGGCCCTGGGCCAGCAAGGTGTGACCAGGGGATGAAACTGTTAGCGAGTGTCATAGGAAATATTTCAGAATGTCGCCACTCTGGTTAAAGTAGCTGGCAGATAACTAAACTGGGGAGGGCGCAGATCTCACGGCCTCTCCACAACGTTCCCATTTAGTATAAAGCCCCTTCCCTTCGCCAAGGCTGAAGGCCAAACTCTCAGATTAACTCAAAGCAATAAAGCCGATGAGAAAAAAAATTAAATAAAAAGATGGAGCTTAAGAAAGATAAAGAAATAAAGAGGGGTGGGTGAGTGTAGAGTGGGGAAGTTAATCAGCTAGGACCTTTTAGGAAAATAGGGACATTTTCTCTCCCAGAGCAGTGAATGATCTGCCTAGATCCAGTTACTCAAATGCCTTTCGAATACAAACAAGAGCAAAGAGAATACGAAGAGAACCGACACGAGGCTTCACCTGGGAAGCTTCAAGTCTGCCTACCTGTGAAAGGTCAGGCCCCAACACCCCTTCTGGGAAATCCTACAGGTGAACTTGGGGTCCCGGCTCCCGGCTACCGGGAGACACTCGTGCAGGTTGGCGTCTGGGTTAGGTGTGTCCACGCAGGGGACATTCGAAAGGCAAGGCGGGGTCGAGGAGAGGGGCCCGGGGACAGGCACCCATGAAGAAGGAAGGGGGTCATGGGGAGGAAAGCGACAGGAAGGGAGCAGACGGCTTGGGGATGCTGGGGCCCGGGGAAGCTGTGGTCGCGCAGGAGGAGGGTGGGACACACGGGACGCAGGGCTGGCGTCCGCTTCGGCCGAGGAAAGGAGGGGAGAGAGGAGCGCTCCGAGGCAGTGGGGACAAAGAGGACCGGAGCGGGAAGGGGGGCGAGGTAGGGAGAAGAGGGGCCCCGGAGAGGGGGCGGCCGCGGCGGGGGTGATGGGGCCGGCGGGGCGGGGTGGGCGCTCCCGGAGGCGGTCCGGGCCGAGGAGCGCACCGGCGGGGCGGGCGGCGCGCCAGCTGCCCGCGGTGGGAGGGGCGGAGCGGCGGCGGCGCGGGGAGGGGACCGGCGGCTGAGGCAGGAGGGGGAGAAGGAGGGGAGGGGCCGGGCCCCTTGTCTCCGCGGCTCGTCTCCTCAGTCCGCCCGGGGAGGAGGAGGAGGAGCGGGGCCAGCCGCCGCCGCCGCCGCCGTCCCAGCCTCGCCCAGCGCACCTGAACTCGCCTCGCCGACCCGGGCCCCAGCGCCGCGCCCCGCGCCCCCGGCGCCCGGCCCGCGCGCAGCGCTGCCTCGGTGCCCCGGCGGGGCGCGTCCCCCCGGCCGCCTCCCGCTCTCCCGCGGCTCGCGTGGCCGCGCCTTTGTGTGCGGCGGCCGCGGCTCCCGAGCTCCTCGGGCTCTGGGTCCCGGCGCCCCTCCGGCCGCGAGTCCCACGCGCCACCCCCGGGCGCCCTCGACGGTGGATCTAGCGGCGGCGAGGAGGCGGGTCCCGGCCCCGGCGAACCCCAGTCCCGGCCCCCGGCCCCGGGCCCAGCTTCGGCATGGATGTGAGGTTCTACCCCGCGGCGGCCGGGGACCCTGCCAGCCTGGACTTCGCGCAGTGCCTGGGGTACTACGGCTACAGCAAGGTGACCGGGCTGGGCCGGTGGGCCGGGGGGCGGGGGCCACCTCCCCATCCTGGGCGCGCCCCGCGCTCGGGCTCACCGCCTGCTGCACTTTTCTTTGGCCTCTTTCCTCCCATGTCTCTTCTACCTTTGAGCCTTCGTCTCTGTCCAGCTCTCCCCGCTTCTCTTTCTGCCCCATCCCACGCCGCTTTTTGTCCCCCAGCCGGCGCTCTCCTCAGCCCCTCCGCTCCCTCCCACCTCCCCGCCAGACTCTCCTTTGCTGCCCCCAAAAAGCGAAGAGAGCCCGAGGACTGAAAGAAGGGCTGGCGTGTGATTGTTTGTTGCTGTTATTAGTAAACACGATCGCAGCCCCCCTGGACTGAGTGGGGGCTACGCAGGGGTCCCTGATCTCCTGGTCCGATGATCTTGCCCTCCCCCACCCCCAGTCCTTCTTACCTCCCCCACCTACTCCAGAGCCGGCCTCGGGGCCGCTTACGGACGGAAAGGAACAAACTTTTGAGTATGCCTGGACAGGGGAGTGGGGGGAAGTGGTGGGACCCCGCAGGTGGCCTTTGCTGCCCTTTCGTTAGGGCACTTTGGACCTCGGAACCGGGGTGCCCGCCCCTCCCCGCTTAGAGTAAGTGGCTTCTTTCCTCTCATTTTTTTGGGGGGGCTAAGTTTTGCATTTCGGGGAGATCGGGATTGGAGACCTCCACACCACACCCTGGGGTCACTCCACCTTCTCCACCTCCCCCTGCGCCAACTTCGAGGACCGAGCGTTCCAGGTGGCGAGGTGGACCTCAGAAGGGCAGCGGGCGTCGCTCGGAGCAGCGAGGCGGGCGAGAGTCGCAGCCCTGGTACCCGGGCCGCGCGGAATTCCCCCCCACCATCCGGTGTCCTCTGTCCTCCCTGAAGCCCCCAGCGCCGAATTTGTCGAAAACATCACCCTGAGGGCGAGATTCAGAGAAACAGCCGGGCTCTGAATGGCCTGTGCCTTTTGAATGTGGTTTTCTTTCCCCTTCCTCCTGCTCCTCCCTCCTCCCTCTCTTTTTCTTTCAAATCGTAGTTTGTTTGTGATTGCTTGGATAACAGGAGGAAATAAGGAGCCTGCTGAAAGAAAGGTGCTAAACAAAACTAATGAATAAATAACAGGAAGAGGAGGAATTGCATCTAGAGTGAGGAACAGTTTGCTGTGCCCCGTGGCTGATGGAGGCTCGTGTTCCTTTCTATTTGTTTATACTGCGTTCCCAACTCTAGTGCTGAAGTTTGTAAAAGACCATTAGGGTCTCTCTTGCTCGCCCTCGCGTGTCATCATCGCCCAGCTCAGCGTCTGGCACAGAGGGGCCTCCCAAAAAATATAGATCGAGGGGACTTTATTCCGTGTGCTTTAACCCTTTGGTGGTTGGAGCGTTCCTGCTCTCCGAATTCTAAGGGCTACGCTAAGCATTTATAGAGAGGCAAGAAAAGGCCGATCGCTGGAGCCAGAGTTAAGGATTAGTTTGTGTCCTCTGATTTTGGATTTACTCAGGTTATTAAATGCTTTAAAAAGTCCCCCATGTATGCTCAGTAAGGGACTTAGGCAGCCTAATTAAGTATGTAGTGTTTCTGAGAATCTACCTAATTGTTCCAGTGGGGTATTATTTATCTCCTTACAACTTAGCATGTGGATGCAAGCCTTGTATAAACTGGGCATGCTCTTATTTTTGGAAGCCATTACCTTGCCTAATGTAACTCCTTCTTTCTCTGATTTAAGATCTGCAACACTCGAATGACACCAAAATAGAAACCTATTGTACAAATGCAGTCACTGCAATGCGTGGCAAATCTCTGTTCACTGGGATCCCAAGGGTACTTCAAGGGACCAGAGGAAATTGGGGGTGTTTTGTGTGTGTCTCTTTTTTATTTTCTGAGAAAGGCTATTTTGAGTCTATTTAAGCTCAGAACATTTATTTCAGGGAGGGTATATAAAGCTTGAAAACAGACATTATTTATTGAGATGCTTGTTCAGCTTCAGGAGTGTGGATACAAGTTGGCTTACTGTCGTATTTTCTTAATGCAGCTATTTGCCTGAAATAACTTGCTTTCTTACTTATTTAGCAATCTGATCGTCATCAGTGCTCTGTGTACCCAAGTTATGAAAGTTAGACATAGCGCTTAATATTGGTAGGAATCAAATTATACTTATTGTAAGGGATCTTTGTATTGACTTCCTTGCAAGTAAAAATATAACTATCTTTAAACTGAGCCACAATACTATATTTTGCTACTTTTATTTTCGGAAGTGAAAAACACAATTTTATTTCCCATAATTTTCCTTTACAGAGAATATAGTAGAAGAGGAAGTATTAACTTTATGGGTATAAAGCAGCAAGTGCTAATTAAAGGTTTATAGCATTTTGTTTCACAGCTAATTTGTGTGTCTGAAGTGGTGCTGTTCAATATAGGTTTATACTGAAAATGTAAAAACTAGCATATAAAGACATGCATTTATTTTATTTGAAAATACTCACATTATTAATTAATCTCTAAAGACTTAACTTTTGATGACATGTATTATCTTTCTGGATGGGAAATGATGGATTTCAAAGAAAGTATGTTTCTTCCCTCTCTTGTTTTAATGACCATCTGGGAAACTTTAGAAGAAACACCGAACTCTTGGCTCTAGGCTTAACAAGTGAAAGTTAGCGCTTATCTTTAAATTTATTTACAAACCGTGAATAATAGGGTTTCATTCATTACTCTCTTTAACAAATGACCAGAGTCCTTTGTATCAATTATATGCATGTGTATTATCTTTACATTCTGTGAGTATATGGATCCTTTTCAAATGTCAGTGCTCATGAAAGTGTACTGTGTCTGTGGAGAATGGATGAAAGAGTTTTGTGGGTTCAAAAGTCGTTGCAAGTAGGAGAATAACTTCAAATAAAATATAGCCAGGATCATTAAAATCAGTTAATAATTCATGAACCAGCCACTGATGTATAAACTTAAAGTCATCACTGTTTCCTAAGGGCTAATTTCCATTTTAATTTCAAGTAGAAAGTCGACTGTTTGAACATTTCTTTTTCTGGTGTGGTTAACAAATTAAACCCTGTATATTAAGAAATAAAAACTCATTATGTTGCTCAAATGATCTGGTGACTCTTTGACTATATATTTGTAATTTTTCTTTCCTGAGTTCAATTTGTCTTTTCACCAGTAAGAAAACAATACACAGAATATCAATTAGCAAATATAATTTAGCACTAATCTGAAATCCAACATACTCCAAAATCCAAAACTTTTTAGAGCACTGATGTGACAGTCAAAGGAAATGCTCATTGGAACATTTCGGATTTCAGATTTTTGGATTAGGGATGCTGAACTGGTAAGTATAATGCAAATATTCCAAAATCCAAAGAACCCCTAAATCTGAAACTTCTAGATCTAAGCATTTCAGATAAGGGATACTCAACCTGTAGTTGTCAGAATTCTGCCATCCCAAAATAAGATACTGTGTTTAATGTGGGTGTGAGGTGAAATCATACAGTGGGTTGTTAACAAACTTGGACTAAACTCCAGTTACTAGCTATTTCTGCATATTTTTAGGGCTTTTCCTTTTGAATTATGGCTATTGACCTCTCACCCTTACTTAGATTAGTGCTATGTTGTTTTTATTCTATCAGTCCCAGACTTTGCTTTCTAATTATTATGTGTATTATTTATTGATCACTTTGATTAATTAAGACATTCTTATATTAGTGCTTTGACTCCACCTGATTGGGCTTCTGCCTTGGCTAGCTTGAAGGGCAAAAGAAACTGCAGGGTAATTTGTCATTTGTCAATCTTCTTGGGGATCATGGTTCAAATTGAGAACATATTGGGGGGAATTTGATTGAAACTCTTCTTAGATTGAGAGATTCCTGTATCCTATCACGACAGGTCTTCACGTAAGATATTGAAGCCACATTGTGAAAAAGAAATAAGGTTTTCCTAAGAGCCTTAAACTAGGGGGCATAAACTCAATTGTCTCTTGGGACAGCAAGTTAGCCTACATGGAGACAGGGTTTGCGGCCAAGTAGAGAACATACCCCATTTAAAGGGATAGCCTTCGTCAGCATTAGTAGAGTGTTGCCATGCCAACATTTGGGTCCAATATCTCTATACTTTACAATTCTTTTTTCAAGAGGATGATAATCTGGGTTTTTATGTGAATTATCATGAATTTTAAATGTTGGAATAAATTAACAAAAAATAATTAAAATCATTATGTGGGACCCTCAAAACTTGCTTGTGTGCTGATTCTTGTACTTCTTGTCTTAAATTCATATGTAGATGAGGATCCAAACATAACTTTTTAATAAGTCATTTATGGTTTACATGCAACTATGTGGACAGTTCTGCTCCCATGTCCAACTATGTAGACAGTTCAATAGAATGGAGTAGAGCTGCGTAAAGAAATTTGTGACACCTGTGAAGACCAGACTTACCACAGAATGGTTGGCTTCAGGTTGGTACCCAGGGCCTTTTTAGAACCTTGGCAGCTCTAAGCACTATTGATCTGAGCTCCCTTCCATGCCCCATCAAACATTAAAATGCATCCACATCCTGCATTTAATCTAATGTGATATGATACCATATCTGAGTTGATATGGATCCGTTGACTTAGTTTACATTTTGTAAATATTTAGCTTCACATCTATTAGTTGTAATTTTGTAGTTTTCTGGTGATGTGTGGCCAGTTTATTTTTTTCTCACATTTTAAACATTGTTGTGGGCCCATGAGAAGCTTGCAGTTCTAAGTGTGTGGTGTATAGTGACTAATGGATAAAACAGTCCTGCTGCTCCTAACTAGAGGTCCACAAACTATTTGACCACTCCAGATGCTGGGCTACTGATGAAGACCCTGTGCTCAGTAGAGACTAGCATATAGTTAGCCAAAGAAAATTAATTTTAGTCATTTCAAATGAAGTCAATGCATGTAGGTGGTCACAGTTTTCAAAGTATGTGTCGATATTTCAAGGAATCTACTTCATGTCACAAACTCAGCTGGATGTGAATCCACTTGAAAATTTGTTTAATCTGCAGAGTATTAAAAAAGGCTTGGTTGTCTATATCTAAAAAACTTTGCATATAAATCTGGATTCCAGCTTTTCTTTAGACATCTGGCAACACTGAACCAATATCCTTGTATGGCAACATCTGCTCGGTGTCCTTCAGATGTGCCTGTACCCCATAGTTCATCACGGCCTGTTTCACAGCCTGTCTCATATTCAGACCTTTGTAATCCTCTCAGGACCTGAAGGCTTCAAGTTTGAAGATTTTGATTAAGAGGAGAAGAAACTAAAGGAGCAACAAATGATGCTCAAACCCGGAAAGGTTACTGCCACCAGACAAATTGCAGATCAAGTGCATCTCATGCTATGTACGGTAGTAGCTGAGATGGTAAAAAATAATTTGTGATCATTTTGTAGGGCAGTGTTTCTCAAACTTTACCATGCACAAGAACCACCTGGGAGCTTGTTATAACACAGGCTTTTGGACTTTACCCTTGGAGATTCTGATTCATGGGCCCAGGGCTGGGCTCCCAGGCAATGCTAAGGTTGTGGGTCTGTAGACTACACTTTGAGTAGCACATCAAGCAGAGGGCCTTCTAAGGTCAAGAGTTTGCTCTTTCTAAGTTTATCAGTTAGAGTGCTTTGGGCTGCAGAGAACAGAAAACTCAACAAATGGTGGCATAAACCATAAAAGACACTTGTTTACCTTCAAAGAAGTCTTTGGGTTGGCAGTGCCAGGTTGTTTTGGATGGTTCAATCATGTCTTGAAGAGCCCTTCTTTGATTTTCTTTTTATTCTGCTATCCTTGGAGTTTTATCAGTCTTCCCATGGCTACAAGTTGGCTGCTGTAGCTCTGGGTGTCACATCGTCACATGAAAACACACAAAATAAGAAGCAAGGTGATGGTGGTGGGAGTGGTCACAAATGAGTACTTTCTCTTCCTGTACATCTCTTGGCAAGAAGGAAAAGCTTTTCCACTAGACCGTCTCTTTTATCTTATTGGTCAGAAATGGGTTGCGTACCAACCCTAGGCTACTCACTAGCAAAGAGGAAGATTACTTTGATCAGTTTAGACCAATCCAATATCCCTTGAGGCTGGGCATTGCTACGTGAGCATAATTAATTAGTGTTATGCTCTGTTAGCAAGGAAGAAGGCTGTTGGAAAGTCAACGGTGTCTGCAACTGAGTGCATTCGAGGAATATATATATACACATAAATATTTTTTGAGATGGAGTCTTGCTGTGTCACCCAGGCTTGAGTGCAGTGACCATGGCTTATTGTAGTCTCAATTTCCCAGGCTCAAGAGATGCACACATACCTGTGGTCCCAGCTACTCAGGCCTCCTGAGTAGCTGGGACCACAGGTGTGTGTTCGCTATGCTTGGCTAACTTTTTCATTTTATTTTTTGCAGAGATAGGGTCTTGCTGTGTCACCAGGGTTGGTCTTGAACTCTTGGCCGCCAGTGATCCTCCTGCCTTTGACCTCCCAAAGTGCTGAGATTACAGGTGTGAACCACTGCGCCCAGCCTGAAAAATTTTAAGTGGACCGGTGGATTGGTTAGAGTTTTACTTTTGTAAAGATTGATCTGACCTTTTGAGTAGAATGGTGTAGGCCCCGGCAAGAGTAGGAGAGACCGGGAGTAGGATGCCATCACCCAGTTGAGGTAAGGTATGGGAAGGATTTGAATCAAGGAGATGTGAATTTGGATGCAAAAGAAAAGAAAGCACTAAACAGAACCTCCCGACTGGAAGGCAGAAAGAGGAAGCAGAAACGATTGAGGGTGTTTGAATTTGGGGCCTGGACGAATGGTAAGACCTTGAGTGGAAGCAGAGCGGAGAGAGGAGAAGCTGGTTTTGAGGAAAGATAACCAGATCAAGCTCATTTTGGATATTTCAGTGGTATATTCTCACAGAGTCATGCACTGGAACTCAAGAGAGAGTTTGGGGCTGAACAACCAAAGATGGAGTCTTTCTGTTTGTAGTAAAGCAGATGAATGAAATGAATTTGAGTCCTTCAAGAGGAAGGAGACAGGAAATGCAAGGACAACATCCTTGGACCTGAGGATTGGCTGGTGTTGCCAATTCAACTTCCCAGTCAGTGAGGCAGTAATTTAGGAAGTAACATGTGAAACAGAGAATTTGGAAATCCTACTGCACTGTTAAAAACAATGACATAAACAAGGAATGTGTGCTTATGTGTGTGTTTGCATGATGAAACATCCTTTCTCTCTTAATAGTTATTTGGAAGGAAACATTCTTGAATGTGTGAAACTTGAAGAATTTGGAAATCCTACTGCACCATTAAAAACAATGACATAAACAAGGAGTGTGTGTTTATGTGTGTGTATGCATGATGAAACATCCTTTCTCTCTTAATAGCTATTTGGAAGGAAACATTCTTAAATGGTTATTAAGGGGGAATGATGCAAAATTTGTGATAACATAATTTAAAACCATATTAGCCATTTATGAATGAAAACATTTATTTTTTTGGAAGACACATTTGTTTTGGATTTCATGAAATGTTAATGGTGTCATAACTATTTTAGAGAATCTGTTTTGAGTATGGTTAATAAGAAAGGACAGGATTTTTGTTGAGTATACTTACAAACTCAAATATATTTTGAAGGTGGAATTAGTGCTCTAAAAAAAAAAGAAAAATCCTGTTTAAAAATATAAGGAGTAGAGGCTTTTATTTAAGGTCCGCATGAGCTTCTCACAGGTTAATCTTATCCCTTTGAGGTAGATCGTTTTATTTTCTTTGTTTCCTAGGTTTGTATCCTTAATCTCTTCCTCAGGGAGGCCATGTTCTCTTAAATATGTTTCATGCTTGTGTAAAACATGCCAGGCCCTGGAAAATGGCCCTTCTTGTATGATTAACATTCTATCTTTAATCTTAATTCAATTTTGCTTTGTTTGTAAAAGAAGAATTTGAAGATAGACAAATGGGCTAATATGAAGACACATTTGAGTTTTTACTCTAAATTCATATTTGAATGATATATACTCATTCTTTTGGGGGAGTGAGGTTTTAAGCTGGGTCCTTCTATTCCAAATGTTGCAAATTTAATGTAGCCTTATCTACATTGACTAAATTGTTTATGCAGAAGAATTATGTCAAAGATGGTGATAAGAGTGAGTTTTAAAATTCAATTTATTTTAAATGGATGTAGTATAACTGTACCAAATTGTGAGATTTTTTCCAGCAATTTCTACAGCTAATTTGTAATAAGCAAGGGATTTACTGTAGAATAATAAAAATTCTACAGTTTCTTTAAAAAATCTCCTAGGTGTAGGAAGTAGAAGTTCAAAATGCTGACCTGACTAGAAAACTTTTATTAAATATGTATGATTGGTTGGAAGTTGATCTTCTTCAAAAGGGGATGAGTTAAATCTAGAAATATCAAACAGTTAATAAAATATACTCGGTAGATCCATCGTGCTGCTCCTTGATGCCAACTTATCTTTAATGAGAGATTCAACCCTTATTATTTGACTTATTTAAAAATTCTAATAAAAATGTTTAATGGAAAAGTGGTTAAAATGATTGTTTTAGTAAAAATGCTTTGGTTGCAAGTGAGAAAAAGACTTCAGTCAAACTGAGTTAAATAGAAAAGGGATTGTAAGTTTTGTTTCAGGCATAGCTGGATCTAGAGTCTCAAGGGATGCTATCAAGACTTTCTTATATTAGCTCTGCTTTCATCTGTTTTTTTCTTTTTCTTTCTTTTTTTTTTTTTTTTTTTTTTATCATATCAGCCAGGCTGTACTCAAGTAGTGGGAAGTTGTCCAGCAGCAGCTCCAAGTTACATTCTCACAGCTCAGCCTCTTCAAGAGGGAGAGATTCTTTCTTGCATGTTTCAGCAGCTTTTCTGGATCAAGTCTCATTGGATAGACTTGGGTCCCATGCCCAGGCTCGTAGCCACGTAGGCATACCAGTGGGGGAGCTGGACACTGTCATCTTCTTGGAAGCCACAGGAGCTAAGAGTATGGAGCAGTGGTTCTTTGGAGGAAAAACAAAGTGCTGATGTCACAATGAGAGAATGTGGGTGTAGGATAGGAAAGCAAAGTCCATTGAAACGGCTAACTGGAGTGAAGCTTGATGATTTTGAAGATTTCTGAGGATTTCCATTGTCTATGTTTATTATTATTCTTTGTGGAAACCAAAATGAGCCTGTGCTTATGTAATGTAAATATCATAAATATTGTTTATATTAGGAACGCCCTTCTTGTTGAGGCTGAGATTGGATGTGGTCTGCCTTCAAGAAACCTATAGGTCACCTGGATATTCTATGGATATGAGATTTTCTCTTTCCATGGTGGGAGATGTGGTTGGTTGAGAACAAACTGTGGAGACACTAGAATGTCTGGTGAAAGATCCTAGGTTGTATTGAGTAGGTACTAGTAAACTGTGTATGTGTGTGTCTCGGTACATTTGCATATGTATGTGTTTACATACATATATGTGTGTATAGGTAGAGGGTGACATTTTGAAGTGGGGCTAATGAGAAGATATTTTCAAGACAATGTCTGAACATGTTTGAAGAAGAGATTAGAGAGAGAGTGAGAGAGCTATTGAATGATGGATTGGGTGGTCAGTTGCTGTTGGAACGAACACTGTAGATAAAGGAGAGTTAGCCCTTAAATGAAGCCTTGGTAACTATTTCTTTGTGATAATAGGAAAGAAAGGGAAGATGGCTGAAGATTCATATATATATAAAATATGTAAATATGTGCACACATGTGTATATATACATATATATGTACACACACACACACACAGACACACACACCACTGCACTTCCAGCCTGGGAAACACAGCAAGACCTTGACTCTTAAAAATGTCAAGAGTTAAGGAAAAGGGCCAGTGGATTGGACTATGGGAATAAGATTCTCAGTGGCTGTATGGATATAGAGTGAGAAATATATCTTGTTCTATATATACACATGTATATATATATATATATATATATATATATATATATATATATATATATATAGTGTATATCTATTTCAGTAGAAAAGATGTTGGGGAAGAGAGGAGAGAGAGAGAGAACAATATGTATGGGCATGGGAATTGATTGACAAGCCTGAGATCTATCCCTGTGTACTTTTCCTACCTCATTTTCTTACCACTCCTCCCCTCTACCCTCGCTTTATGTGTTTTAACGGTACCAGCCTTCATCCCATCTTTTTGAACTTGATATTCTCTCTGTCTAGAGCCCTCTCCCCAAATGTCTTCACTTGGCTGGCCTCTTCTCAGCACCTATGTCTGAGCCCAGATATCACCTTCAAGTATGTCCTGACCATTAAAAAAATCTCAATTTCTAAAATATCCTTTTCCCCATCTCTCTAATTAATATCTCTCTACCTTCATAATTTTGTTCATAGCATGTACCCTATTTGAATTTCTTGATTATTCATTTATTCATCTGCTCTTGTTGATCTCTTTCCACTGAAATGTAAACTTCATGAGGATAGGGGGTGTATTTACTTTGATGCACATGGTACATCTCACATTTAGAGAAGTGCCTGGCACATAAAATGTGGTAAGAAGTGAACTAGAGATGAATAAAAATACTGTTGAGCAGAAGATCTGGTTGTAGTTTAGTATTTGAGTGAATATGTGTTGACATAGTATGGGTCAGACACTTCTAGGCAATAGGAATGCAGCAGTGAAGTCACTTGTCCATTTTCAAGGAGTTGGACTACAGTTGTGATGATCCCTATTAGAAGTGTTTAAGTTTACATTTTATTTTTAATTTTTTTTATCAGTATTTGATGTGTTGGTGGCAGGAAGAGAACAATGATTATGAAGCTGACTTGGTGGTGGATTTTGCCTAGGCAGGGATGAGAGAACAGGAGTTGAGGGAAATGTGGTATTGAAGTGACTGCTTTTAATCCAACTATTCAGGCCATTGAAGAAATGGTCAAGGAATAGGAGGCCCCCATAATAGCAAAGAGGGTACATTAGGGTTCAACTTACATGTAATAGAAAAAATCTTGAACAGCAACGTCTTAAATGAAGTAGATACTCATTTCTTGTTTCCCTAACCAAATCTAGAGGGAAGTAGTCCAAGGCTAGTATGGAGGCTTCTTAAACACTGAAGAGCCAAGCTGCCTCTAGCTATCCTGTGACCCTTATCCTTATGGCTCAAGGTTGACCTCTAGTCAACCTCCATGGTTTGACCAGCAAGAAGGACGAAGGGGATTGAAGGGGATCAAGGGCAAACGGAGGTTTCCAGAAGCTGCCACATGCCACTTTGCTTATATCTCACTGGCTAGCCTTCATCACATGGCCACACTTGGGTACTCAGGAAATGTACTTTATATTGTGGCTGGCCATGTGCCCAGTGAAACTCTCAATTACTGTGGAAGGAGTGAGTGGAGAGGAAGGGACACCAGGTAGTTCAGCAAGTGTGCTGTGTGTGAGTGAGCGATGGGTGAGGTCTGAGAAACCCTTCTTGGGTATCTCCAAGTTTGAAATTTTATGTATACTCTGTAGTGTTCTTGTTTTTCCTAAACTTCAAAGTTTTAGTTTTTATGTGCTTCTTGGATGATCCTCTTTTGGTGAGAGAGACACACTGTAATAAGATTTATATCTTTTCAGGCCTTTCTTCAGTTTTGGGATTTTATTTTGGGCACACTTAAAATACCCAGTGATTTATGTTCTTTGCAAGAACCACACATCATTATGTCCTAATTTTAATTGATTACCTGCATTTTAGGCCCAAATTTCTCTTCTTTTCAAAATTTTTCCTGAGTTTTTGTAGTGCCATTTATCAAGTCCCAACTCTTGGTAACAAAATTTTGAACACTAGTTAATATTTAGTTGACATTTTAAAAACCAGTTTTTTAAAAACATGATGTTTTTCCTTTTTGATCAAACCTAGTTTATTTCTCACTTCTTATATCCCTATATCCACTGAGAATCTTGTTCCCAGAGTCCAGTCTACTGGCCTTTTCCATTAACTCTTTTTTGTTTTTTTTAAGAGTCAGGGTCTTGTTGTGTTGCCCCGGCTGGAGTGCAGTGGTGTGATCATAGCCACTGCAGCCTCAAACTCCTGGGTTCAAGCAAACCTCCTGATTTAGCTTCCTGAGTAGCTAGGACTGCAAGTGCACACCCCATACCCAGCTAATTTTTAATATTTTTGTAGAGATGGGGTCTCACTATGTTGACCAGACTGGTCTTGAACTCCTGGCCTCAAGTGATCCTCTCGCCATGGCCCTGCAAAGAGTTGGAATTACAGACATGAGCCACTGCACCTAGCCAACCTTTGACTTTGTATGTAACCTTGACTATGAGGACTTGTCAGCTATGCTTGCCACTACTACCTAATCTCCTCTGCCCCCTTTCTTTGCTGTTGTATTTTTTGTGTCAGCCTTAGAGTTTCATTTCTCAGCTTTGGGATAAACTGTGTCCATTTTCCTTACTAAAAATTAATGCTGCCTGACTGTCCCTGGGCCTTTGCTGCGGAATCCTTTTCATCTGTTTGTTCTCTTGGTCATTGTCCACAATGGATATTCCAAGTCTTTCATACTCTTTTGCAGTCCCAGTCAAACCAACCTACCCTCATTTTAGAGGGGACCTCCAATCTTTTACTTATGAAGAATTTGATATTATCTGCCTTAGATCTCTGATTTGTCATCCTCACCCATTCAGGGACCAGATCTTTCTTTCTTCCAGGCCCAGAGAGGGCAGCTTCTACTCTGGGATAAATCCTTCCAACAGTCCTTCCTGCCTGTTGAATATTCTTTGTTCTGCAAACAGCTCCCATCTTTCCTGTCTCTTGCCTTTCTACCTTCAAATGTGCCCAGATGTCTTCTGACTTCCACTATAGATTTTCCAGTCTTCGCTTTGAGTGCCACCTCACTTGTAACAACTTTTGCTGTCTTCTCATTTGCATCCACATTATTATATGCTACATATTTTTATTTACCTCTTTTTTTCTCTTAAATAAATTAATGTGAAATTAAGACTACTGCAAATGGAAAACCTGATTGCTTTCCACACATAAAAGAAAATCCTAAAAATAAACACAAAAGGGGTGTAAACAGTGTTTTTCAAATCTCACTGGAGACCTTGCTTGCCTAAGGCTCTGCTCTCTGTTGAACTCTGTTGAAAAGGGAGATTTGCAAGTGTTAGGGAGGTGTCGAAGATGGCTTAGTACCAAGGCAAGACTTTGTGTTATTTTATCTGGGGGATTGAAAGGGAATTCAAAACAGAATGACTTTCTCAAGATGTCATTAAATGCTCTTCAGTTCCTTGTCTTTGTACTTCCTAGAGCAGAGCTTCTCAAACTTGAATGGCACATGGGGATGTGGATAAAAGACAGGTAGTGGGTCTGGGGTGGGCCTGAGAGTGGGCATTGCTAACAAATTCCCAAGTGATGCTGGCATGGATGGTCCCAGCCACACTTGTGATTGTAGGGTCCTAGAGAAAGGACCATTCACATTTACACTTTTGTCCAACTCTGTTGACCTCGTCTTCAACATCTCTCTGAATGATTCTTCAAACAAGTAATCTTTACCTAGGGTTCCATATCTTTCCCACCCAGGCCCTCCTTAACACTCCATAGACCACTTCTATTCCTTGTTACGTTACTGACACTGTCTTCTCACTCTTCTCCAGCGAGCTCTGCCTTGACAGATCAAACTTCAATCATTCATGCAAAAATACCAGTGCCTTCTCTAGGCAGATTCTCTGCTAAGCCCAGTGCTATACTTCCCTGATGAGTCCTTGACTTCTCCTACCCCCACTTTTATCCTCTGTGTCCCCTGCCCCCATGTTCCTGGTTCCCTGATATTATATACTTGAATGTTTCTGATTGCCATTGCCCTGTTGTCTTGTCTACAGCTTTCCCCCTTCTTCCTAGGAATTGGGAATATCCTCCTAAAGCTTGACCTCTTACTGTTTTGCCTTCGTATGTTTTTCACTTTCTAGGCAGACCCGTGTTGTCTGTACCAGTTATCTATCGCGAGTGATAAACCGCCTCTAAACTTTGTGACTTCAAAAACACATATTTTGTTTCTGATTCTGCATGTCAGCAATTTAGGTTGGGCTCAGAAGGGCAGTGCTTATCCTATTCTGGGTCTCTTATGTGTTTGCAGTCAACTGCAGATTGGCAGGGAGGGTTTGCTTCAGGAGGTTGGCTGGCTGTCCACCGGGGTCCCTCAGTTCTCTGGCATGTATCTTTCACCTCCAGCACGCCAGCCTGGGCTTGTTCATGATGGCAGTATTTCGGACAGCAGGAAAGTACACAAGAACCCTTGAGTCCAGGCCCAGAAATGGCACACTGTTCCTTCTACTACATTCTACTGGCTAAAGCAAGTCACTGGGCCAGCCCAGGTTCTAGGGGAGAGGACGCAGAATCCATTTCTTGATGGGAGGAGCCACAAAATTACATTACAGAAGGGCATGGATAGACAGAGGTGTGGAGAATTGTGGCCATTTTTGCAATTTACCCCAGGGTCTCAAATCCTCATCTCTACTGTGATCTACATTTCTCATCTCCTGCATAGTGGCTCTCTCCAGGCTATGACCGCTTCCCTGTCTGCCGTCAGTTCAAATCCAGCATAAGCCAGAGGGCAACCTGTATCCCCACTGCCCCCCAAACTCCCCTTTGAATTTCTGTTTTTTTCAGTGCCGTATTTCCAGGTGCAAAACTTCAAAATTAATTTAGATTACTTGGCTTCTTTCATTCCCTTAGTCCAGGGAGTCTTCATGTCTTCTTTATTATGCTTCTGATAATCTTTTTCTTTTCTTTCAGCCATCAGTATCCTAGCCCAGGCCTCTCTCCCTGCTTGTCATCTTTTCTCACCTTCAATGGAATCTATGCTTTACTTCTGGTTTAATCTTCTAAAGGATAGCTTAGACAGCTACCATTTTCCTTCTGAACACTTCCAGTGTCTTGCAATGTGTTCGCAGATTTGCCACATTCATTTCTGCTGTATCTACCTATCACTGCTATTATTTATAATTTTTTACATTGACCCACTTTTTAATTTGTATCACCATTGCATATGGCGACCCTGTATTGCTTGCAATGTGTAAAGATTACCCATACAATAAATGCATAGCTATTAAACTTTTAAAAAGTTTTTTAT
The DNA here is from genome assembly GCF_000001405.40 of Homo sapiens. Lineage (NCBI taxonomy): Eukaryota > Metazoa > Chordata > Mammalia > Primates > Hominidae > Homo > Homo sapiens. The sequence goes on along the minus strand of NC_000016.10, from coordinate 52,531,520 downwards.
ACACCACTTAAGTTAATCTAATATGAATAGTAGACACTAGGAACACTGGCCTGCAGGGTAAATTGCTATGTCCTCAACTTGACATTGAACACCCTCCGTATTTAGTATCAAACTTACCACCTTAAGCAAAAATAAAATTCCTTGGAAAACAGGTGGTGAGTTTTCTTAACTGTTTGAGTTCTGCTCAGGGTCACTATTGACAGTCATTGCAGTGGTAATAGATCAGCACCACAAACTAGGATTGCCTGCCTTTATATTTTTGCACCTTTCCTGGATATATTCGTTGTTTTTAAAATAGCTATTGTCCATGTGACTCAAAACCCATTGTTTATAATAAATAACTTTCTTGGTGGCATAAAAGCCTTGCTCTGTCTGCATTAATAACTTTTCGAATATCCTCCCCAATCCTGGCTTTGGCTAACGATTTCTAATTGCCAGTGGGGTAAAATAATATATTACATGTTCCTCTTTTTACATCTTGTCTCAATCCTAGATTCCTAGAAGACACTGTAGTTTTGACTATACAGCTTAAATCATCGGAGCCTTTCTTCATAGTTTAAACACTGAAAACAGTGGAGCTTTAAACAGGTACAAGATGGCAGGTGACAGCATTTTCCTTCCTCCATGTTTTTCAAGGCTGCATGATTATTAGGGTGAAGCTTGTGGAAGTCCAAGGCAGAAACCAAGTAAAGGAAAACGTAGTCAAGTTAAAAGCTAGTAAGATGAGTAAGAAGAGTGATAACAGAAGACCAAGAAGAATGCAATGGATGGGAGTGATCTAGAAGATTCTTATATCAGGGAGAAAGACCATTCAGTTGTAGAGAGGAAAAAGAGAAGGGTGTAGTTAGAAAAAAAAGAAAAAAAAAAAAGAGGGGCCAGGCATGGTGGCTCACGCCTACATTCCCAACACTTTGGGAGGCCGAGGCAGGGCATATCACCTGAGGTCAGGAGTTCCAGACCATCCTGGCCAACCATGACCAACATGGTGAAACCCCGTCTCTACTACAAATATAAAAAGTAGCCGGGCGTGGTGGCAGGCACCTGTAATCCCAGCTACTCGGGAGATTGAGGCCGGAGAATTGCTTGAACCTGGGAGGCGGAGGTTGCAGTGGGTTGAGATCATGGCACTGCACTTTAGCCTGGGCAAGAGAGTGAGACACTGTCTCAAAAAAAAAAAAAGTGGGGTGGGGGGCAGTTCAACCCTAAGTTAACAGATACATTTGATGACAGGCAAAACTCATGGCCTGATTCCAGTTGCACACTAAAATTTCCATTGTAACACCACACATACATTAGAATTCAACTTCCTGGGACGCTTTTCCTGATGATAAATGTTGCCAACATATGTAATGGTTTTGACACAGGATTTTTGTCCTTCTTGAAGTCCCTGCTGCCCAGTTTGTGTTAATAAAATCTGTTGGAAGAAATAATATATCTAAGGAGAATGGCATGAAGAAGATGCCTTGCTTCCTTCCGTTCATCCAGATAACCTAATTTGATAAGAGATTTCTGCCAGACTTGTGAGAGAGCTGAATGCTCACGATGGCATATTATGTGGCACCCCACTTCACAGTTGCCTTCACAGGCCCTCTCTGCTTTATTGAATTGCACACTGATTAAGGCTTCACTTTGTATTGAGAGGATTATGAGTAATAGTTTCGTGAACATCATTTTTTTTAAAAAGTTCTATTTACAATGTATAGCTCATTACACCTCATGGTGTCTTTTTAAATGATGATTTACAGAGAATCTTCTTAGGTTACTATATCAAGAAGAACTGAAAAAAATCCACTTCGCTGTATCTTACTGGGCATTAATCTTACCATTCTTGTTCTTTCTTTGCATTGATGGCCAAGAAGCTTGGAGTCAAACAGGAAACCCATTTAGTAGCTGTCTAGGGCAGTAGGATATGCATTCCTGTGTGCTGGCCATCTAGGCTTTATTATTTTCTCAAATTTACTTTTTCCTTGCTTTGATTCACCTGTTACTTACCTTTTAAAAATCACATATGCTTTTAAAAGTCACCTCACTTCCTTTGTAGAGAAAGGCAGGCTATGAATAAATACTTAAAGCACTTATAAGTACAATGACTATGTTTGTATAGTGTCCAGGCTAGTATTCTTATCGTTCTAAAAGGGAAATTTCCACATTTAAAAAAAAATAAAGCCTACTATGTCAATATTGTAAAACTAAAAAACAAGCTCTTATCTCTTCTTCTTTTAGTCTTTTTATAAAGGTGGATACAATTCTTTATTTACAGTACTTGCTAGAATTTATTTCTTATGGGATATTTCCCCCTAGAATTATAGAATCTACTGAAATGATGAAAACAGGAAAATTAGTATACTCTCTGAGACTTTAAATTAATGTTTGCACTCTCTTATCATTCAAAAAGTATTAATTCCTGAAAGTTGACCTCCTGACATAATCAGCATTGATCTAGATTTTACCCGAAGACTGTGCTAAGGTTAACTTGGCACTGGGGATCCATTGGACTGGTGGCCAAGTTGTTGTCTGGTCCACATGTAAATCCCATGATCCCTGAGTTAGCTCCCTAGTGGTTGCAAAGAGTTTCTGCACTCATGCAGGGCATTTGTCCTTTGAGAAAGTGGCCATTTTAGCTTCAGGAAGCCTGCCCGGTGCCTAGTGCCTGGTGCCACATGAGTCTTGCTCAAACTGAGAAGCAGTTAACCTCTTATAAAACCAGCCACCCTCTTAGATTGCTTTCAAGTGTCTCATGGCAATACAAATGTACTTCACCATTGTCTTGGGGTCACTGGTTTGTTTAATCAGTCTCTTGAATATTGGGAAACTTTTGGTAACTTTGGAAAGCAGCCTAATTCCTTCCCCCTTAGGTTGGTTCTGCTTATCTAAGGTTAGACTCAAGAGGTCTAATAGGTTTCAATGACTCCACATATGAAGCAGTTGGCCGGCTGGCACGGTGCGAGAGAGAGAGGCTAGGGAACCAGGCAGTCTGCCCGGTTTGAACTGGGGTTCCACCATTTATTGGCCCTGTGATCTCTGGCATGTTCCTGAGCCTCTCAGCATCATCATTTCTGAAATGGAGATTTCACTCTGCTGGGTGCTGGACAGATGGTGGTGAAAAAAAAAACAGATCAAGTCTTGCCCACAGCACACACTTCCTAGGGGGTTATAAACCCACCTACTCCATAGAGTTATTGTATGTGATTAATACAGTTACCTTCTAGAGGACACTAATAACATTTGCAACATAGGGTCATTGTAAATATGCACTATAACTCTCTGTATACCAAGCATTTCATTAATGTTACCATTACCATCAGTATTATTTTAAAATATTGTTAACATCCTAAGATCGGGTCAGTTTTTAACATCTGGTTAAGTTGCTGAACATAGACTCTGGGAGAAGAATCCTACTTCAGAATATTTTAACAGAACTATCTGGGGTCACCAGTAGATGCCCTGCTGTTCTTTATTTAATGTATAACTTAAGCAGGATTTCTTCATCTCAGCACTGTTGATGTTTTGGGCTAAATAGTTCTTTGTTTTGGGGAACTTTCCTGTGTATCATAGGAGGTTTAGCAGCATCCCTGGCCTCTACCCACTAGATGCCAGCAGCACCCCCAGTTGTGACAACAAAATATGTCTTTAGATATTGCCGAACGTCCCCTGGTTCAGAGCCACTGAGCTAGAAGAATATTTTCGAAAACTTTCTGGTTCTGTCATTTAGAAAGTGCTAACTGGGATGAATTATTCCTTTGTTACAAAGGGCATCTATCTAAATATAGGGCAGTTATTTCTCTAGGGCCTGATGGAGCTAAAAGGAGCCTCCATCATTGTGTTCCCCAGAATAGCTAAGAAGGCCAGCACTCATTCTGAGGAGTAGGTAGTCACCAGGGAAGGAGGCTCCTGGATCAGGTAAAATAATCTACGCGTGTTTCAGCACCTTGCAGATGTTTTCTTTTTCCATCTCCCTCTTTCTGTTAGAGAATACCTCTAGGTTAGCAAAAAGACTTTTCAAACTTATAAAGCTGTGTGATCTGGCGGATTGAGAAGAGAAGATCTTTGTTCATTTGAGAAAATAGTTGTCCTTCAACAGGGGACTTGCCTGAATTGGGGCTCATCTGTCTCTGGGTGCTTGGACTAAGTCACAAAGCTATTTAGGAGGAATTGTTAAAGCACCACCAATGACTGGTTCTGTGCAACGATGATATTAAAATAATAAATAGGAGCAATATGTCGAGGGTTTTGATTTCTTGTTCCATTTCTCCTAATATTGTGGGAGCACACTCTGGCTCATTATTTTGTGTGTTTGGTTCTAGTATACCTGCTAGCTTTTTCTTTTCTTTTACTTTTTTATTTTTTTATTTTTAAATCTTGAGTCACATGAACCTCAAGCTCTGAAGTCTTTTTATTCATTCATTCCTCAAATATTTATGGAATGGCTACTGTGTCTGGCATGGAGTGCACAGAGATTTAAGAAGCAGTTTTGTCTTTCCTAACTGTGATTTCCAGACAGTAGTGACCGCTGTGTTTCGTTTGTTCGCTGCTATGTGTTTAGTGCCCAGCACTGTGCCTGGTGTGTAGGAGAATCTCAATACATAACTAGTTATGAGATTTTATGCTAACATTTAATGTTCTTTGCTTAAAGATTTCATAAGCTGATTACACATTTTTGGAACAATTGACAGGATGTCTTAAGAAAGTCTGTAGCAATTTGTTTAAAAGAACACATTCCAAGAAAATGTATTGTTGTAGGCCAGCTTTTCCCAAACAGAAAATCGCAAAGACTACCTGGTTAGAGCCTTCCCAAGCAGTTGTCACTGTGACCCTCTTCTCTCTACTACGCCTGGAATTCCCAAAGGAGAGGGGAGTGCTGAAGACAACAATGTCCCCTCTCTGGCTCTGATCAGGGGTTTATTGTCAGGAAATCCCCCTTTTCAGGGACTTCATTGTCTGTATCCTCTAACCAGCCCTCCCCCACCACCCCCATCCCCTGCCGACCAACGATTTCAAGGCTTTATGGAAATGAAAAGTTGCTCTTCTTCACAAAAAAGATTGGGGGAGATAAAGTGATTAACACTTATTTTGTTCAGGAATCCATCCGAGCTACCATCCTTGAACACTCATTTGGCTTGTTGGAAGGGTAATCTCTTTCAGAAACATTGGACAGAATTGACCAATTCATTATGTATGTAAGTCTGCTTAAGAATGTTTAATTCAGTGTGCCCTCATCTCCTGGCTTCGTAATCTCCTGCCTTGGCTATTCTGTTCTCTTTGAGTTTCTGCAACTCATTTCTCCCTGATTATTGAAGCTTTCGCTGGACATTCCAGGCAGGCTTGGTCGAATCTTGATGAATAGATTTATGAGGGAAAAAAATACCATCCTCTTTTATTTGGTTATTGATGACCAGATTGTTCTGGGGTAATTAAACTTGGGAAACTACAAATTTAGGCAGAAAAGTATGAGAATACTTAAGCCAATGGGAATGTCAGAGAATATTTCAAAGGCAGTGGGAAATTCTTATAAAAAGTAGCTACTTTGGGCAACATGGGCAGTTCCTGAACAGCCAATTCTGGAAGATCTAGATTAAAACAAACAAACCTTTAGTTCTTTGTGGGCATACTAATATTTGCACTATTTAAAAACGGTAACAAGTAATTTAATTATGGGCACCTTTCAATGCGATGTATTGCATATTTTTTTCCTAATCGTTTTCCTTTTGGGTTCATTAGGCAGGTTTCCATTAAAGTGCATTATCACTGCTGCTACCCATAACAAGGAAGAGAGGGAGTGGACAAAATATGGGAAAATGTTGGAATGGTGTGCGTGTGTGTGTGTGTACGCAGGCATGCACGCACTTGCATTTTGGCATGTGCACTCTCTAGAACTCAAATGGACTTCCCAATATTGGAGAGGAGTAGAGGTGTGAGATGAGCCCCTCTTTTTAGTTATTGCCTTTGTAGTTCATGCCCCCACTGTCTTTGATAGCAAAGATACTTTGGGTTGCAGTGATAAATCCTTGACATTGCTCTGGATTTGAAATTAGCGTTTGCCCTCTGAGTATAGATGGTAATGTTACTGACTGCAGGATGCATGCTCTTAGCAAGTGTTCAAGTACCCAAAGTAACATTTGATTATCTTCTTTTGTATGTCCTTTATTGTCTTAGTAATTTAGGTAGGCACTCCGGACTCCACATAAGGTTTTCTTCCATTCCCTTTCCAGTAGGAGAGCTTCAGGAAAAAAGGACAGAGGAAAAGATAGAGAACCCCCCTCCCCAAACTTAATTAAATGGATCTTTAGTATACTCAAAGAAGATACATGAATAGCCCTCCACCCACAAAATATCATCAGCCTTTGCATTCGTCAGAAAGGTTCTCAAGTCATTTTATTTACTGTACCTGATTAGATTGCAGTGTGATCAGCACACACAAAGCACGGGATTGTCAGGACCTGCAAATTTATTTTTTAAAAAGCAACAAAACAATATTCTCTTTTTTCCCTCAAATATCTTGCCTTTCAGGTTTTTGAAATCAGAATAGAACAAAGTAGGATTTTTTTTTTTTTAATTTAATAATGATCACTCTAGCTCAAGAGACTTTCTGGGGAGGTTACCATCACAGAAGAAGAACACTGGGGTGGGTGAGCCAGGGAGGGAAAACAGCATCATGCATAAGTGTGGAGTTGTGAAAAGGCAGAAAATAGGGGTTCTCAGAAAGGAGACCCAGAGAGGATGGTCGAGGCCAGATTTTGAAAGGTCTTGCCTGTCGTGCTGAAGTTTAGGCTTTATCTTCTAGGCACTTTTAAGCTCAATGTGCTTCAAGGGCCATGCTGCGATTTCTTTTTGGATGGTGGCTGAAACTGGGGTGAGGGATGGACTGGGAAGAGGAAGAGAGGGAGGAGTGGCCGTGTTCTTGTAACAAGAGTGAGTCCCTTTCAGCCCTCTGTGGGAAGGGGAGGGCACTGAAGAGTTCATTTGCTTTATGTCTTGTTCAGTGAATGCTGAAATCTTTTCAATGCTCATTAAGAGACTTTGTAATTGAGTACACGTACCCGTGGTGATTGGAAATCATTTGCATTTACTGCTCCATACATGTAAATCATAGTAATTTTAGGAAGAAAGAATTGCAAACATCTAAAAAATTCATTTGAATTCATTTCTCAAATTCCATTTTTAATATATCATTTTCTTTCAGGCAGTCTAAAGTCTTATCAGAATTATTTTTTAAAACTCAAATAGACCACTTTTAGGCCCTATTGGATTCAGTGAGTTATTAAATTTGACATCTTCCAGGGTTTATTTTTTCTGATGCCATAGTTCAAGATAATGTTTTTAATACTACATGCAGAATTGTAGAGATTCATAATAGCTTATGGCATCTTAATGTCCACAGTGACATTCCACTGGTCATATCCAACTGTGATAAACAGCTCTATACTCCATAAAAGACGACAGTCACTAAGTAAATGCAGAAAGATGCAAACAGCCCCTCAATCTCATGAATAATGTTACAGATCCTGAATGTTAATTTTGAAGAAAACACATGCTTAAATTTAAAGTTTATGTCTTCAATTCACAGTTCTTTTATTCTTCCAGGGAAAAAAAATATCAAGCAGCTATGCTTTAAATGAATCTAATGAACTGCAAAGACTGACATTTTCACTATAAAAGTCACAATTCATTTAATGAGTAGTTAAATATTGATGCTATATTCAAATACAGGCAGAATAAAAATGGCACAATGGATTTCAAAATAGGAATTCAGGGTTCTTTTATGGTGAAAATTTCATGAACTGAAAAAAAAAGTCTCGTTCATCAGGATGTCTTCATAAACACAAATATTCCAGTGAAATAGAGTATTAGTTTGCAGTATATAAATCCCCATAAATAAACTGAGGTAAGTCTTCCCTTTTGCTGTTTGGTTCCCTGTCAGTCTTTATTCCCACAGGACTCATTGATGTTAAACGTGGTTCCTGTCTTCAATGAGAGGGGATGCTGAAATTATAGAAGGTGGGGAATCTAGTTTCCTTGGACTGACCTCCTTGAATAACAAGTCAAAACAACTAGATGTCGATGGCTATTTGAGAAAAATAAGTAAGCTAGGTCCCTGTGACTCCTCTGCTTGGAGCTCTCCAATGGCTCCCTGATTCATTCAGAGGAAAGCCTGGTCTTAACTCAGTGGTGGACATTATTTCCTTGACCTCATCAAGGCCTGTCTGACTTCCCTCCCACCACATACCCCGCTCTTCTTGATCACTTGGAAACCCCTGGCACACGCCCACCTCAAGGCCCAGGTCCTGTTTTCCTCTGCCCCAAATACCGTTGCATCAGATATTTGCATGGCTCAATTGTTCATTCTCTTCAAGTCTTTCCTCAGATGTCCCTTTTCTCAGGGAGGACTTTGATGGGCACCTCATTGCTTTCCCTGATACTCTCCGTCCTCCTGCCTTGCTTCCGTTTTCTCCAGGCACTTACTACCATTCAACATTCCCTCTGCCTTATTTATTCATTGTCTCTCTCCTCCATGCTAGAACATAACCTGGCGAAGGCAGAGATTTCTGTCTCTTTTGTTCGTTGCTTCATCTCCAGTGTCCAGGACTGTGCCTGCTATAGAGGAGGCCTTCATCCATGAAGTGCTTGAATAGCACATGATAAACGTGAAGGAAAGTGTGTTTTGAGGCAAAAGTGGGATTCGCAAAAAACAAAAAACAAACAAACAAAAAAATGCTTCTCATGGTACTTGGAAACAGGGACCAGATAGGAGAGACACTTGGATTGTAGACTTGGGAACCATCTGCACAGATAGGGTGACCATTTTTTCCCAGGTTTCCTGGGACTCTCCCTGTTGTTGCATGAAAGACCAGTGTCTTGGGAACTCCCTTGCTTTCCCAGTGGGACAGCTGTCACCCTGTCCTGCACACAGAGGACACACTTAGAGGCCTTAGAGTTTGCAGAAGGACAGGGCTCACAAACCCCTGTGTCATAGGTGTGAGGAAGATGGTACATGACTGCAACTGAACTGCCCATTTGTGTGAGACTGCAAGAGACGAGACTTCTTCAAAGGAGGTGGTTGCTCCTCCACTCTGCCTGCCAGTAGCTCTAGGGAATCCTAGAGTAGTGTTGTCTGAGGTCCTGATTTTTCAAGGGGAACCAGAAATTTTGATTTCTGTGATATTTTAACATTTTTAAATGTTAGCACTATTTGGAAACTGTCTAAAGTCTGCATCTGGCCTGTGGCCTGACATTTGGCTGTCTCTGCTGAAGTTCCACACTTCCACTTTATTAGGAGACAAAGCCTATGAACCTCATTCTGAGCATCAAATGAAGCTTGTAGTTATTAATTGTCTTTATTATTTGGAGAAAATACTATTATTTAGCTGTAAGTAAAGGTTTTATGTAGCTTACATGGAATACTATTGATATTTGTGCAGTATTTTCAGGAACTATTCTAAGTACTCTATCTGTATTAATAAATTTAATCCTCCACGACTCTATAAGGTAAGTACTATTAATGTCCCAGTTAACAGAAACGGAAATGGAAGCATGGCTGAAATTAAATAACTTGTTCAAAGTCTCAGGTGAGGAGGTGATTGATCTGGGATTCCTTCAAATCAACAGGCAGGTTCCAGAGACTGTGCTCGTTACCCACAGGCTTTTCAAACTTCACTGAGCATGAGAGTCACCTGAACGCCTTGTTAGAATCCATGTTGCCGCTCCACACCCAGAGTTTCTGATTCAGTAGGTCTGGGGTAGGGCCCAAGAATTTGCATTTCTAACAAGTTGCTAGGTGATGCTGATGCTGCCTTCCTGGGATCACAGTTTGAGTTCTACTGCTCAGAACCATCCAAAGGCCTCTGAAGGGACCCAGGATCATCGGAGAGATCATACTTGCATCCACTGAAGCTGTGTACGCACAGTTGATCACTGCACTCATATTTAGGTACTCTAGTGGTAACAGTGTCATCGGCACAGATGGCCATGCACAAAGGCAAAACATATTTAAGGGGCATAAAGTAAAATGGGCTTTATGTAAAATGAAGCACTTCCTGGACCCCTGTGGTCTTATACCACTGAACTTTTTTTTTTTCCAGCTGAATACTACAACCCTTGTATGTTTCCAAATATCTGGCAGAGAAGGTAGAACTGGCCAGGGACATGAGCAAACATGGTGTGCTGGTTGGCATAGGATAGATGGAAGCTAGGCAGGTGGTACTGGGCTTCTACCATTGGTAGGCTGTAGCTTGATTTTTAGCTACAAGGATATGTTTTTAAACCATATTGAATTACATAGAAAGCATTTCCATTTTCCTTTCAGGCTTTCTTATTACATCAGTGAGAAAATCTCAGTTTGGTGCGAATATGTCTTTAACACCTAATACTTGCTAATCTCTTTTTTAGCAGAGAGATTGAGACACATTATAGGGGAAGAGAGAGAGAGGGAGAGACGGAGGAGATCATACAGGACCCAGTTACAACCCTTCTGTAGCTTTGGTTTGCTAGAATTAAATAGATTATTTTGTATTTATTGTATTTATTTTGATAGTTATGTGCTATTTATAGAAAGGAATACCAGTTTTCCATGTATGAAATAAAGTGTCCTTTTGTTAACAAAAAAGCATATTAATTTTTATGCAAATGCATGAATTAAAGAAAAATAAAGGCTCACAATACTATACCTTAGCCATAATTCCAAATTCTAAATGCTCTGAAAAACAAATTAAAAAAAATGTTTAGGGTTACACATTTGCATCAAAACTTGACCTGAATTCACATGAAACTTTTTTTTCCTGTATTTATCTTTATGTGAATATTCAGACATTTTGCTACAAAAATGTCCACATGTTTGACTATGGGGTGCTGCCTCAGACCACTAGAGGTATTATGTAATAAGGGAATATGCACCATATTACTTTCCTAATCTTGAAAACTTTCAACTGTAAAATACATCTGGCCCTAAGGTTTTGGATAAGGAAGAGTGTGGACCTGCTTTAAATGGCAAAATGCATGAAAGTGATATACAAATAACTGAAATTTGGCAGACACTGATCTAGGAAGAAGAGCTGACATTGAACATGAGTCTATTAACACGAGCAGAACAAACATAACACCTAATAGGGCTTCCCAGCTTTTGCTTGTTGTAAACAGCTGGCAGTGGTTACATCTATATTTGTTAAGAGGCAGAGCACTGTATTTTGTGTAAGATAAGGTGCTAGTCTTGGCCAGGCTGCCAAGCCTGGGCTTTTAAAATAAAAGTTTTAAAGAAAAATTATAGCATAATAAATTACACAATTTTATTGGAAAACTGAAGGTGTTCAACCAATGCTAGTTTTTAAATATATTTAGAAATACTATTTCAGGAAATTTTAACTACACTCATTAGTCTTATGGATCTGATTTTTATGTTTGGATTTTATATACCCATATTTCATAAAATTAGATATATGGGACATGTCATATCTGCATCCATACTTCAGTTTCCTTCAGCCATTGGGGCATTGTATTTGTAGCTCATCTACTACTATTTCTTCTCCTTCTTCTTCTTCTTTTTTTTTTTTTTTTGTTTTTGAGACAGAGTCTTGCTCTGTCACGCAGGCTGGAGTGCAGTGGTGTGACCAGTGCTCACTGTGCTCACCGCAGCCTTGACCTCCCAGGCTCAAGCAATCCTCCCACCTCAACCTCTTGAGTAGCTGGGACTGTGGATGCGTGCCACCCTGCTCATCTAATTTTTTAATTTTTTTTTTGTAGAGATAAGCTCTCAATACATTGCCCAAGTTGGTCTTGAACTCCCAGGCCCAAGAGCTCCTGCTGTGTTGGCCTCCCAAAGTGCTGGGATTACAGGTGTGAGCGACTGCGCCCAGCCCATTCTACTACTTCTTGCTTGGTAAGAAGTGATGTCTTCTCAGTGTGACAAATAGCTGATTGCCCAACCATGTTGTTTTTTTTTTCGTCTGCTCAGCTAGGATGCATTTCTCTCACTGAACCCCATCCAGCAGAGGACAGAAGAGTCAGAAGAGGGTAGAGAGGATTTAGATACTCATAGAAGATGTAGTGGAGGATGAAGTGCCAACCTCGCTCGGGAGCCAGGCGCATTGAGGAGAGACTTCATTACCTGATAACTACCTATCTGAAAGTAAGACCTAATCTTCTGGTGAGGTTTCTAATGGATCTGGACAGGCTAACCAGATAGTGTCTTTTATCAGTTTGTCTGATGAATGCACTAACCCTTACATTTCTAGTTTAAGAATAAGATGAAAGTGGTTGGGAATAATGAGGTGTAGATTCAAATATAACATGCATGAGTGAATGTCAGTTTCAGTGGCTTTAAACAATTTGTGGCCCCCGCAGTATTTGTAGATAACTGAAGACGGATTAGCCCATCCATCTGTCTGGTGCATTTAGCGCTAGAACAGGTTGGTTCTACATGCCTCGCATGATACCATTTCCCTTTGATCTTCCTGGCAATAGTTGTCTTGTGAGTCGTCCTTACTATGAGGAAGGATTTCCTGATACCTGACATTTTGCTACCTGTATCTTCTAACAGCCTCTAAATCCAGGCTCATTAATCATTGCCATTGGTGTTTACACTCAAGTGTAGATTTTGGTTGGAAAAAATTGAAATGATTTGCTCAACCACAGGATATTAATGATTATTGAAATACGATTCAAATCAGAAACATATCCAGCTACAGAAGAGAATGGGAAAGCAGTTCATTGATCATCAGGCTTGTAATCTGTGAAAACTATATCCAGCAAAGTGGTTGTTCTTTTTATTTATATTACTCAAATGAACATTAAACTCAACAATTCCAAATTACTATGAGGTATTCTTCATCTCTGTTCCATACAGTGTTGCATTTTATCAAGATAATGTAGATATTTAAGAAATACATTGCTGACAATTCTTGTAAATATTAGAATTCTGTATGAGAATATTGATATTAAAGCTGTACTAGGATGGATACCATTAGCAACAATATAGAGAAGACGTTTTATTAAATACTAATTTCATATGTTATTTAACAAGTAGCCGGCTTTGAACGCATTAATCTCTCTTTTTAATTCAAGGTTGATGGTCTGGGTCTTACATATTGTATCCCTGAATAGGCCATTCAATAACTATGCAAAATATCTATTTCTCCCATGGGTATTTGTGCTTTGATATATTCTGATCCTTATTAAATTTAAACAGGATCAAATTTATACAGCTCTGGCAGAGATTTATTAAAATACACTGAATGGGCAGCTTGTGGGAGTGCAGTGTACTGTAATAACATATGCCTTTTACCAGAGAATAGTAATTATTGAGAATCAAATAAATCTGTAGGAGGTTAAGTATATACGGAAAAGATATCAATTTCAGTTCTTCAAAACTGGCCTGAAATATTATTAGGAGATGTGTTACTGTGCAAAATAATGAATCTCATCTTTTTAGACTCTAAATATTTAGCAATATTTGAAAAATGCAGATCTTATGCGGGATGTTTCAAATTCCAAAAGGGGAGGGGGTGGTTCAACATTATCAGAAGTGTTACATGTATTTAGTATACTCCATCTGTAGAGGCACCTGTTTTTCACTTTGCCCTACTTTTTATTAGATAAAATTGAAAGCACTTATATTATCCTGTTGGTAAAATATACTTTGTTTTTAGAAGCAAAAATCTGTGTCTCTTTCGGTCAGAGGTTTGGGAGAGAGATCAGAGATGGACTAAATAGAAACGTTTTTGATACTTTTAAACTGGTTTATATTTTAAAAGTATTATTTTGTTCTTAATTTGGTGTTTTCCTCCATACTTTCAGAGTGACCTTGGTGTGTTTAATCTGATCAGATTGCAATAGTTCCAATGGATTGGTCTTCTGGGTGGGGCATCACTGCAGAGGGCAGCTAGGATTTTTAATACTCAATGTGTAGGTAAGATGCATGTAGTCTACCTATTCTTTCAGAGCTCTCATGACTCTGATATTTTATCCTTCATAAATTATTTAATTATGTTATAATCATCATTAGTGCTTTTCTCTTCTCCTACTTATAGACACCCTTGAGGGTGGGCTGGGGCACCACCAAGAAGAGAGCCATCTGTATGACAAGAGAATACTTTGCCCCAACAAACCATCCTGGCTTCCCAATACCTTCTTTTCCTTCCAGTATTTGAATCTCTTTCTCTGCCTAATCCTTTCTAGTATAGAGGCAGAGGCACAGGTGGAGGTGGCGCACCCTTCTTTCCTGGTCAAAGTTGTATGAATGTCAAGTGAAGGCTCTGGGAACCACGGGAATCTTTGAGTGGTGGTATCTAGAGGAAGTGAATTAGGAAGTGAATTAGGATACTCTCTGAAATTCCCCCAATTCTTAAATTCGATTGAATGTTGGTAAATGATAGTTATGGCAGGGGGCAGGAAATCTGTTTCTGCCATGTATTATGGTAGCTCCCCTAATTTTTGTACTCATTTCTTAACATATTGTGTATGTGTGTAGATTTTATAGGAGAATCACTGTTTATGCATACTTTATAGTGTTTTCTTGGGTCATGGTTAATATTTGAGTGTCCATGATGTTCTAGGTAAGTCTCTGTAGGAATTATTTTTAGGTGTCATGGTATAACAGAGTTTTGGTTTTTTTGGTCGGGGAGTCAGATATGTTACATACAATAAAATCTGCCAATTTTAAATGTGCTATTGGTAAGTTTTGACAAACATGTACAGTTGTGAACAACCACCACATAATAAATATAGAACATTTCCATCACCACAAGTTTCCTTGTACCCCTTTGCAGTTAATCCCCTACCCCCAGCCACTGATCTGCTCTTCTGTTCACATGATGTGTATGATATGCATATTCATTTATATCAACTAAGTTAAACCAATAAGTACATAAATGTTTAGATATATCATATTGATAAACCTTTATGGGTAGCATATATCTGATTTTTTTCAATCTTTCATTCCATTTTGCTCACATGAAGTCATTATCAGTAGAATAAGGAAATGTCAGAAATCTGGAGTTTGAGCAAAAAATGTATATTTTAGTGAAAAAGATTTTTAAATGCCTCCAATTATTGGCTACTTAGAAAGTAAGTATACTTGGCTCTGTTGCCAACTTTTCTCCTTCATTGCTGCTGATGAATGAGACAGATTTTTCTAAATGCATGTAACTGATGAATCCAGTTCCCTTTCTCTTGCAATTAAAAGTTTTCATTTATGTGTCTATCTGTATATTGGGAAATCTTTGTAATTTTTCTTTTATAGTGCTTGTTAGATCTATAGGACAATATAGACCTAGTTTCTGAAATTTGAAAATGGATAAAAAATATTAAATGCAATGATTTTTAAAATCTAATGTCTTAATGTTAATCTTTGATTGATTTTCTTAGGTATTAATATTCATTACCATTTGGATAACTGTGAAATTTGAAAGTGATTTTACAATACCAACACTTTGGACCAGATGAACTCCAATATTCCTTCAGTTCTGTAATATGTGATTGATTCTTTGAGGATTTTTTTAAAACAAGTATATGTGTGTGTATTTGATTTATATGTACAGATTCAGATACACACACACACACACACACAAGCACACATTTCAAATGGGAAAGAAAAGAGAAAAAAGTAATTGTGCTGTTTATATTTTCAAGTTAGCATTTCAGAAGATTGATTATAAAGATAAAATAATTTGTACACTTTTTGGATGTTGATTAATGCTAGTGCAAATAGTGGAGAAAATAGAAAGCTAATATAGTTTGCTATAGATATCCTTAAAAGGAAAAAGGAAGTAAAGAAACGAAAAGAAGGAATTTAGCTTATGCCATTCTTCTGTTTTACCTGCTTCTAATTTAGAGTAACATGATCACTGGCTTCATAAATTCAAAGCTCTTAAATCGTTTGCAGTAACAAGAGCATGTTCCAGTGTTCTCAGAACTTTTGTTTGCACCTGGTGTTACACTTGATCACTGAATAATTGAGTGATAATGACTGTTATTTTTAAACTAAAGCGTAACATCAGGAGAGGATGGTAAACACAAACCGCCCAGCTTCCCAAAGCTGGTAGGGAAAATATTTCTAAGTGTCAAAGCATGATAGAATTGTTGAAAGTACATGCAGCCAGCTATGTAACCTCAGAAAATAAGACATGGAATGATTTGTTCTGCAGCTTAAAAATTATACTTTTTAGTTTCATGGAGATGGAAAGTTCAAACAAAGAAAAACTAGTAGAATTTGAACACCATGAGCTAGGGTTAGGAAACCATACTATCTGGCCAAACAGTTATTCAGGACCAAGGACAAGGCCATAGGCATGCCTCTCCCCACTTAATTTTTTCTTTTTTCTTTCTTTTTCTTTTTCTTTTTTTTTTTTTAACATTCATAGCTATACTTTTAAGTTATTCATTTGCTTAATTTATTCACTCAGAAATTAAATTACATATTGAGTATCAAATAGGTAATGTGACAAAACAAGACAGACTCGAGCTCTGTTTTCATGGGACTTATATTCTCTTGGGTCCTTTTTTTTTTTTTTTTTTTTTTTTTTTGAGATGGAGTCTCGCTCTGTGGTCCAGGATGGAGTGCAGTGGCTGTCATCTTGGCTCACTGCAACCTCCACCTCCCGGGTTCATGCCATTCTCCTGCCTCAACCTCCCAAGTAGCTGGGACTACAGGTGCCTGCCACCATGCCCGGCTGATTTTTTATATTGGTGGTAGAGACGAGGTTTCACCATGTTAACCAGGATGGTCTTGATCTCCTGATCTCGTGATCCACCCGCCTTGGCCTCCCAAAGTGCTGGGATTACAGGCCTAAGCCACCGCACCTGGCCCTGGGTCCTTTTATAGTTAGCTGTTATATTCTGTTTTTCTTCTTCTGGGGCTCTGCTCTTCCTTCAAGGTAATTCCTGTCTCCCACATAAATAGCTCTTCTTAGATTCTTGACCTACTGATCTTCTTCCAATATACTCATCCTCCCATAGCCTTCACAAGCCTTTCGGCTCTATTGAACTTGCCAAAATGTTCTTATCTCAGCTTTTACAGCCATACAGAGAAAACAATACCTATTTTTCTCATTTCTTAAATGGCTTCTTTTCAGTGTGTTATATGAATGGTTTAGTGGTTAGGCATCAGTTGGGCTCAAAACTCATAATGTGAAGTTAAATTTGTAAGCATTGGCTTATGATTCATGGTTGACATGATATTCAGAATACAAGGGAAGAAGGGCAATATTGAAACAAAAAAGTGTCTATTTAGGCCCCAATAATTTGGAATTTGTTAAACTTGTATGTTTGGGTGGCCGTCTGATAAGTGGAGCAACATGGATGTGGAGCCTAGTAAGCCAGGATTTGACTCCATTATTTAGCTCCATGTCTTTGTTTACAGTATTCTGATTCCCTTAGAAATAAGGAGATAGTAATACCTACCTCAAGTTCATTGCCAGGCCTAATGCATATAAAACGTCAAGAAAAATATATGTAAATCTCTTGCTCTCCCTTTTCTGCAGTGGTCAATGACTTTTAATGAATGAAACCCAGAATACTTCTTTCTGTACAAATATTTAGAGTTTAACTTTTCCAAGCCAAGGTTTCTGTCAAATAGAAACATACTTTCAAATTATGCTAGACATCTTGATCTTTCCATTATGGTTGAGAAACTTTTATATAAATGGTTTAATACAGGCCTCCCATTATTATTTCTTGAACTTCTAATTGAAGAATAACATATATAAAATGCACAAATCATAAGTCTACAGTTTTAAATTCACAATCACTAGGTATTTTTATTTTTAATGAGTCAAATAAGCAGTGAACATCCCCTTATTTTAAAAGTTTGACATTTTAGACTTTTCAGTTTTAGATTGGCCTATCTCAATTGTAAGTCACTCTGCTTTTATTCAGTAGAGGTTTAGCTTTAGATCTCAAGGGGGAGCAACACAGAAAAATCAGGTCACTTTTACTTTGGAAAGCAAACTAACATTTACTCAGCCCTTATAGGATTGTAGGTACGCTGTTAGGAACTATGCATATATTATCCCATGTTAACTATAGGAGACTTTAGGTTTTAGTGTATTTTCAATTTCCATCTCATCTAGATTTCTATAATTTTAATTCATGCCTTTACCCTTGTAACAGTTCCAGTTGCATGAATATTTGGGAAGCAGAGGCCTAGTCTTAGAGATTTCTGTCCATTGAATACACAAAGAGGAAATGATTATCATCTTTGTGATGAATATACCATACATCTCCAGTTATAACCCAAATGTTTCTATAACACAGAAGTAACATTGTATTACCTGTTGTTTGGAAGATGATGCCATTAATTGTGATAGCTCTCAGAGGGCATGAGAAGCATTGAACCAGTTGCCTTTTCTACAGCCTATGCCCTTAATATTGTTCTTTGAGTAAGGTTGTGATTTATTCAGCCTTTTGTGTTGGTGCCTGGACTTCTTTTTTCTTAAGCTCCCCAAAGAGTCAGTTGCTGTTTGTTTGCATTATAGCTCTTCTTTCCTTGTGTTCCACCGCAGTGGTATGCAACGTGACATTATGTACTTACATGTATTTTGGCATTGGAAAAAGAAATCTGATCAGCTTTTGGATGTGAAGAAAGGTATTATTTATTGTTTTCGCTTACGTTACTCACACCGTGTTCTCTAGCTCTTTCCTTCCCCTGCAAGCTCACATCTTAACACTTCTTGGCATTCACTTTGTTTAAGCCTTCTTTTCTTCTTCTTCTTTTTTTTTAATAACATGCCAGCCACATTCCTAACTCAGAGCTTTTCCATTGATTCTTTCTTCTGCAAGGAATTCTTTCCCCAGCTCTTTGTAATGCCAGCTCCTTGTCATTTGTGTCTCAGCTCAAAAATGTCACCTCTTCTGAGAAGCCTTTCAAAAGTATGCTACCCACCAAGTCATTTTAAGTGACATAGTCTTATTTTACTTCCTTCATCTAATATTCTTATTTATTGCCATCCACCTTTGCCTGTCCCCAGTCACCAAGGGCATGGACTTTGGCCTCTTTTGTCACTAACTGCATCTTAAGCACATAGAACGTGCCTGGCATGGGATCATGAATATGGCACTTGTTGCATGAATGGATGTATTGAGCAGCAACTATGCTCTGAGTAAATAGAAAACAGAGGTTCATGTTGGTTGGATTATC
Organism: Homo sapiens; assembly: GCF_000001405.40. Taxonomy (NCBI): domain Eukaryota; kingdom Metazoa; phylum Chordata; class Mammalia; order Primates; family Hominidae; genus Homo; species Homo sapiens. The sequence goes on along the minus strand of NC_000016.10, from coordinate 52,512,400 downwards.
TCTGGAGTCAAGTTCTGGGTAATAGAGCATTTTGGGTTGGAATCATTTTGAACATTCAATCTGTCAGCTTCCTAGTTTTTCCTTTGAAACCTCCTGGTACTTGGTCAACTATTTCTGGGGCAAATTTTCATCCCTTTGATTCAGGTAAAACAAAATCCCTTTGATTCAGGTAAAACAAAATCCATTTGAGCCAATATTTATGTGTCTTTACCAGAATATGTCCTGATTTTGAGATAGGGTCATAAAAAGTACCTTGCTATCTTCATGGGCAAACTATCTTAAAGATGGACCTGCAAATACAGTTGAACAAACATAAACCACAGGGAGAGTTCCTCAGACTTACCCTGGGAGGCAGATATGGCAGGATTGATCATTCTTAAAGTTGAGGAATAGGCAACGTGGTGCTTGAACGTGGAATTTCTGATTCCAAGTTCTCTTGCCCTCTGTGTTCTGCTCGTTCCCTCAGGAGTTCTGAATGTGTCCATTTAGGCATTTCCCATACTGCTTTAAGTATTCTTTGAAATTATAAAGGCAAACATGACTTTACATTAAATATTTTTTCTCCATGCACTAAACTTTCAAGTCATTAGAATATAGGCTAACGGTTCTCAAACTACTTGTTTTCTGACTCACTCTTCAAACTATTGCTGCCATCTTTCATGGTATATTCCTACTTTTCTGGAACTATTTGGGTTAGAATTCTCTGCATTCATTCTGTCCTACAAACACACAAAAAGAAAAATGCTGATTCTTTCCTCATAAAGAAGCACATACTTCACAGGAGAAAGAGAGTATCCTAATCTTTAAATACTTCACCATCTATTTTTAGGACATCTTATAGTCACTCTTCTTTGGTATTATGATACAAATGTGTTTTCAGTAGGCCTTACCTTTTCTTCTCCTGCCCCGAGATGGAGTCTTGCTCTGTTGTCCAGAGCTGGAGTGCAATGGCACAATCTTGGCCCACTGCAACCTCCGCCTCCCAGGTTTAAGCAATTTTCCTGCCTCAGCCTCCCGAGTAGCTGGGATTACAGGCGCTTGCCACCACAGCCAGCTAATTTTTGTATTTTTAGTAGAGACAGGGTTTCACCATGTTGGCCAGGCTGGTCTCTAACTCCTGACCTCGTGATCCACCCTTCTCGGCCTCCCAAAGTGCTGGGATTACAGGCATGAGTCACCGTGCCCAGCCAGCCTTACTGTTTCTCTTTGAGTATCCTGGACTCTCAGCTTTTATGGGATGCACTTGTTCTAATTAATTAAAATTCATATTGTCATGTCGATGCTCAGATGGTCACAGCATGACCTGCGGGAGTCCCTTTAAATGTCCTCTTTGGTCCCCTTAGCATTACCCCCAGGCATTCTTGAAAGCACTGTTGTTTTCTGGGAACCACAAGTTCCAGTGGATCTTGATTTTCTCATGACCCAATACATGGAGTCAGCTATTCTCTGAGGAGCTCTGATTCCTTTGATAGAGCATAGTGGCATCCAAAATTTAGGTGCTCTGCATGATATCAAGCTGTTCCATTCAAATGCTTCTGGAAGGTAGAAATGATTCCCCAGTTAGTTCATTTTAGGGAGAGAGCCAGAAGACAAATTTTCTTTTTCTTCTTCTTCTTCTTCTTTTTTTTTTTTTTTTTTTTTGAGACAGGGTCCTTCTCTGTCTGTTTCCCAGGCTGGAGTGCAGTGGTCCCATCTCGGCTCACTGCAACCTCCACCTCCCAGGTTCAAGCGGTTCTCCTGCCTCAGCGCCCCAAGCAGCTGGGACTGCAGGCATGTACCACCATGCCCAGCTAATTTTTGTATTTTTAGTAGAGATGGGATTTCACCATGTTGGCCAGGCTGGTCTCAAACTTCTGACCTCAAGTGATCTGCCTGCCTTGGCCTCCCAAAGTGCTGGGATTACAGGCGTGAGCCACCGCAGTTGGCCAAGACAAATTTTCTTTAAGGTCATGAGTTTAAACAGCTATTTCCAATTTAAATCCAGCATTACTAAATCCATTTTTATTTTGTTCTAATGTAAATTTTTAGTATCTATTTCTGCTCAACATACTTACTCTAGATTTGTAAGACCCTGGTCCCAAATATTACTTTGATTCATTTCTCTAATCATTATGTCTTGTCTATCACTTTATTTTAATCACTTTATTGACAAACAAATATTTTGAGATTATTCATGCCTAGTCTAAGAGAAAGGGGAAAAAAACAAAACACCTTGCCTTTTATCTTGTAAGTAGTGGCATTTTTTTTTTTTTTTTTAACAGCAAGGCTTATATCATTGTTCTTTCCCTTGGAAATGCAACAGATATTTTTTGAGGTATCAGAGGCGAGGGCAGATTTCCAGGGAATGAAAGAATAGAGCTGATCTTGTACTTAGAAACCCCCTCCTCATTATTACCAGCAGCAAATATCTCTGGTTTCTGGTAGGGGCAGGACTGAGGGGCCTTTTAGACTCATCTCTTGAATACCATGACTTGCCATTATTGTACCGGCCTGAGAACCACTGCTCTCGGTCTTAGACTTTGAACTTGATAATTCAAATCTAAAGGTTAATTACATTAATGAAACTACTAATATCAATCATTATGTTTAATAAGTTGGTATGCTGTAAGCCTGTTTGTTTTAACCAATACCTAGCAATGAATGTGTTTATATGTATTTAAACATTATGCCTGTTTGTGTGTGCACATGTACATACATAAGCATACACATTAGGCCACATTGCATCATCTGGAGGAATTGTGAGTGGGCGTGTGTGATTGGCAAGTGTGAAATTGAATTTAATATGAGATTCTCTGTCTTAGGTAAAATATTTGAAAGAACGTGGATAGAGAAAAGCTGTCTAGCTTTGGAAAAAATGGCTTATGTGTTTTGGGAGCAAGAGGTCTGAATGTTAAAATTTCATTTAAATGGCAAAACACTTTTAGAACTATGCTGAAGAATTTGGTTTTAGTGGGAAAACTTTAATTTGCCTATAACATGAAGTACAAGTTATTAATTGCACCAAAGATAACATGCTAATTAAAAGGTTCATGCATAATTGTCAGAGGTTAACAGTGCACACTGACAGACTTGGAATAGAAACTAATTATATTATGTTCTCTAAAAGGAGTATTTTTACCCATGAATGTAAGATACCTTATTATAGCACTGTTTTTTCTTAGGTTGGAAAAAAATCTTTTAGATGTTCTTTGTAATGAGGCTGCAATGATAAGCATTCAAACAATGATGAAGCTATATATAAATAGCTTTATTTGAAACATGAGCTTCCAGTATAGTTATAATTCCAAATAAGCATTTATTTGTATTTGCAACTTAGAAGAAAGACACTCAAAGTAGAAACTTCCTAAAATTTATCTTCCTGGGGTAATAAATAATAAATGAATAATAAAGCAACCAGGATTTCTGGAAATAGTCTAATGTTCCTTTTTGAGATACTTTATGAATAACAATCATCTTTTGATTGGCAGTATGCTAGAGATTTGGGCTTGTACACTTTTTTATTGCATTTTATACCTCTGAATTGTTTTATATCTATAATACATAATATATAGCTATACATGTGAATTTAAATTATGAGCATGTTTAAATAATAGTAATAAAATGATCACCTATTTGTCTAACATCCAACTTTGTTGAAAGTTATCAATAATTTTGAAGTTCTCTCTGTGCGCTTCTCAGTTGCAACTCCCTCCCTTCCTGCCCCCAGAGATAGTCACTTTCCTGAATTTTACATTTATTATTCCCTTGTTTTTTCTTTATATAAAATTTTACCATACATCTCTTTATCCCCTAATAATATATTGCTTAGTTGTACATATTCCTGGTTTCTTTATAAGTGGAATGATGTTATATATTTTATTTTCTGACTTGCTTTTCCCCGCTTCAATATTAGTTTTGTAATATTCTTCTAAGTGGATGCAGGTGTCTTTCTTTTGGTTTGCCACTGTACAGTATTCCATGGTCTGAGTATACTCCCTCTGGACATTTGATTTTTTACCAGTGCTTTGCTATCATGGGCGGGTCCTGCAAACACCCTTGTGTATGCACGCTGTTGCACATGTGCAAGAATTGTTCTCATGTCTTTACTTGGGAGAGGAACTCATGGGTTTTAGGGAATGCTCTTGACTTGGCAACGTTGAATTATTTTCCAGAATGGTTGTATGAATTTAATACTTACACCCAGAATGTATCTGCATTATACATTTCCTCCAAATCAGCCTTCATAATAATGTCTTCAGATATTTGTATGTTTAATTGACTCTCCAATTAAACAAAGGAAACATTTTCTTATACAATGGAAACTTACAGGTGTCCTGCTATGATAGCGTATTTCTTTGCTTACAGTGCTTAGTCAAAACTGCTCGATATTTTGGATCAAATATTAAACATCTTCAGTAAGAAACCTCAAGCTCATTTATAATATTGTTATAGTTGTGCAAACATCACAGCTTAAATTGTAATATAGTTCAGTCATCTGATTTACCTTCACTCCTTCCTGGGAATTCTGTTGCCTAACATGATTTGAAGCCATTATTTACTTTCAAATAATGTAATCTAGAAATTCTAAAAAAGAAAGAAAAACTAGTATTAGGCTTAGTAAAATGTAATTAAGATCATAGACACACTGTAAAAATTATCTGATGTATTTCACTTCTCAGTATCTGACTTCTGGATTACCTGGTATCTTGGATTATTCATGGTATTCCTTTGCTCTATTAATATGAAAATAATTGATTATGTATCTTTTTTTAAAAAAGGTTTTTGAAGCAATATTGCTTATTTGTGACTTATTTTGCTTACCAAGCTGTGTGCATACAATTGAGTATGTTGAAGTAAAGATTTCAGTTACCTCCTTTAAGGTTTGCCTTCCTATACGTAATCACAGAAGCACTCCTGATGACAAAGAAGGCAGAGAACTTATATTCTTTAAGTCACGTAGCCTGCAGCAGTTCTTTAAAGCCTCTAGTTTCATTTTTTAATGCAAAGATGTTTTTGTGTGTGTGGAGATGGGGTCTCACTCTCACTGTGTTTCTCAGTCCTGTCTTGGACTTCTGACCTCAAGCAATTCTGCCTTGGCCTACCAAAATGGTGGGATTACAGGCATGAGCCACTACCCTCTGGCATTAACAATTTTGATAATTTCTTTTACACAGGATCTCCTTGTTTGCTGTGATACAAAACAGCCCCCTCCTTTATTTTGTCATGGCTCCCTTTCTATCCCCATTCTTTGAATCAATTGTTAATCTGAGACACGATCCAGTTCATTCTGTAACTCTGGAAACTTCTAAGATGTAGGTCTTAGGTGTACATGTACCCCAGTTGAGAAGTGAAGTGCCGAACATTTTAACATTACATGTGAACTCTATGGGTCTCTTCACTTTCAGAGTCCATCACTGTTTTGTTGTCAGCTTTGAACTGTTTGAGCAGAATTCAGATTTCTATGGGCAACTCTAATCAGGGTTTCCAGCTACTTAAATCCATTAACCTTCAAGATAACCTTTTTTGGGAATTTGACACAAACAATACTACATAATAAATACTAGTGCTTCTTAGATGCAGTGGATGTTGGACATTCTAAGGAGAGTCAGAGCTCTAATTAGGAGATTGTTAACATGTGATTCAATCATGTTTTTAAATCTTTAATGTAATTATAGGTGATATCTCATTGTTGGAGGCCTCTCCAATAATTCCCCACCCCAGCATAAGTGTCCTCTTATCTGCACCCTTCCTGTAGCCTCTAAAGAGTCTGAATCACTTTATAAACCTGACCAATAAGCTTGTGGTTATGAACAATTTATGGTAGGGGGCTGGCTTCCATGACTCTGTGGGTTCTATTCCTGTCTAGAAACCCCCCTTCTTTAAAAGAAGGGCCAAGAATCCAGGAGGTTCTTGGGTTGTGCATGCCAGTTCTTTCATAGAGTCTCCAATCTGTCTCCAATCCAATCTGATACATTGCTTGGTGGGTTGGGTTGAGATGAAGACATTGGTTGACTCTGTGTTGATTTCTCACCTTTGAGAGATGGTTTACCTTCTCGTTCTATCCTCTTTCTTCACCTTGGACTTGCTTCCATCAGTTGGGGGAAAATGCTCCTTTTTATCTGTCTTTTGATAGCTAGACCTTTGGACATGTGTATAAAGAGTATGAGCATTTTGCTGTGTTTCAGGCATCAGCCTAGTGAGGCTTAAACCTGAGAGGTGCTTTGTGCATTGGTTTTAGTGTGAGAAGACTTTTAATTGCAGTGCTCCCAAAATATTGGATGTGTATAAAATAGCCTTAGCATTTAACACGACGGCTCTTGTCCTACAATGATTGCAGTTTTCACCAGGAATGTCAGTTCAGGGCTAAGTTCATAAAATTCATCATTGAATTTTCAGATAGGTTTAGATAAAAATTAAGACTTTCCGAGAAATTCTTTTCTTTTTTTGAGACAGGGTCTTGCTCTGTCACCCAGGCTGGAGTGCAGTGGTGTGATCATGGCTCACTACAGCCGCCATCTCTTGGGCTCAATCAATCCTCCCACCTCAGCCTCCTGGGTAGCTGGGACTACAGGCATGTGCCACCATGCCCAGCTGATTTTTATATTTTTTGTAGGACGGGGTCTCCCTATGTTGCCCAGGCTGGTCTTGAACTGCTGGGCTTAAGTGATCTGCCTGCCTCGATCTCCCAAAGTGCTGGGATCACAGACATGAGCTACTGTACCCAGCCTTCTAGAGATTCCTAATTCTTATTGTGACATAAAATTATTAATTAGTTGAATGTGATTTTGACATTTTGTAGTTTTTGGAACTTGGGGCTTATCCATGAGGCCATTCTCTGGAAGCCAAAGCAGTTAGTGATTTTTGTGGCAAAATCCAGTCACGAGCTTCATGAAAACCCAATCTAGTGATATTGCCTAGCATCATCTGTAATTATTCCTATGCTTCCGAATTGTCAATCAGTTTGTTTAATGCTTAGTTTGGTGACTCTGGCATTCAGAGTTTATTATAGCTAAAGAAACAAGCAAACAAGTAATCCCGCTGAAGAAATGGATTAACCAGATGATTATTTTTATTGGAATGAGAAGTTAACAAAATTAGAGCTATTGGTGGCACAAATTAATCACTATGTGATTCGATTTGATTGCGTTGATTCTTAACTGCATTGATGACTAACAAGAGAGTAGTGAAATGAGAAGGTTCAGGGAATCCTAGCCAGGCCTTTTCCTTCCTATGCAGTTCTCTCTTTAACGGATCTTCCTATCTTGCTTCTTTAAAAGACCCTCTTCTTGGCCGGGTGCGGTGGTTCACGCCTGTAATCCCAGCACTTTGTGGGGCCAAGATGAGCAGAGCATTTGAGGTCAGGAGTTCAAGACCAGCCTGGCCAACATGGTGAAACCCGTCTCTACTAAAAATACAAAAATTAGCCGGGCGTGGTGGCGCGGGCCTGAAATCCCAGCTACTTGGGTGGCTGAGGCAGGAGAATCGCTTGAACCCGGGAGGCAGAGGTTGCAGTGAGCCAAGATCATGCCACTGCACTCCAGCCTGGGCAACAGAGCAAGACTCTATCTCAAACAAACAAACAAACAAACAAACAAAAAGACCCTCTTCTTTAAATATATCTCCAGTGACTGCCATTCCATTGGACTTCTTTCATCTCCACTCACCACTTCCTGAGATCGAGTCCCTTGCCTTGCCTTGCCTTGCCTTTCTGTCTCATTGATCCTTTACTTGTCCATCCCATAAGCCCCTAAAAGCCTCCGTTACCCCATCCATGAAACAAACGCCATTTCTTCCATCCTTTAAGTCTCATCTCTGCTTTGAAATGTCACGTGAGCTGGAGGGTGGGCATGACTGTGGTCTCTAACTAATGTGTGTATGTGGGAAGTTGTGTGCACATAGACATTTCTCATTTCTCTTCATTTTAGAGTGTGAACTTCTTTTTTTTTTTTTTTTTTGAGACGGAGTCTCGCTCTATCACCTAGGCTGGAGTGCAGTGACACGATCTCGGCTCACTGCAAGCTCCGCCTCCTGGGTTCACGCCATTCTCCTGCCTCAGCCTCCTGAGTAGCTGGAACGACAGGTGCCCACCACCACGCCTGGCTAATTTTTTTGTATTTTTAGTAGAGACGGGGTTTCACCGTCTTAGCCAGGATGGTCTCGATCTCCTGACCTAGTGATCCGCCTGCCTCAGCCACCCAAAGTGCTGGGATTATAGGTGTGAGCCACCGCGCCTGGCCTTTTAGAGTGTGAACTTCTTATGGGAAAATACTTGGCTTTGTTATCCTCTCCCAACACAGAAATTGTTGCTCAACTAGGAACGGCTGGCATATGCTACCCTCATATTAAATTTTGCTAAAAGAAACTACTTAATCCCTGGATTATGATGTCCTATTATTTATTAAATATCTCATCTCATGCTGTAGTGAATATGAAAGTGATGATTCTTTTGGAGAACAAATACCAGAGTATGACAATTGGATTTTACAAACAATGATAAAGCGGACTTCGGAATGATGTATTTATTTAATGTATTTATTTAAATTATCGACATGAGGTACATAGATTATATGATACATTTATTCTTGGAAGTATTATTTTATAACATTGAAACTGATTAATTTACAACATGTATGTTGTTACCATAAACACATTCTTTGGTTCAAATAAAGTCTTAAAATAACAGCTCTTTAAAAAAAATTTATTGCTTATTTTTGGAAGTTGGAGAATAACAAGTTCTATAGAATTTTCCCTGGAAAACCTGTCAGTACAGCTTAAATATTAATTATGGTTCTGATTGCCTTTCCTTTTTGTAAAGCATTAAAAAACTCAGGTTATACTTTAGCTTGGAAACCAAGGTAAAATTTTGCCATTGCCCTCCCTCCTTTCATTTGCTCATTCATTCACATCCTTATGCTGGCGTTATGCTGGGTGTTTTTATAGTATCATTAATGATAAGCTAGAAGAAAGTTGATAGCAATTGCTATAATAAGGTAGGTACAGGGTTATCCATAACTATGCTAAGTGCTGTATGCATGTTCACTTGTGTGGTCCTTGCAGTGAGTGACCCTATGAGGTGAGGGCTGTCAGCATCTTAATTTTACAAGTGAGGAAACTAACACCTAGAGATGGCAGGTCAGTTTCCCAAAGTCACACAGCAGTCCTGGAACCCAGTCCTATTTGACTTCATAGCCCAAGGCTTGCTCTTTATTCTGTATTTTAATACTTCCCAAATCACTTTCATAAAAACATAATTTTCATGATGGAAAGACCCTAAAAAACATCATCTTTTAAAAAAAGGTAGATACTAATAATAATTTAAACCAAGTTTCAGCAAATTACCACCCATGGGCCAGTTGCCTGTTTTTATTAATAAAATGTTATTGGAACACAGTCATACTCATTTGTTTATGTATTGTCTGTCTTCTGTGGTTGCTTTCCTGCTTTTCGTGTAGTTGCAACAGGGGTGATATAGTTTGTATAGTTGCAGTGTGTCTGTGGATGACCCATAGAGCTTAAAAGCTTGACTATCTGGTACTTTAAGAAAAAAGTTTTTTGACCCCAATTTAAAGTACATTGCATTGTCATTGTTAGGATTATTCTAGCAAACCAATGCTATACTTAATGCAAGAAGCAATATTATTTGGTAGTGTTTTAAAATTTCTAGAAACTGCATTACCTGGGTTCATTGCTCTTTAGGATATCATGGAATTCTTATGTTGGTGTCAAAAATTTGTAATATTAAAAAATACTTCCTCTGCTTTCTCAGTTTTGTTAAAAATTGTATTTCAGAGAACTTTCTGGCATTCTTCATTTTGATGACAAAGTAATTTATTTGGTTGAACTTCAATGCTAATATTTTCTTTAAGACCTTACTGCTTTTTATTAAAAATGGCAACCTGGATCAATGGTAATTTTCCTTTTTTGCTATTGAATTAGTTTCTCAATCTGTGCTTTTTTTGTTGAATATGGATTTTTAGATTTTGACCGAAAATTATTTCCCTTTCTTGAAGACCCATTCTTGTAGGTTTGACTTGCATAATATTTATTTCTGCTTGTCTTGCTGGAAACTGGCTTTCTGGCTAACATATGAGGACAGACATTTTAGAAATGGAAACTAAACTTGAAGCATGGAAAAGTGTGGCTTTTTTCCATCCATGTTAGATTTTCCTCCTATTTTTCATTTTGAAATCTTGTTCCTGAATGGCCATAGCTTTTATTTTTGTGTTCCTGGTGCTGCATACAGCCTGGCAAATAGTAGGCACTCAGGAAGTGCTTAGCTGTTTGTCTTACAGTGCCTACAGGCTTGGAAGGAACTTTTAGGAAAGAATGGAGTTGCAGTGTGTCAGAAAACTGTGTATTACTAAGCCACCTGGGAAATCGCGGCCACTTTTTCCCTCATTGGCATGGCTCAAGTTTTACTTGCGGAGGCAGGGAGGTATTTAAAGTACAGGAAACTGTGTTACCCTCCTTCTCTATTCTGTTGCTGCCTTCCTGCAGGTAATTGGGAATGGTGAGAAGGGTCCATCTTAGCCCACCCCAGGAGGGAAGGCAGAAGGAACTTTACTTGTTGACATGGTTGTCTCTTACAGACCATTCTCGATAGGGAGGCTTCTTAAAAGGAATCTGTTTACATTAGTGGGTTAAGGCAGTACTTTCACTAGTATAATCCACATAGCTCAGGGAGTGAGCATTAAGGTTGGAGAAGAAAATATTAGTAATTCTCTCTCTGTTTTTTTTTTTGTTTGTTTGTTTGTTTGTTTTTGAGATAGAGTCTTGCTTTGTCACCCAGGCTGGAGTGCAGTGGCGCGGTGTCGACTCACTGAAACCTCCGCCTCCTGGGTTCAAGCGATTCTCCTGCTTCAGCCTCCCTAGTAGCTGGGATCACCACCATGCCCGGCTAATTTTTGTATTTTTAGTAGACAGGGTTTCACCATGTTGGCCAGGCTGGTCTCGAACTCCTGGCCTCAGGTGATCCGCCCGCCTCAGCCTCCCAAAGTGCTGGGATTACAGGCATGAGCCACCACGCTCAGCCATCTCTATATTTTTATTCATCATTTTTAATTATAATTTTTGGTATGTTCTGAAATACACATAATACATCAGGATGGTGGTAACTGTGTATATAGTTTATGAATAAATAAACAAACCTGCATATGTTGCAATTGGGTGCCCATGTTATTAAAGAGACAGTATAGTGGCTCAGAGTGTAGACTTGGAGGCCTGTTTGTCTGCATCATCATCATGTAGGCTTGGCCAAAGTCCTGTTTGTTCCTCTGTAGAATGGGTACAGTGATTGTACCTGTATCATAGGCTGTTGTGAGGAATTAATGAGTTAACATATGGAAAGTGCTTTAAACTGTACTTGGCACATGGCAAGTTATATGTAAGTGTTAATTGGTATTATTTATATGAAAATCTTTAGTAGAGGTGTCTAGTAAAAAATAATTGGAGACTACTTATTTAGCACTTAAGACTTCAGACTCACACAGTTGTTAGTTCAAGTCCAGACTTTCTTGTGTGTAACTGTGGACAAGTTAGCTATAAATGGGCATGGTAATAATAGTAGCATATTTTACTGACTTAGGCACACATATTTTTCACATTTTAACATGTCTGTAGTTAGATTATATCTTATAATCAATGGTGTCTTAGATTTTATGAAATATGATAGTTTCTACTTTCTAAGGTTGTGAGGAAGAAATAAGACGATAAATGGGAAGTGGTTAGCATAATGCCTAGAATATAGATGGTGTTTAATAAATGTTAACTGTTATAATTAAGATATATTGGCATATGCATTATTCTAAGAGGGAAATGAGAATGCAAAATGCAGTGACAATAGTTGGAAGGTCTTGATCAGCCTTTGATATCTAGTAGGATTATAGATTTTCACCTTTACAACTCTTGGAATACTTCTGTGGTACCCAGCTTGGGAAATATGGCCACCTTTTAATATTCTCCAAAAACCCTGTGAAACACTGCCATGTGATATTATTGCTTCATATGATCGAATGCCGATTAACTGGTACCCATAGTCCTCAATTAACAAGGTATTTTTTGATTAGAAGTCTGTGCCAGGAGTTAAGGCCTAGGCTAAGATGATGTGCATGGGTTGTACCTGTTTTATTTACATACTCTTTGGTTTTTGCTCCAATCATAGTGCTGCATCCTCTAATAACCTAAATGTTTAAAACACATGAGAAGGAAGCATACAGATATAGAGTAACATTTGATGCGATGTGACTTCCTTTACAGACTAAACATTAATACGTTTTTAAGAATCTCTTAAATATAGCAGAATCTCTTCTGTTTGGAGGAGAAAACCATGATAAGCATTTTCATTTCCAGTATCAGAGCTCCCTGTCTCTGCAGAGATGGAAAACTTCTGGCCAACATAAACATATCTCTTGTTACATTGGATCAGAAGCAGAAATTTGTAGTTGTCACTTTGTAGCCAGCGACCCTTGTGTTCAGGCCAAAGATTGGTGCTTGTCATGGTTTTCTGCTCTTCTCAGATTGTACACTCTCAGAACCTGATGGAGAAGTGACTTGGAAAGAGCTTTTATAAAGAGCTTTGCATCCTTTCCTTGTACCTAGGGTGGCTGGAAAGTTGTTCAGCAGCTTCTGTGTTCACCCTCTGCCTGCCTAGGCAGGTATGTGTTTGAAGCCATAGGGAAAACATATTTTCAGCTCAGTAGAACCATGGCGTCCAGGTGAGAGTATGCTGGGGTGGGTCTTAGATCTTTCCGGACTCCTGTGGAGGACACTGGTTTAGAAATAATCACAACTGGTTTTAGCATCCTTGTTATTTAGGGTGAGAGCCATGTCTAAAAAAAGTCCTTTGACCTCAGGCAATTTTGTTTCTTGTGGATTCGTAGAATCAATCTGGTTCTAAGAATCTGATTCCTGAAGTGATAGATTCTTCATACTTTCCCTAGCATCATCTCATTTATGTTTTGTTTGTTTGTTTGTCTTGTATTTATTTTATGAATCAGTGAATCTTGCCTTAATACTATACTCAAACACAGCTTTAGTTAACGTTTTGAGTATCTGGAACACTTGCCACGAAGAAAAACAAAAGAAAACCTCTTGAATAATTTGCAAGGACTGGGTTTTGCATGTCGTTTCGAAGTAAATGCTGCCTGGCTTCATTTGAGCAGCTGTCTGCATTGCTAAGGCTCTGGTGTGGAGCACCTAATTCCCTTCTGTTGCTTACTGGCTTTCTAATTTTTCCCCTGTGATCATAGTTATAAAACCTAATTTCCAGGGGGTCTTGTGAATCATATTAGTAGCTTTGTGTTATAATAGCAATTTTATATTGCATTGGTATTCATTTTCACTATTACGGAATAATCAAATCAGCACCTCTCTTATTATGCCGTTGAAATAGAAAATAATGGGACTGTAATGTAAAACTGCTAATGTGATGAAACTCGCTCATTGTGTTAGGGTAAGAATGTTCTCCTTTCTTGTTCCAGCTCACTTGAAACTGTGATTGAGGAAGGAAATGGAAAGCATTTCTACATCTGTGATAAGGCCCCGCGTACATCCTTCATTTGAATACGTAATTGTCTTTCGATGGCGCAGGGTGTGCTTGTTCGCACACTCGGAGGCCTTCCCTGCCACCGTGGCGATGCACGGGGAAGCAGGATATGCACGGACCAGTTTTATCCTGTGGTTTCCCTTTTAATCATGAGTTACACTGAATGTCTCTTTGTTTCCAGAGGACTTGTTTGCACCCTTTCTTGCTCATGGAGGCCTTCTTCTGGCCTTTTTTAAAACTTGAAGGGCACATTTTGACTACGTTGTTAGAAAATACAGCCTCCCCCCCCCAACCCCACAAAGGTTCAGATTTGACAGGGATGTTGGGAGGCAGGTCAAGTGACTGCCTAATGAAGATGAATGAAGAAAATTGCTGGTACCAGGATCATGCGGGGGCTCCCAGCCCAGTTTGCTGCAAGTGTGATGGAATCTCATCGCTTCATTTATCAGTGTCATATTTGGGCTAAAAGTGAGCAGTATTGTTCTCATTTTTCCCAGATGGATAGGTCAACTTTAATATTTATTGCTCTTATATAACATTTGTTTGATGTATTTCCATTAGCTAGGCAATAATAGAAAAGCGGTGGAGAGAAACATAAAACAGTTCCCTTCCTATTCAGTTGAAATACAGTGTACACTAATGTATAACTACGGCTTGAAGTGCCATTGATTTTCTCCCCTTTTGGTTGATGACATGATTGTATATATTAAAGATTCCCATGAAAATAATGGAGAGGCAGCGTGAATGTCATATACATTGAGAGCAGCTGGCGGGGTAGAAATTGTGTTGTCTTTTTATTTTTGTGATTTGGTCACATAATTGGTGAATGTCTCTTGGCCGTATATTAAATTCTTAGCCCAAAATCATATTTTAGAATGGGGAGTAATGTGCAGTAGATCGCATCATCCTCTGGGTTCTACGGTGAATCTCAATAAAGCTAGAATTTTCTTCCCATTATAGAGCAAATTGTTTTCAGTTGCTGAATAATGTTGATTTTTTCTTTATATCTTTGCGGGTGAAAAATACCTTGTTATGAAAAGTATTTTCCCCTATGTTTTGAATATATTAAAGATATGGCCCTAAACATTAAAAAAAACACAACTGGCTCTGTAAGGACATCTAGCTCCTGAGATATTAGTTGATGATCACATTTTGCAGTAATCTGAACATTGGGCTATTATTTTGTACTGTGGAATAAACCTAGCTCTTTGTGAGGTAGGTGTTGTCTTAAGTGCAAAGCAAACATCCTAGCCATATGTTTCTATAATTTAAATTAATTTGGTACAGTCATACTGTTAATCTTTAGTGACTTGTTGATTGGCATTTTGCAGACATATTTCTGGAAGGCTCCCAATACCATTTTCTGCAGCCTTTCTGGCAGTAGCAGAGAGCAACATTTCCACAAATTGGAATCTTGTACAGCACTGGGAAGCAAGCCAAGATTTAAATTAGACAATAACCTCTGCTCTGTATATAGCTTCTATTCTTCAGCTGTAGGCAGAGTGATTTGTTTAATACAGTCAGCCCTGTAGCATATAATAGACTGATATATGAGTCACTCCTTGGCAATGTGTTTCTTAAATTTATATAGATTGAACAACTGGTTGGTAATGTACTTAGTTACAGTTGTACAAACAATAACTATTAGCAGGGCTGAAACAGGCCTAGAAAGGCTGCACTGGGCTGGTGTTTGTGAGGATCCCGAAGTATTGCTGATTTTCAGAATAATTCCCCTTTGAGGCTAAGGGAGACTCTATTTCATAAACATGAGTGTGCTTTTTTAGCAAAGTAGCAATAAAAGTTTTATGTTACAGTTTTCTGTTTCTCATTTTCTATTTGCTTAAAATTGAATTGGGGAACCTAATTTCCTTCAAAAATTAAACTTAACATCCGTCTACATTAGGGGCAAGATAATTTGATTGCAGGGGTTTTGTTTTTGTTTTTAAACACTTGCTTTTTTTTTTTAACAAATAAATAACATAGGTATAAATATGTATTTTCTGTTTTTTTTTCCCCAGGTTAGACTGCCGTGGGCACTAACTGTTCATGGGTTGAAAGAAATCTTTCTGAGCAACAAAGATCTTTTCTTAAGGGAAAAGCTTGTGCTCCAAGTTCAGTTCATGTTTATTTAAAAGATTAAAATCATTAGACCAGATCTCACTTTTTTGTCCAAAAGAAAATTGATTTTGCTTCCCATAAAAGTGGGATCTGAAAGAGGATATTCAGGAATACGCAAATAGAGGCAATGTCGAAATCTGTTTGTGCAGCTGAACAAAGCAATTCTGTTTTTACCGCTGAACATTTACTTAGCCTTGGTGTGAAAATTTCTGAACAGAATTGTCACCTGTCTTTAGAAAGTACTTCTTTTGTAAGGCAAAGAGGATCATTTTGATCTGAAATGTTTTAATGCTTTTTCTTTTTAAACTTCTGCCAACTGGAGCATTTATAAAATAACGTACCCTGTAAATATTGAACAATACAAAGACATCTTTCATAACAGTTTATAGTATGTTGCGTGTGCTCAGTGGAAGCCAGGCAGCAGTTAGTGGCAAATGATATGCCAATCAAAAATTATTACTGCAAGTATAACCTGGTATAATGCAGTATCTTATCTGGAAGTGTCAACTTGATATAAGCCAACTCTTTGTCTTTTAAAGTTAAGCTCTTGTTTGCCCTCAGTTAATTCTGTCTCCCAAAGGCTCATTTGAATTGCATAAAGGATAATCTGCTTGACAGTTTTATACATTTAAGCAATCTTGATTATATGGTATTTTACATGTTTTTTAAGCTCCCAGTTACTATTTTATTTGGCTTTTAAGTCTTTAGTTAGGAAAGAATGAGAGAAACTGATAGGTAGAATTTGATACTCTTTCTGTGAACAGCATTTAGTAAAACTGATATAGCACCTCTTTTTATTGCCCCATGGTTCATGATGGTAATATTTGATAATTGTTGATGATGGGGTGGAGGTGAGAGTAAATTCTTGTGAGAATAAACGGAAGAAAATGTAGTAGCCAAATTTCATTATACTGAAATAGAGATTTATAGATGATCTTTTCCTCCCTCTCAACCATGACTTAATTTGGAGAATTTCTAGATGAATTTTGGGTGAAATTTTAGGATCAAGTGCCTAGTGGAAGAATTTGGAGGTTGTATATGTGTTAACTGTACTCTGGAAAGGCATGAGTTGTGTGTTAACACCGTGGTGGTAGTTAAGAGCATACCATCTGGTATTATACAGACTGGCTTCAAATTCTGCGTACACCACATGTGCATGTGCTGTGTGATTTTAAAACAAGACACTAAACCTCTCTGAGAGTCTGCACCTATAACCAGAGGAGAAAGTAATACTCCCCCAATAGGGTTATGATCAAGGTGAAATGTGCTGAAATGCCAATAAATGCTACTGTTATTAAGGTCTGCCTTCCCCCACACTTTAGGCCTGGTGAGATTTGAAAAAGTTGGTCCAGAGTGGTAGCTTTAGTACTTACCTTCCTTTCACTAGCAAATTATTTGATAATCATTAGTGGAGAGTCACATGGCTGTTCTCTATATCCTGGGACGAAATGAATTTAATTTTGAAGAGAATATAAGGCATCAGGGAATTGCATTTTGGGGAATTAGGAAGCTCTTCTGTTTCCAAAAGCACGTTCTGGGCTCCCAACTCCTTTCAAAGTTTTATTATGATGTCTTAAAGGTAAAAGGGGTTTTGTTACATTGCTTTGTCAATTGATGGGCAACAATTCTGCAAGTTTAGCACCAGTATTATCTTGTTTTAAAGATAAGGAAATGAGAATGTAGAGAAGGACCTTATAAAGAACGTACCTAACCCCAGCAAGTGGATGGGATTTGAACCGATGCCGCTTTCACCCACAGCAGGTAGTAAGCCTGTTTCAGGAGAGTCACTTCTCCATGGAAGATCTCCCCTACCTGTATGGTACTGAGAATTGTGGTGTAAACAAGCCAATTACTAGCCATTTGACATAAACTCATACCTACTGGCCTATGCCACAGGTAGATGGTTTGTCACCAAAGAGCAAACAAACTGAAAAAAACCTCTCTCCTCTAGAATCATATAATCAGATTGGTGAAATAATTTTGCATCTGATGTAAGAGTGCTGAGTCAATATTTATTGATGGAGAGGCTGAATGGGCGATGTAACCAAATGCAAGCGAATGTAGTAGAAACATCCTCAAAATGTTGAGAGGATGATCTTGAGTGGAAGTTTTTGTTAGAGAGATGGATTTAATCAGAGACTTGAAGGACAAGAGGGGCACAGAGTAATCTAACAAATGTAGAACTACTGAGATAGCCTTAAAGGATATGGAAAGTAGAAATAAATAAATAGGATATGGTGGCTCAGTTAGAATATCGTAACAGCTGTTAACACATAAACCCACCATGTATAATGAGGTAAATGTAATAGAGGTGTATTTCCTGTTCAAGTATTAAGTTCAAGGTTGTTCTGGTAGGCAGTGGAGGAGGGACCCAGGCCGGTGGAGGCCTTGCCATCTTGTTTTAGGTTTTAACACCCAGTTGGGGTGGAACGGGACATAGAGAAGGTGGAGAAGCCACACCTGCTCAGCTGCTTTGGCCCCAAAGTGAGACACATCCTTCTGCTCACATTGCACTAGTAAGAGCTAAATTGCCTGCCCCCCAACCCGCATCAAAATGCAAGGGAGTTGGAAACAGCCCATAATGATTTATGATGGTAAGAGGAGCATGACTCTTAGAAAATAATTAGCCTAGCTGCCACATATGACAAGCAGATTTGTTTGTCAGTATTAGAAGATTCTTTGGGGAGTTGGAAGAAGAGATAATAAAATTATTATTACAGTTGTGGGTGAAAGGGTTATAGGGGAGTTTTGGATTATCAGTCAGAAAATATCTGTTCTCCTAAGATATGAAATTCAAGCCTTTCAATATTGGTGAAGATAAATGTTTAAAGAGCATGTGCCCACAGGGAGAATTATCAACAGTGGAAAAGCATCTGAAGTATTGACATTGAATATAAGGAGTGTGGCAGTGACTGAAGAACTGTCTGGGTAATTATGTGCTTAAATGGGTAGGAGTTTGGGAAATAATTACCACCTTTCCTCCAAATGAAAAGGGAGACTTTGTAGGAAAGGTGGGATTTCAAGAGGTGGAAGCAAAGACTGTTTAGATGAGAAGCCTTGTTCTTTAAACTAGGCGGTGTTTTTAAGATGATTCTGTGATGGAGTAGGATAAAAATAAGAAGATATGGAGGACATTTTCTGGTGAGAAAAAAGGGGCTAGGGAGAACAAACGAGAATATTTAGGTTTGTCCAATATTTATAAGCAATCTTCTCCCTTTATTCTTGCCAGTAAGTAATTCTCTTCAGATGATATTTGGCATAAAATGTACCTTATTGCTTTGCATCACCTTGTAGTTTATATATACATTTATTTTTTAACCTCTCCTGGGAATTCACCATTGCCACTTTCATTTTATGGTCCAATTTATGGATACGCTGAACTCGATTAAAAATTGCACTCTCACTTTCCCAAAGAGCTGGATTCTGAGAGGAAGAGGGCTGATATGTATGTGGTTATACGATGTGTGTGTAGGTGTGGCTATGCATATAGGTATATGCGTGTCCAAGGTGAAAGAGTTCTCAGTGTTACCTTACATGTCTTTCTCACTTGCACCTTATTCTGTGAAAGTTCCTTGAAATACTGCTATTGAGATCCTGTTCCCGTTGCCCCAGTTATAAGTCACCGATTCCAGGTGCCTATTTCTTTTGTAGGACTGTATAGTCTTTTGCAGGTATGAATATTGACTAAGCACAGGGAAGCTTGGTTCTGTCCACTTGCTCTGTGTTCAGTGAAAGTACAAAGTACATGTTTGTTTCACTTGTAAGTATAAAGGGAAAAACCCACCTGTTTTGCCTTCAGAAAAAGTCTTTTGATCTGACTGTTCTCAGAACGAAAGCTGGAGTGAACTTTTTTTTTTTTTTTGCAGTTGGGTTTTCTGATCTACCTTGTGCCTCTCATGAAAACACAATTGGGAGTTGAAAGAATCTACTGGTGAGGAAAAAAAGGAAGGGGCTTTTCATCATCCTGCAAATTAGAAGCAAAGATAGGGTCTTTTTTTTCTTTTCTTGTCATATCTGATAACACCTGGTAACATGTGGAGCCCTAACTCAGCTGGGAAAATGAAGAGTAACTTAATTTTGATTGGCCATCTGTCTTAGGTCTCAGATTCAGTATATGAAAATTTAGTTTCTCATGAACATTCTACCTGAAAGGAAAAAATTAAGGAATATATATATATATATATATATATATATATTTATATACAACTAATATAGTGTTGTGTTATTGGTCATTTTTCAAACTAATATATAATATTATATATATATCATATATTATATATATAAATTGGTCATCATATAATATATAAATATTGGTCATTTTTCAAACTAATATATATATAATATTCATGATGATAATATTTGATAATTGTTGATGATGGGATGGAGGTGAGAGTAAATTCTAGTGAGAATAAATGGAAGAAAATGTAATATCCAAATTTCATTATACTGAAATAGAGATTTATAGATGATCTTTTCCTCCCTCTCAACCATTATATATTTATATTGTATAATATATAATATAAATATATATAATATATAATATAAATATATATATTAGTTTGAAAAATGACCAATAACACAGCACTATTAAAAAGTTTCCCAAATATTGACAAAGTAATTATGATGTTAGAATTCATTGTACAGACCCATTTTGAGAAATAGATTTCACTTACAAAGACAGGAACAACTGAAGAGGAATGCTTCAGAGTCAGCCTTTGTTGTGTCAAGGGGCCTAGTAAAGCTGTTCAGATTGGAGTCCTGCAAAAGCTCAATGCTTCCTACTGCTCCTGGCAATGTGGTGTGTAGCCCCGAGCGCAGCTTCATCTGTGGCCGTGGTACTTTCTTTCATGAGAGGCAAGAAACCATCAGAAAAATTAGAACGGAATATTGAAACATACTGGCGTGTCATCTTCTCATCTTTGATGTGAAACCCAACCAAAGGAATTCTGCTTCAGTTCCCCTCTCTAAGGATGGAGATAACACTGTGAATGACCTCAGGGGGTCATTTCTTCATCTATGCAGAAAATACATATTTAGCATCAACAGTGTTCCACATAGTGTATCCAATACTGAGAACAAAAGAGGGAGCAAAAAGAGATGTAATTCCTTTGTGACATTTCCAGTCCATGGGTAGGACAAGCAGATCAGTCCAATAATTACCCAAAGACATGTAAAATTGCAACTCTGATGATCAAACAAGGTTATACATACCAGCACATACTTAGCACTCAATACATGTGAGCTCTTGTTAGAAATATTACACAATAAGTCCTTTTCTGCTGACAAATCTAAATGAAATAAAACATTACTCCCATTTATTTAACACAGATTTGAGGAGCTGCTGTGAGTCTTCAGCTGTGTGGTAAGATTACATGTCTACTGGGGGCGCTCACAGCTTAATTAGGAAGAAAGACAAAGAAACCAATCATAGTCCAGTGTGAAAGGGCTTCAGTGTAGGGGCAGGAGGAAGAAGAGCTCACCCCATTGGATGTTAACAGAAAAGGATCCTTCTATGAAAGGGACTGGAAGAACCAAGAAGAAGAGAAGGATTATGAGAGTAGAGGTGATGAGGTTGGCAATGGAGGAGAGGAGCAGAAGGAATAGAAGGGAATGAGGCTATATAAACAAAGTGATGTTGATTTGTAAATGGCTTTTTCCTTCAATGAGGAAAAGAGTTTTAATTAGGCTGTGGGTAACTGTGGAAGTATTTTAACCCTGACAGTGACATGTATGATCAGACTTCCATATTGGAAGACTAACCCTATTGAAAACCAATTAGGTAAATTACGCTTTAGCCATGCCTTGGCATACTGTGTTAAAAATCACATCTTAGGCCAGGTGTGGTAGCTTACAACTGTCATCCTGGCATTTTGGGAGGCTGAGGTGGGTGGATCGCTTGAGCCCAGAAGTTTGAGACCAGCCTGGGCAACATAGAGAAACCTTGTCTCTACAAAAAATAAAAAATTAGCTGGGTGTGATGGTGTGCACCTGTAGTCCCAGCTACTCAGGAGGCTGAGGTGGGAGGATTGGTTGAGTCCAGGAAGCTAAGGCTGCAGTAAGCCATGTTCATGCCACTGCACTCCAGCCTGGGTGACAGAGCAAGACCCTGTATTAAAAAAAAAAAAAAAAAAAAATTACATCCTAGAAGGAAGGTCTCAGTGAAGAAAATGATTACAGAATACTTTTCAATTTAAAAAATATACTAAATATACTTTTTGGTTCCCCCTTGTGAAGTGTTCATCTTGAGAGTGGGGTGAGAAATGCCTTTTGTGTTAGTCCTCAGGCTTTCCAGTATTTTCCATTATTTTAAACAATGCAATATAAATGACAAATGGAAATAAAGATGTATTAGTCCATTCTCACACTGCTATAAAGAACTACATGAGGCTGGGTAATTTATGAAGAAAAGAGGTTTAATTGACTCACAGTTCCACAGGCTTAACAGGAAGCATGACTGGGAGGCCTCAGGAAACTTACAATCATGGCAGAAGGCGGAAGGGAAGCAAGGACCTTCTTCACATAGTGGCAGGAGAGAGGGAGAGAGTGAAGGGGGAAGTGCCACACACTTTTACACCATCAGATTTCCTGAGAACTCACTCACTATCATGAGAACAGCAAGCGGGAAATCTTCCCCCATGATCCAGTCACCTCCTACCTTGGCATACTGCGTTAAAAAATCACATCATATGCTGGGCGCGGTAGCTTACACCTGTCATCAATTCAACGTGAGATTTGGGCAGGGACACAAATCCAAACCATATCAAAGGGTAACTCCAGGTGCAGTGTGGAGGATGGGTTTGAAGGGAGGAAATTGGCATCTGAAGATTGGTTAGGATTGCTGGTACCATTAGAAAGATATGCAGTGATGTGAAAGATGTTGGTGTGGTTGGTGTAGTTGAATGACCACATGTGGAGGATAAGAGAGAATCAAAGGTCGTGGCTTTGGAAAGGAAATTTAATAGAGTGATTGATTTCTGGGTGGGAGCATATCTGAGATTGGTAAAGATAAGCTCTGTATTTGATTTGTTGAATATAAGTTGGTAGTAAGTCATCCAAGGCAATATTCAGAAGGAGTAAGAAATTTGCAACTCAGTATAGTGAAAGATATTCAAACTGGAGAGTGTTCGTGGTTGATGCATTGGGACATGATGAATTGTTAGAGGATGTGTTAAGAAGAAGCTGAGAACCTTTCCAGGGGATAAGACCACTGGCTTAGAGTGACTGTTTCCAAATGAAAATAACTCTTTCCAGAGGGTGATAGCTGAAAATGTCAGAGGAGAAAAAGTAATCATTTGAGACCTAGATACTACGGGGGACATGTCCATGGGCTTTGGAGATTAGAAGTCCACAGTAGACTTAATGATCACAGCGCATTAAATAGAGGAAGACAAATTGTAGGAGGCTTAAAGGTGAAGGGGGACAGATCACAATGTGGAGATGGACACATAGTTAGTGGGTTTAGGGGAGGGAGGTACAAGATTAATTTGAGAGGGGCTCAGCAGTGTTTGCTCCCCTAACTCTAAGGGTGAATGGGACTGGAACATTTTGCTAGGAAGAAACAGTGGAGTGGGAAAAGATGAAGAATCAAATGAGAGGTAAATTGACAGAGCCAAACCAAACCATGGTGGAGTGGGATTCAGAACACAGATGGAAGAATATGTTTTGCTGGGCAAAGGAAAAAAAAGGGATGATTTGAAGTTCTGGTTTGGGGTGATAGTTGCAAAAGAACTGCATACCTCATGGCCTCTGTTTACCCATTGAGGGACAAAGTCCATTAGTTGACAAGTGGGTGAGGTTTGGTGCTGAAAGCTTGGCAGAGCTGCTGTGGGGAAATGGGATAGGAAAAGTTACAGGTGCTGAGTGCTTGGAGAGGCTCTGCTGAGTCAGAAACCTAACAATAAAAAAGCTCATGCCTATTGGGAGAGAGACATTTTTGATGCTTATGTCTCCAAGGTATATTAATCGTGTGTGTATCTGTATGTCTCTCTCTGTGTGTATATCTATTCCATAATGAGAGCTCAGTACACATTTGTTGAATAAATGAGTCAATCATAGATTTGAGGACAATTTTTTTGGTCTACTTCCTAGAACCCAAGTAAATATAATGCCAAGATTTGAGTCTTTTTCTTGAGTCTGCTTTACTTTTTTAACTTTTGTTTTCCTTCTCTATACTTGGTATTGCCTCTTCCACTAAAAAGAAAGTTTGTGCAAGAAGAAAAAATTGCATCCAAACACTTCTTGTGTCTTTTCTATGGATAAAGCATTAGAATTGCAGAAAAGTCATGGCAACAAGATGGTCATTGCCCTTAGAAGCTTCCACTGTAGTGGGCATGGGGGTGGTGGGATGGAGCAGAGGAAGAATTAACCATTATCAACACAAGCTGTGTCATAAAAAGAGATAGAAAGGAAGAGCTCTGGACATTCCAGAGAAGGAGGTCAGTAAATCTGGTAGCTTGAGCTGAGCAAAGTTCCTGCAGTAGGTGAGGTGGTTTACACGGGACACTGATGAAAGCATGGAATTTCAGCAGGGGGCCACTGGCTAGGGGCAGGGTGTTTTGGAATGGAGGTGGCAAGAAGAGTTTCCAATGGAAGAGAAAGCCTGAAGTTGGGAAAATATGGAATGTGGTCAAGAAATAAAATATACATACCAGGATACATAGGCAGAGACATCCATATGCAGAAAGCACAGTGAGTTAGTTACTCATTGTCAAGTTTTGGCACTTGGAAGTTTCCCTTTGGCTTACTTAAGATAACTGATAGGACCTCAGATGAAAGGGGAAAGGATTCAATATGGGTCAGTTTCATTTTTTTAGACATATCAGAATTGTGGGGGAAAATTTGCTTTTCCCTCTTAGTCATTAAATATTTGATTCCAAAAATCACAGACTTAAATTCACATTGCTCCACAGACACAACTGTCAGTTTCAAAGGGTCCCAACATCAACATTTATCAAAACCAAATTATGTTGAACAATGGTTTCAAGTTTTGTCAGAAATTTCTTTAAATTCCCAGTTAATATTTCATGTATTAACTTTAACTGCAAACCCTCATCTGATTCTCTTGTTTTTAAGACCTTATTGAAAAGATACAGGACAACAGTAGTTTGGGGCTTATACATTTTGTTGTCCTAGAGACAAAAACAATCCTTTAATCCTGTTTCTTTTAGTAGATGTCACTTTCTTATGAACACATTCAGATACTTTCCCCTACTTAAATGACGTGGGTATATAAAATTGGGGATGGAAGTGTTTCTCGAGCAATACATGTGTGTTTAGTTTTGAACTGACCCTCCTTTAGAGCTGTTAGTTCTTGAAGTGAAAGCAATCTACATTACTTTCTGATATATGACACTCCCTAGTAGTGAAAGGGTATTGAGGAAGCTTATTTTTCTTCATTTTGCCACCATTCATGATGAAGGGATGTCTTTTTCTTTTTCTCTTTCTTTTTTTTTTTTCCATCTGACTCAGCTGCTCTGGTGGTTGTTATGGAGAGGATTGTGGGATTAGGGGGTGAGCTTGGCGCCATGCATGGTCACTACCAGAAGCCAACAGTTTTCGAGTTGTACAACTGTTGTCATCCCATGGTGAACAAGGCCTTCTCACTAATCCCAAAAGATGCATCTTCTGCTTTATTATAAGAAAATAGTTTTTGTCCATTTGTTCCAAGGATTTCCATTTATGTACCATTTTGGACTCTTTATCTACACAGGGATAATTTATATGCTAGGGGCATAATGCTTATTATTTTTCCCCTTAGAACAAAGCAAGATCATATGGTGGATGGTCACCACTTTTTTTCTTTTAAAAATTAATTAATTAATTAAAGATGTAGAGGCTCGCTTTGTTGCTCAGGCTGGAGTGCAGTGGTACAATCATATCTTAATACACTCTCAACTTCCAGGGCTCAAGTGATACCCCCGTCTCAGCCTCCAGAGTAGCTGGGACTACAGGCGCGCACTACCACACTCTGCTAATTTAAAATACATTTTTTGTAAAGACAGGGGTCTCAATATGTTGCCCAGGCTGGTCTCGAACTCCAGGGCTCAGCTGATTCTCCTGCCTAGGTCTCCCAAAGTGCTGGGATTACAGGCATGAGGCACTGCACCCAGCCCACAATTTCTTTATATCTATAATTCTTCCTTGGCCATAGCAGGCCCTCTTACTCTCAGCCACTTTTCCATTCTCCCACCAAAACTGGAGTTGAGTATTTGAATTTTTTTTGATATGGTTCTGTGTAGGTACATGCATGTTCGTCCTGTTTTCACAACTCCTGGAGGGCAGCTGGTGCCATCCCTCCCTTATACTTCTTCTCTGTGCTTTTGATAAATACCAAAGTGTCTTTGATGTCATTGAACCCAACAGATCTATTTCAGCCTCATTGTACTTCAAGCTTTTGCAGCATTCAACATTATTAATCACTTTCTCTTTAGTGAAGTCTTCTCTTGATGTCAGGGATCCCACCCTTGCTAGGCTTCCCTTCCACATCCCTTGCTGCCCTTTCTCAGGCTCCTTTTTGGGATCCGTGTCTTGGTCATCAGACACTGGTGTTCTTCAGGGTTCTCCTCTAGGCCTCTTCTCATCTCCCTTGGGATGTTCTCCCTTCCCAGTCTCACTACGGGGGGCCTCATTCATTGAACACCAGCACCCATGTGTCTCACAAAGAGTCTCACATGAAAAGGTCACTGTATTCCAGACTTTTCTGGTAAATGACAGACATCTCTTGGCACCTCAACCCCAACAATGTTTAAAATGCACCCGTGCTTTGGCCCACTGCTGGAAGACTGATTCTGTTCAGCTTCCCCTGTGTTGATGAATGGCATTGCCACATATCCAGTTATGCCAGCCCCAAACCTAGAAGCTTCCTTGATGGCTCTTCTCCCTCACCCCTCTCAATTCATCATCAAGTCCAGGGAAAACACTCCAAAGGAAGTTCCTGGGATCCATCCATGACTCAACTTTCCCCATCTTTGCTCTCTTCTCTCCATTACCATCTGGGGTCATGCTCTCATCATCTCTCATCTGGTCTGAGGCACAATTTTCCTAACTGATCTGCCAGTGCTCACTCTTATTTATTCTCCATCTATATGCTTCCTTTTTTGTTAATTTTATTTTATTTTAGATTCAGGGGGTACATGTGCATGTTTGTTACATGGGTATATTCATGGGTATATTGCAACCCAACTGGTCGGGTTGGTCTTCTAATGTACCTGTTACCCAAATAGTGAACATTGTACCTGATAGGTAATTCTGCAACCTTCATCACCCCCCAACGTCCTTTTGGAGTCCCCAGTGTCTGCCATTTCCATTTTTTATGTCCATGTGTACCCATTATTTAGCTCTCACTTTTAAGTGACAATATGTGGTATTTGGTTTTCTGTTTCTGAGTTAAGTTTACTTAGGATAATGGCCTCCAGCTCTATCTATGTTGCTGCAAAGAACATGATTTCATTCTTTTTTTATGACTCCATAGTATTCCATGGGAGATATGTATATATATATATATATATATATATACACACACACATACACACACACACATGTATATACACACACACATATACACACACACTACATATACACACGCATATATACATACATGTATATATACACACACATATACACACATATGTATACACACACATATATACATACATGTGTATATATATACACACACATACATGTATATATGTGTGTGTTTGTGTGTGTGTATATATATATATATATTTATCTGACATTTTCTTTATCCAGTTAGCTGCTTATATGTACTTAGGTTGGTTCCATGACTTTGCTATTGTGAATAGTGCTGCAATGAACATAACAAGTATAGATGTCATTTTTATGTCATGATTTCTTTTTCTTTGGGTAGATACCCAGTTCTGGGATTGCTGGGTTGAATGGTAGCTCTATTTTTAGTTCTTTGAGAAACCTCCATACTGTTTTTCATAGAGATTGAACTAATTTCCATTCCCATCAATAGCTGTATCCTTCATGGCATAATTCACAGGAGAAGTCTCACATTCATTCATTTTTTCACTTATATCTGTAGTTATTTGACTGTTATCTTATTTCTCTGCACTGGGCTAGATGCTCCATGAAGGCATAGATTTTTTTTTTCTAATGTTTTTTCACTACCTTAGCAAACTTTCTGGCACATAGGAGTTAATCAGAATATATTTGTTGTAAGAATGAGTAAATGAATCAACAGTAAAACTTGATTATTGCTGTTTGTTATTTTCAGAATTTATGTTTATTTACATGCTTCATGCCGATGGAGATTAATGAAATCCTTCTTGAGCAGTTTCATTATAAATAAATATATACTTTTTTTCTGATTGCAGAACTAGTAGGTCCTAATGTTAAAACACCTGGAAAGCATAGAAAAGCAAAAGAATAAAAGAATTCTGTCAAACTGGATATGGTTTTGAATCATGTTTTTCTGTTATACCATGACTATTTTCCTTTGTCATTCAAACTGCTTCAGAATTGTTTAAAATTAAATTGACAAATTTGAGACACAAAACCTTTCTAGAATATTTATCTTTGATGAATGAAAACTCTTGGAAAGACTTTGTTTAAAGAAATTTCCCTAAAGTATTGGAGTCCATAAGGTATGATGAACTTTAGGCTCCTTTTAAAATATATTACATTTTGTTTAGGGTCAAAAATGTTTTCTGCTTCAGTAACTACTGCCAGTTTATGTAACCCCATGTTATTATCTAGATATTCCATCATTCCAATTTCTCAAGGCTAGTATGAGGATTCCTTGGTTAGTATTTTTTACAAAGCAACATTGTATATAGTTCCAGTTAACCACATTAAGTGCTAACTTCAGGTTCTACCACTAGGAATTAAATATTTCTTTGTTAAGGTTACTTTTCTTGTATTAAAAATACTGCCCTGTGGCTCCTCTCATGCCTGTAATCCCAGCACTTCGGGAGGCTGAGGTGGGAGGATCACTGAGGTCAGGAGTTTGAGACCAGCCTGACCAACATGGTGAAACCCTGTCTCTAATAAAAATACAAAAATTAGCCGGGTGTGGTGGCAGGCACCTGTAATCCAAGCTACTCGGGAGGCTGAGGCAGGAGAATGACTTGAACCCAGGAGGCAGAGGTTGAAGTGAGCCGTGATCGCGCCACTGCACTCCAGCCTGGGCGACAGAGCAAGACTCTGTCTCAAAAAAAAAAAAAAAAAAAAAACCAAACTGCCCTGTCTAATAGAGGAAGCAACTTTACCATTTTACCCAACGGTGAATGGGTAGGCAACATGTAGGTTTCATCTCAGCTCATTTCACAAAGGCACACGAAGGGAGATTATAACTGTACAGTGCTGGAATGAGTTACGCCCGTGGTGTTTTCCCAGCTCTCCCCTTCTAGGCAATGCAAGAGTCAAGAACTTTGACTTAATATAATGTATTTTCTGTTTTCTCTGGAGGGTTTATTTTTCCTTGGGGAATTCTGATCCCTTGTGTCTAGAGCTTTCCTTTGATATGCACCCTTTTATTTTCAGTTGTGCATTAAGATATTCAGTGTCACCACTTTACAATCTTATTAAAGTCATTAAAACATGGAAGTGAAACAGTGTGGGTGATGTGCGTCGTTGTTGAAGGCGTGGTTTTCCTGGGAGGTTTTCTTGGGAGGGCATATTTTTGGTCTGGAGTATTTAGCACAGTGGAAAAGGGAGTGGCTTATGGCTAGTGCCAGATGGACATCCCTCATGGAATCTGTTACTTATCCCAGGGGCCCTATTATACGGGGTTTATTTTCAATATTAATCTTGATATGAAGGCAGCTGCAGTTCTTAAAAAAAAATCATACCTCTAACTTATTTTTATTATGGCCAAAGAAATTTATAGATTGGCTTTATAGATGGATTCTACTATTCCCCTCAGTTATTAACCAGCACTGTGGAATGTGTAGTAATTTTTCCTGTGTGCCATATATATTTTTCCACTAGTAGCGATGAGAAAAATAATTCTTTTTTGTTAGGAATAAATGGAGTCAGTGTGTATGGTAATATGTACACTTCGTATAAGAGTTGCTGTGAATAAGGTGCTAACATTTTACTTTAAAGGTAAGTAGTGTGTCCCCCCTCCCTTTTTTTAGCTTCTCAACAAGAATTTTCTCTCCAAATATGCTGCATGTTTAACTGTGGCATATTCAGAGGGTTAATAAATATTTAGATAGTATATGTAGTGTCTTTAGCTTAAAATGCACCCTAACTGATATTCTTTTGTGGTTGTTTTAAGAACTTTTACATCTGTTTTTCCTCCCTTTTGGTCACTTTTGCATTTACAACTTGATATAATTTGCCTAAATACAGTTGAGTCACTCTTTTAGAATTTGATTTTTGCTGAAGTGAGTAAAATTTAATATATGATTTAAGAAGAGCTACTTACAAATTGCTGTATAATCACATCTTTTTAAATGTTTGTAAGGAAATGTTAAGGTAATCTTAAATGTATTAGTATGCAGTGACTGTTTGGGATCCCAAGAATAAAATGCCTCCATTATTTAGGAATACTTAAATTCATGGTTATTTTATATAAAATGCTAAAATAAGTTGTAGCTGAACGCCCGATTGAAATTTACATCTTGACTGAATTCCATTATTTGTCTTCAAGATGAAAGCCAGCAACCCCTACTTTGAAGGGATTTTATTTTATGGTTATGTTTAAGAAACCATTAGCCACATACTCAAACTAATGAAAATATAGGTTTAGCAAAAACCCTTCTTTTAAAATAAATATAAGATATAAAATCTTAAGTTACAGATTTTGGAATAGTTGGTTGGGAGGAATGTGATTTCTGTCCTTCCTGCCCTAAGACCTCGTCGGAAGTGGGATTTAGAGTCTCATGTGAGCTCTTTCCTAGTAAAAGATTTTAGATAAACACAACTGGTAAAATACAGAGAACTAATGATAGCTATATGATCACCCATCTGGTAAAAAGTTGTCCCTACAGAATTCCGGCAATCATAAAATCACAGAAAAATGTATGTAATCAAGATATTCTTGCAGTGTGAGCAAAAGCTCTCTGCCACTATGCAGTAAAACATTAGCCCTGACATGTTTCTAAAGCCAGACTGGTACCAGTGGTTTCATAGATTCCCATAATTTCTTATCAGCTATCTTAGACTTGCTCTTAAACAATGATAAATGTGAATTAAGAGACATTAATAGACCTCAGATGTAATCTTGTTTGGCTTAAGTGATTATATGTTATATATGCTTATGAACTTCTTATCATTGATGATTTGTGAGTTAAGTAGGCTTTAGGTATTTGGTTTATCAAATATGATTAAGACTGGAAAATAAACACATTCAGTCCCTTATAATACTTAAGGAAGAATTTATAGGTTTATTGATCTTTTAAAAATGTTAGCCTTAAAAGAACACGTTAAACTATTTCTGTTTCTTGGCTTATTCTCAGCAGGAACAAAAAAAGCAACTGGGTGTTTATATAAATGGAAAACTTCATTGCTGAGAACCTACTAGTTGATATATATTTGAAACACATTTAAGAGAATCTTTAATTGCAGTCAGTAATCTTATAGATATATCCAAAGGCAACACAATGCCCTCTTGAAGAAACAACACATTGTATTTGGATAGTGTAGAAGCAATGATTCTGTAATATTTATTGTAAAATACCTCATCTCGAATTTATGTTTAATGTATGGATTGATCTATATCAGAGTTTCTCAGTCTCTGTTGATGCTTTGGATAGGGCAGGTCTTTGTTGTGGGAGGCCGCCCCGTGAATTGTAGGATGTTTAGTGACACCCTGGCCTTTATCCCCTGGATGCCAGAAGTCATGACAATAAAAAAAAAAAACTCTCTTCAGACATTATCAAAGGTCCCCTGAGGAATAAAATTGCCCCGGCAGAGAATCACTGATGTTTATACCTGTCTGTTTATAACTGTTTATGGCTTTATCTGCATCTGTGCATTAGCACATTAGTTTTTGGCACCTGAACATGATTATGGTTTAAGAGCATTATATTTTATACTTTAGAAATCAAAGAATGGAAGATAGTATAGGAAGTCATTGATGTTTTGGTGGAATTCACACTAACTCATAATTAAAGGGATTTATTGAAATTAGAGAGCACATGTTTTTACTATTGGTTAGTGAAAGTTTGGTTACTGAACTAAGGGAGTTTTGTAATTCGTTAAAAGGTTTTCATTTAAAAATACTGAGGAACATTTTATTTAATTTGTTGTTCCTTTTTTACATTTGAAGTTTCATATGGTTGTGCAAGAAGTGATGCCCAGGAGACTTACTCGGGGTGTCCAGTGTAAATATGTCATGTCATTAGAGGCCTGAAAGTTTGTTTTCAGCAGAAAGTCTCTAAGGTCCTTCATTGGATTGCAGCAAGAACTACGAAGTCTGGCAGTACAAGGAAAATAACTCAGATTTTATCTTACATGACTTTTTATTTCTATTTTGTTTTAAGGCTTGACAGTACTTTGGCAACCATAATAACAGTGGTTCACCTGAATTTGATGTGGGCTGCATCATGTGCACAGAAAAATAAATGGCTTAGTAACAAGTGTCTTTAACCACATTGAAGCTGCCAAGTGCAAGCCTCCCTGGGGTTGATCCTGAGGCCATTGCATTATCAATTGAGAACCTATCGTGTGCCTGGCCCTGGTGTTGCAATGGCCAATGAGGCATTGCCTCTGCCCCCAAGGACTGTAGCAGGGAGACAGACACTGAAATGGGATCATTTTAACACAGTTTAGAGCAATGCACAGGTTGCCTTGGAGCTTAAAGGAGGAGAATCCAGTCCAGCTAGGGGAGGGGAAGGTGGTGCCAAGGAAGCCTTTTCCAAAGAGTTGTTTTCTGAGCATCCTTGAAGATGATACCCACTGTGTGCATCAGTAGAACTGCTTATTATGAACGAATTCACACTAAAGTGCCCATGGCAGATGAGAGCTAAGTTGTTATTCCTCCCAGCGATATTGGGATTTATAACAGGTCACAACCCTTTCTAAACCCAAGAGAGGATACTGCTAGTAATAGAAGCTTGCATGTCATATCTTTCCATGGAGAAGGGGTCTTTTCAATTCTAGCAACATCAGAGAAAGTAACCACCTTTTCCATCTGGACTAATGGATTCTCTCAGCTGTCACTTCAGTGATTCTCACAAAAACCATAACAGACTAAGCACATCTCTTTTGTAAGTTGCTGTCATTTTATAAGAGATGCCCAGTAGTTTGCCAAATACAAGAGAAGACACGCAGAATAGACATTATTCTTACCTTCTGAAAATTATGCCTCAAATTTTATCTTCAGCTGTCATGGTCTGATCTTCCTTCTCCTTTGTGCTTAGTTTCTTCTCTACCTGCAAACATTCGCAAGTCTCCTTTTATTCATAAGCATATTCAAGCTAAGCCTCCCCTAAGCACAGTGTATACTTGCAGGCTCCTATATCAGCCTTGTCTCTGTCCTTCCTGCCTAGAATGCATACATCTTCATTTCTTGGTATGCAAGGCTCACTTTGATGACATTAGGTAGGCCTTTGCCCAAGTAGTTTTATCTACCAAAGTGCTTTTGTCTTACAGGTGAGATCCTACACATCCTTCAAGACCCCACTCCAGTGGCTCCTCTTGTTTGAAAACTTATGCTGACTTTCAAGGGGGAGTACTTCAAATACCTCCTCCACGTAGTACCTGTCATGAGGAGTCATATATGTCTTTTCTATTAGAGCTGTTCTTGGGTAGAAACTGGGTCTTATTCACATTTTTAGCCTAATATTTACCATTGTATCTTTTATATTGTAGGCACTTAATAAATGTTATACAGAATGTTTCAATGACCCATTCATTTTCCCCAGATCATTGAACTTCTGTCTTCCCAGGCTTCTCACTTCCAACTCTGACATTTATCAAGTGCCTCTCTGTATGACATCCTTTCTTGGGAGTTTGTGTTGTCTCCCTTCTTCTTGCAAAGCCCAGTCCCATATAGTTCTATGCTTTCCTCCTTAGAAGTGAGGAAACAGAAGTTCAGAGAGGTAACATGAAGCAACTTACCTGATGATACCCAGCTTGTAAGTGGTAGAGCTGGGCTATGAATTTGGATGTTTCTGGCTCACTCATTCACTTATGCATTCAACAGAAACATACTGAGCAGCTCCTGTGGGCCAGATACTCTTCCAAGGAAACAGCATTGAACTAGACAAATGGACTGTCTATTCTAGAACGGAGAGAAATAGTGAATGGACAAATAAATCCAGTACATTAGTCAGTGATGAGTGACTTTGTATCTCTGATGAGATATAAAGGAAGAGAATGGGCAAGAGACAAGGAGGGCACATGGAGGTCCTTTTAGCTAAGCTGACCTGGGAGGACTCCCTGAGGAGTGAACATTGAGCAGAAACCTGCGTAAAGTAGGGATAGAAGGGAGAGTGGCCCAGGCAAGAACAGCAAGTGCAATGAGTGGCCCAGAGAAAGAACTGAGGACCAGGCAGTGCAGTGTTTCTGGAGCTTAGTGGGTGGCAGCTGCTCTCTTAGGAGGGAGTTTGGAGAAGGAGCCAGCACCCAGATGATATAGGGACTTGTAGCCCATGGCAAGGAGTTTGAATTTTACTCTAAGTGTCTTTGGGAAGCCATTGGATTTCTCTAAATAGTAAAATTCTCTTGCACTGTCATATAAGCTATAGCAGTTTGTAAAACAGATATGCTTGGTCTCTTTTGGTTTCTTCAAAACTCATTGAAATGTCACCTGGCCATTAGTATAGATACAAAAGGTGGCTTTAAGCCTGGCATGGTGGCACATTCCTGTAATCCAAGTGACTTGGGAGACTTAAGTGGGAGGATCATTTGAGCCTAGGAGTTTGAGGCCACAGTGAGCTATGGTAGCACCATTGCACTCCATCCTGGGCAACAGAGCAAGACTCTGTCTCTTAAAAAAATTAAACATTTCTGAAAAAGAAAAGGTGACGTTATAATACTTACCCATTTAATCCTCAAAACCCCTGTGATGTGGCAAATACTGTTCTTATCCCTGTTTTATTGATGGGAAAATTGAAACACATGGAGAGTAAACAGCTTGTACACAATGACCCCTAGCAAGCTTGTACACAATGACCCCTAGCAAGTAGTTCAGCTGGAAGCTGAACTTGTTCTTAAGGCAAGTAAGACAGCTTGCCTGCCATCCCACAACTAGTTTGGTGCTAGGATTGGAATTCAAAGTTAGTCTGACTCCTGTAAAGCGCTTTCTGAATTTTGTTCTCCCTACTGTTGCCTCTGCCCGGTCTAGACACTTTCAACCTCCTGCCAGCCTTGAAGTGTTCTTCACTGGTCTCCTTGGCACCAGCCTTTCTTAATACTACTCTTGTGCATCTCACACTATTGATAAGTTCGGGTGTGGGCTTTACATCTCTCTCTCTCTGCCTCCTTCCTCTAACAAAATCCTTTGTGGACACTCTTATTTAATATATTTCAAAATATTTAGGTTAGCCTTCAAGGCCCACCAGAGCCTGGCTTTCTACCATCTCCTCCAGCTTTCTTCCTTTTCTTCTGTAGCCAAATTGCTCTCTGCTTTGTTCTTTGAACACAGCCTGTGTACAAGTAGGTCTGAAGCTTCACTCACTCCCTCCTTTTTGCCTGGGACTCTCCCTCTGTCTGCCTTCTTTCTTGGTTAAAGACTTGTTCCTAACTATTGGGTACTATACTCAGTACCTAGATGATGGGATCATTCATATCCCAAACCTCAGCATCATGCAATATACCCATGTAACAAACATGTACATCTACTCCCTGAATCTAAAATAAAAGGTGAAATTATATATTGAAAAAAGACTTGTTCCTCTGAAAGGCCATTCCTTTTTGACTCCTCCTCCTAGATTTGCAAGCCACTTGTCACTGAGTTGGCCCTTAGCTTGATATATTTTTTTGTCTCATCACCCAAACTGAGTTTTCACCCCTTAAAATCAACAGTCATATCTTCTACTTCTCTGCATCTGCAGAGAAGTAGATAATATATTCCACTAAATATATCCTATTAAGTAGCATTTAATAGGGACTCAGTTAAGTGTTGGTAAGGCTTTCAGGCAGAAGGGAGGGAGACAAACTGGAATTAACACAAAAGATGTAGTCACTTCACAACATATGTGTTACCATTGGATTTTTTTGTGGGTGTGTATTCGAAGAGAACCAGAGATCAGAGGCCTTCTCTTCCTGTTCTCCGAATATTGGTGATGATTGGTTGCTTGGCCAATCTCAAAGATGGCCCCATTTTTGCTAAAAAAAAAAGCAAGAAAAAACTTCCCAAAACAAAACAAAAAAGCCCCCTTAATTCTGGAACCTTAGTATCCACTTCTACTTATATTTGTTTTCCTGATATTAAACAAGTGCAGTTGGGTTTGAGAGGGTGTTTTTCTTTTTTGCCACTTTTAACTAGTCCAGATGGTTATGCGATTCACAGACTCAAATGTGTCCAGATCATGAAAATCCCAAGGCCTCCGTGTTTGAGCAGAGTCCATATGTTTAGGCATTGTTGTTACTTGTGTGGGTCCACAGAACTTGTTGAAGAATCCAACAATGGAACTTGTGTTCCTGCTTGATCCAAGTTTGGATGTTCCCATCCTTTCTCCTGGTGATATGGGTAGAAGGGGCTGGATGGTCACTTCACAAATGGTTGCATGTCCCTATCATCCAGGAAAGTGAGAGGAGATTGTAAATATGCGTGCCAAGCCTTCATTGCTATCAACAAAACAGCCTGTGCTCTATCAGCATTTCTGTGAGATGTGTAGAAATGTTTATTTTAAAAAAAGGAATTTCCATATTAGTCTAAAATGAACTAGGCTAGTCGTTCTCAAATATTAGAGTGCTTTGGAGTTCCTTCAAAGCTGGTTAAAAATACATGTATTAGGGTCCCACCGCCTAGAGATTCTGCTACAGTAAATCCAGAGTGGGGAGCGGGTAATGCGCATTTTTAACAGCCATCTGGTTGTTCTGCAGTCCTTAGCACAACACTTGGAGAAACCCTGACCTATAATATAAAGCAGTTTTTTTAGAAGAGGAAATTTTAAATTAGAAAAAAAAATTAGCTGTCAAATCTAACACTTGAATCCTTGCCCCCATTGACTTTATGCTGTTGGTTCTCTCTTCTCTCAGCATTTTGCCTGCAGGCTAGAATCTGTGTTGTTCATTGCAGTTTGTGCTCAGCCACGGAAGGCACCTATCCCTAGCACCCAACCCCCATCCACCTAGGGCTCTATAAAAAGGTTAGTGCATTTTCTAGAATAAAGCCTTTTTCTAGGTAGATAGTTCTGGGGTTCAAAATGGGACTTTATTATAACACAGAAGCCTTAATGTTACCATATTTTTCCCATAGATGTAGTTTGGGGAGTGACTAGTGGTGTTGGCTGCTGGACATCTTATTTTCACTTGGATTTCAAGTTCTGTGTCTGGATGGGCTTGGACAGCAGTTCTGAGTATCATTATTTTGCACCCAGAAATTCATTTGTGCCTATTGAACACCTACTATTTACCAAACACTCTTCTTCTTACTGGGACATCAGTGTAAAAGGCAGACAAAACATTCTTATCTTTATTGAATTTATATTCTAGTGGGAGGAGAAAGGCAGTAATGATATTGTTGGATGTTGAAAACTATTCATGGAAAAAGTAGACTTGGGGAAGAGGGATAGAGAGTGTTGGAGGTGGAGGAGGGTAGTCAGAGAGAAGGTGACATCTGAGAAAAGACTCCAAAGGCAGGGAGTGAACGAACCCTGGGAACATTTACAGGGACAATAGTCCAGACAGAAGAAACAGCCAGTGCAAAGGCCCTGGGGTGGGAACATGTCTGGGGTGGTGAAGGAACAATAGGAAGCCAGTAGGCTAGAGGAGTGTGAGAAAGGGGAAGGACGATGGCCAAAAGGTAAGAAGAAATGGGGCAATTGTAAGGATTGGGCATCTCCCTTGAATGAATCGGAAGCCATTGGAGAGTTTTGAGCAGAAGAGTGACATGGTCTGAGTTAGATTTACTGCCTCCCTCCCTTCCTTCCCTCCTTCCTTAGTTCTTTTCTTCCTTCCCTCCGTCTCTTACTTTCTCTTTCTTTTCCTCTGTCCCTCTCTCCCTCCCTTCTTTCTTCCTTTCCTTCATTTTCTTTCTTTCCTCTTTCTTCTTTTTTTTTTTGAGACAGGGTCTCACTTTGTCACCCTGGCTAGAGTGCAGTGGCAGAGTCATAGCTTATTGCAGCCTCAAACTCCTGGGCTCAAGCAATCCTCCCATCTCAGCCTCCTGTGTAGCTGAAACTACAGGCATGTGCCAACATGCCTATAATTTTTTTTTTAGTAGAGATGGGGTCTCACTATGTTGCCCAGGCTAAACTTAGATTTTCGAAAGGCCTCTTTGTCTCTGTGTTGAGGATAGTCTGTTGGGAAGTATGGTAGAACCAGAGGGACTTGCTGGGAAGGTAGTTGCAGAGGTCCAGGAGGAAATGGATGGCTTCGGCCTGGGTGGATCCCAAAAGGCAGGCACACATGGTCCATTTTGGGTACAGTTGGAAAGATAAGCCAACAGAATCTCCTGATGATTGGATGAAGGAAGGGAGACAGAGAGAGAGGATTTAAGAATGATATTTGGCCGGAGTCACCAAAAGTGAGTCATTTCCCCATCAAAGACTGTGGGTGGAGCAGGCTTTGAGGAGAAGATGAGGAATTCAGTTTTGGACATAGGTCTAAGATGTTTACTGACATCCAATTGGAAGGGCTGTAGACCGTTGGATGTACGAGTGTGGTGCTCAGGGGATCCTCATCTAGGAGTTTTAGCATGTGGACGTGTGTGTGTGTGATTATATGTATGTGCGTGTAAATCTATATAATTGTATGTACATAATTAGCAGAATTGTGTGCATATATGCTTGTGTGTATACATAACTATATATGATTATATATAGATTCCTATATTATACCTCATAGCCTGTTGTTTGCAATGTTTTGTTTCTAAAGTATTGTTGAACCTCCAACCTTTGGTGTAGATGGTCTTTAGTCACAAAGTCATGCTTTGCCTTCTAATGTGGTGCTCCAGACCCATCCACGATAATCATCAGTATTCATCATCATCCGCCATATTGGCTTGTTTTCACTCCTTTGGGCTTTGTGTCTTGAAACAGATTACTAATGCTGAAAATGGTTGAACCTTGATGATCTCTCCTAAGTTCTCTTCCAGGGGGTAGTTAACCGAGCCTTCACGTGCGTGTGGACTTTGCAGTCCGGCCTCTGCCAGCATGTGACCGTGCGTGGCACACTTGATCCATCATGGCACAGTTCATTTGTGTAAGTGACTTGACAGATGTCCATAGTGAGGCATCAAGTTGGATGGTGTCTGCTAATAAATCTAATGGGGGAAAAAGAAAAGAGAATTCGAAGGATTATCTTTTTTTTTTTTAGGATTAAGTTTGTGCCATTTAGCTGTTTGAGACCCTGTAGTTAATGCTGCTTTATTAGAAGCCTATACAATTCTTCACATGGGTGTCAAAATAATTTCAGTGAAAATGATGTTGTGTGGACGCATCAAGCTGAAGTATTCGTCTTGTGATTACAGATGGGTTTTTGTCTGGGCTGTTCCACTTTCTTCCGGCCGCTTTGCTGGACTAGCTAGACTTAACAATCCACATTAATTTACTTTGGCACTTCACATGGTCAAATAGGCCACAGACACGATGGTCCTTAATAAATTTCTAAAAAATCCTGCGGTGCTCCTTTTTAATTGACATCCTTCACAAATTGTATTTGCCCAAGCTATAATTACTCATCAAGCAGCAAAAGCAAATCTACCTCCAAGTACAATGAGGATGTTCTTTTTGAAATTATTAAGATACAGAAGTTCAATGCAGAGTAATTTAGTTCTGCTTTATAATGATATCTTTGGGGACTCTATCTTTGGGGATCACATCTATTAGAGCCTATCAGCATGGAAAAGGACCTATTACCACCAGTGTGCCTCATAAATGCCAAATACCCCTGATTCCCAGTGACCATTTATGTGTCTTTAAAACAGTTGGAATTGCCTGATTTCTTTAATAATGTTTGTATATGACCTTTAGAACAATTAACTACTTTACCTGATATTCATTTAGTTTATTTGGAATATTTTGTCTTGACTCTTGAAATTGCATAGAAGGCCCCATATATGGTTGAGTAGGGGATCTTTGAGGGGACATCAGTGGAGGGTTATAATCTAGAAAGTTTAGAAATAGACCAAGTTAAGGTGACTTAGAATGAATAATTAAAAATTCTTATTTAGTTGATTCATATTAATAAAACAAATACATTTTACCATGGTGTAAAATTAGGATATTAGCTTTCCTAAGAAAGATTCAGGGAAAATAAAATAATATTGTCAATAAAGGGCTTAGAACAAGCCTTCCCAAACTGTGATTTCACAGGGTATTGCAGGGGAAACAGAAGCAAGTGATCCACAGCATGTTGTTTGTTTGTTTCCTGTCTCCCCCTTTAAGAAAAATGTAAGCTTCATCCAAGTAGAAAATTCGTCATCTTTTCCATAATATTGCCTCCAGTGCCTAGCACAGCCCCTTGTACATAATAGGCACATAAATATTTGTTGGATGAAGGAACTGTGGGCCTTCTCAGAGCCTTTAACTTTATAGCGAGCATCGTGACTCATCAAAGGGAAGTCAGCCTTTCCCAACCTTACTGGACCATGGAACCATTTCTTGAGGAGCATTTTACTAGACTTGAGTACCTCTGGGAAATTCTAACTTTGAGTAAAATAGATAAAAAAGTAAAACTGAATTGATCACTGAGTGAAATACTCAAGCTTTTGCAGATACCGGAATGTAAATGATAGAGATCATGAGGTAGGGAGGAGGCTAGACTTCCGTGGTTGAATCTATAACCTTCGGCAAGTTACTTGAGCCCTAGAAGCCTCAGTCTACTGATCCATAAAATAGGGATGATAATTATCTTACTGGGTGTTGGGAAAATAGATTATGATTAGTCCCAGTTTGGAAAACTAAATGAAATAAAGTATGTAGAGGGTGTCACTGGGCTAAATACTTATTCCTATCATCTTTTAAAAAGTAAGTGAAAATGACTCCAGTTAGGATGGGCGATTAGGAGGCATTGAAGTTTATGTGTGATCAACCTTTCTCCCTCTCTCCCTTCAACAAATACTAGAGTGCTTATAATATTCCAGACATTGTTAGTTCTGGGAGAGATGTCAGTGAACACAGTTAAGGCCCCTTCCCCATGGACCTATGGGGTTTTGTACTATAATGTGTTTACTGATGTCACTGCCTCTTAGAACATAAAGTAAATTTAATTGTACACAATTCACTTAAAGTTAATTGTTCTGAGGTCATTATATTAGAGACCTGCCCCAAAGGAGCACTTTTTCTCTCAGAATCAGATCTGTTCTTACACCAAATGACTAAAGCAGGATTCATAGGTCACATTTTAAAATAAAACAAATAAGATCAAGCTAGCATTACTAGGTAAGGTAATCAAATGAAAATACCACCCTTTCATTCTGATTAGTTTAACCACCATGGTAGGGTAGCCAGATTTACCAAATAAAAATACACAGCACCCAGTTAAATTTGAATCTCAGATAAATAAAGAATAGTTCTTTTATTATAAGTATACCCCAAATAGTGCATGGGATATACTTATACTAAAGCAAATTTGCTGTTTATTCAATAAATTTAACTGGGTGTCCTGTATATTATCTAACTACCTTGCCACACTGAACTAGGGTCCCAGGTACCTATGCAGGAGAAAGACAATTGCCTGCAACAAGTCAATATTTAAAGCCCCCTTTGTAGAGGGGCTGTTTTACCCAATACAGAATAGAAACCTTTAGTTCTATTTGAAGTGATTTATAACTGTTCCCGCCTGATCAGCAAGTGTTTCCAAATTAAAAGCCATTAATTAAGGCCTTCTATAGATACAAAAGATATGCAAGGAGTGCTTTGTAATGCTAGCTCAGTACTTCAGGTAAGAGCGTTTCAAATTACCTGGACCACTGGAGCCACCTGCTTGACTAAACGCTGCGTGGCCTGCTCTGCTCATCAGTGTGCACTGCGGTGCCAGTGTTGTTACTGATTTTTCTCATTTCTCCAGGGCAAATACTAATTAATGGATACAATTCACAGCTGATTAGCTGTAGTTTCTTCAGTAATTACATTCGCATACTAACTGTTCAGAAGAGGATTTCTAACCCAGTTCTTATTTCACTCTAAGCTTAATTTGTTTTTTGAATTGTTTAGGCCTTTAGTTTAATAGCCATTTTATTTTTCTTTGTTGTTTTAGGTGCTATTAGATAATAAGTAAGTTTAATCTTAAAAAAAATACTCTGTGATAATGAGCTGTTTGCTTTAAATGGATTTCTAATTCCCCAACAAAACCTACATTTAAATAACGTTGAGGTTGTGATATATGTTGTTAGGCGGTTTGGGGGGCCAGGACTGGTGCACGGAATACTCATCTCGAGCCCAGGTTCTCATAAATATCCAAAAGGAACATTTGCATGGAGACCTGAGATTTTAACTCTAGCATCATTCATTCATCAAAAATTTCATGATAGAAAATAAAATACTTAAAATACTTTTTCTTGCATGTATTTAACATTGTAGAAAAACAAGGGAAAATATGTGTGTGAGTGTGTGTGTGCCCATGTGCAGCCATGCACATGTTTCTGATATCACATGCCTTCAGAGAAACCAGATAAAGGTCTTTCTTAAGCGCCAATTCATCTTTCAGAAATCCTTATAAAGATATTTACCTAAATGAAGCTGAGTGCTCAGTGAGAGCTTGTCGGATGACTCATTGTATGTGCATTTCGGTGTGTTGGCTGTTGTGGGATACTCTGGAACCATTAGAGTCTTTTGTATAAATCCTGCTTAGTTCTTGGATCCCTGACATGATAAAGTGTAGCATGTCAATCCTGCTTCTGGGTGTAAGTCCTTCAGAGTCAGAGATTGAGAGCCCCCCAGAAATAAGTGTTAGTTTATTGAGGAAGAGGATTATATGAGTCTTCCATATCTATGTATCTCTCTCCATATTCTATTTATTCTCAATATTTATCTGTGTATTTATCTATGTACCTACCCATTTATCTCCATCCATCCATCTCTCACTCTCCTTGGGAAAATTCTATCTTTAAATAATTACTAGCTTTATTTATATTAGAGAATAGATATACACATTTCACCCTTTGGAGATCAAACCTATGTTTTATTTGATGCATTCAAGGAAGGAAATAATACACTTTATAAAAAGGACATTCTTTTACCAGTTAAAAATCATGAAAATAATATAGCTCTAGATTATTATACTCACAGAGCCTTTCCATATTACCAGACTGATAATGGAATGTTTAAAGCAACAAAATGTGCCGATTTAGACCATTTGAACCTGAAAATACATTTCTGCCAAAATCCAAGTTTTACGTTTTGATAACAGGTCCCTAGAGGTAAAGAGCTTAAGTCTGAAATGCTGATACGGTCTTATTTGTGATGATATGAATGGCCCATTGTGTTAGCGAATGAAATAAAAATT
The DNA here is from genome assembly GCF_000001405.40 of Homo sapiens. Classification (NCBI taxonomy): domain Eukaryota; kingdom Metazoa; phylum Chordata; class Mammalia; order Primates; family Hominidae; genus Homo; species Homo sapiens. The sequence continues at coordinate 52,469,229 of NC_000016.10, read as the reverse complement.
GATGTGTTCATGAGATCCCGCTTATTTTTAAACCTCTTTGCACTTAATGTTACATTGAGAGATTAAATATCACTGTTTTCAGCAACTCTGATGGATATAGATATCGCTTTAAGCTCTGTTTGGAGATTTTAAAAATATTCTTTAGTCTTACAATTTATATTCATGCCACACCCCATTCACTAGAAAATAGAATTTGAGTCCTGGGAATTGAATTTTATTCCCTTTAATTCATATTTTAACCTACCCACACTTGTGACATCTGTTCTTGAAAACTAAGCTATAAAATCCTTACATGCTTTTAAAATGTGTCAAGGTGATTTTCTTGGAAACTCTTTTCCCTCTCACCTCTCACAAATGCCAGGTCAATAAGCAACACACACTGGTGACCAGTTGGCTTAATGTTTGTAATCCTTTCCCTTCACAGTTAGTCTTGATGAGAAACAAAACTATTTTATAGAATTATTGAGTTAGCTTAACTCTGTGCTTTATTTTCTGAGGGAACCAGCTGACAGTATAGCCTTGAAACCTTTGTCATGTTTTGCATTTGGGCTGATAAAACTCTCTTTTATTTAGCAACACCAGCATTCTTTCCAAATCACAGCCAGAATGCTTTATTATGCCGCATATTAACGTAAAACAATCTGTTTTCTTTCAGTTTGGAAATAATAATAACTATATGAATATGGCTGAGGCGAACAATGCGTTCTTCGCTGCCAGTGAGGTAGGTGACTGTCTTAATGTGTTTGTTCCTGTTTTTTGTGTTATTGAGATAATTTAATAGGCTTGAAGGGAAAAACAAAGTATCAAATTTATCTCTCTCTTATGTGGCACAAGGTAACTACTTTGGAGGAGAAAAGAGAAAAGCTTATTGGAAAAGAAAACCTGATAAGTCTTTTATCACTTGTCTGTAGACTGTTACTAATGTTAGTAACTTCATACGAATCTTTTGATTAAAAAATAATGCAAACAAAAAGTAAATATATAAGAATGTATGTTAAAACACACACACACACATATACAGTGTTGGTATCTAAGCAGATAAGTGGTTATTTTTTTAGATACCAGGCTAGAAGTGACTTTTAATGGAAAATAGTTTAACTTCACATATATCTAGGGATAATTAAGTGTCATTAAGTTGTCATGGTTTGGGAAACTATGTGACAGAAGAGTATTATAGTTTCCTGGGGCTTGGGGTGATGTGAAATGAGTGTTGTAATTTGTTGCTAGATCCCCACAGCCCAGTACAGTGCCTGGCAGTAGTAGGTGCTCAATAAATATTTATAGAATGAATGAATGAGTGGCTGGCATGCTCCAAGACTTGGTCACAGCTGGGGAAACTGGGTGATGGAATCAAAATGCAGCACCTCATTGTCTCTGGGTCTGTCTTCAGTTTACGGGTGCAGATGAAACAAGCATCATCTTCTTGCTGCTCTTTTTACTGCATTTCCTATTATTGATTTTGGGCTGCTGTTTGGTCTCATTGGCCTGCCCTCCAGAAAAACCTCAATCTTGATTAGATAAAACATGGTTTCCTAAAAATGGTAGACTGTGTGAGATTTAAGATTTTAGAACAAGAACAAACAGAAGTGAAATTGGCCCAAATGGAACATTTCCTCTTGTGGTTCATGTAATATAAAGTCCTCATTTTCCAGATACATTCAAATACAGGAAACTGAACTAGCTTGACCCCAGAGAATGAAAATAATAATGGCTTCATAAATGATCTTGGTAAAGGGAGGCAAGTGTTATGAAAGAAATTAACTTTGAGAAATTATTAGAATAAACGGGGGATCAAGAATTAAAGCTATTCCTAGATTAATCATTTTTATAGTGACCATCATCTCTCTAACCAAGAAGACAGTTTAGATAAGGGAATATTGTTTGGCACTGGCTGCTGTGTTGTTTGTGGTAATGAACACAAACCCCATCTGTAAGGACGACATGATGTTTCATTCTGTAGGATTTTTTTTTCCCTACATTTGAATCAAACATTGATGAAAGCTCTACTGCCAGCAGCTGTTCAGAGACAATTTAATTCCAGCTGTGATAATTCACCGTGTCAGACATTGGCTGTTATATGTTGATACAACAGTTCTCCAGATTTGCATTTTTATCAAAAGGAACAAATGTTTTGAACATTTCAGTACAGATGGTATTTAACCATGTACATACTACTTTAACATGTTCAAGGTAAACATTGAAAAGTCAATATCTGTAAAAAAATAATCACGTAAACTCTAAATGATTAATCTGATATTGGTCAGATGGCACAGTTACCAAAGTCAGTGTGTCTTTTTGTTGTTTTTGTTGTTGTTGATGCCATATGTGGTTATTTTTTTATAATCTCAGATATCCAGCATTTTGGATTCCTTTTTTTCTCTAAGGAAAGCTTAATTTTAATATATTACCTGCCTTTAAAGGTAGTTTAACATTTTAACATTTTCTTGGTTATTTCAGTGGATTATTATATTAGGTTAGGATATTGTAATATGCTTAATTGAAATTAATTTGTCGTTAAAAAAATTATACCATAGGGACATATTGCATATGACATCTCTCTCTGTTCCTGAACAAAAATAAAAACCTTCCTAATTATGACTGCTTAGCATAGACATGTTTTATGTTAGTTTTGGAAGTAATCTTATGTAATGATTTCTCTGTACATCTTTTCTTGAACAAAAAATAAAGCCCAAGTAAATGTTAATGCTACATTATAGCACGTGCCTAATTTCCCAGTCACTGCATTAAAAGTAAATTTACTTGGTTTTTTAACATTTTAATGAGTGTAAACTAATTCAGGAAGTCTTTAGGTTTGCATGCTGTAAAGTCTAAATTGTGCCTGAAACCAATTCCCTTCACATGGATATTGTCCTGTAGATAACACTACAGGAACTAGGATACTCTGAGTTTGAAATTCACACATTTGCTTTATGTTTTCTATCTGTGTCATGATTACCCTGACCATTTTTAAAGTACTTTAAATATTTATTGAAATAATATTTCAAGTGTTAATTACAGTGGTAATGAAAACAGCCAAATGCCACATATCAAGAATGAGTGTTTATCCGTATTGTTAATGTGATATGTTAGATTTCATTAAGCAGTAATGGGGTAGCAAATGAGTCACAAATTACAGTTGCATCTGTTACTAGACCATATTAGTGCCAAAATAACGGCAAATGCAACCATAGGGTTATGCTCATTAGCCAACCACGTTTGTGGCCAATTCATCCCTTTGTGTTTGGGAACTAGGGGTTCCACAGTTAGAAACTGACAGCTTTTGGGGTCATTATTAGAATGCATGTGTCAGAAAATCCAATATTTTAGTCTAGCATTCAAATGTATTATTCTGCTACGATGTTTTGAATATATTGAGCCTGCTAAGAACCTCAAGATGTTCAGTTGTCCCACCATAGACTGCCATAGCTCGTGACCTCTTTTTTTCTGGTGAGATACAAATAACATTTGACAGGTTCTATATGTAAGAAATGTTTTTTGTTGCTTTTTTTTCTTGAGTTTTTCTTTTCCCTCAAGTGGTCATTACATTATATCATGATTGATAGCTTGAAGAATGATGATTTTCAGCACTTAATTAGTCCTCTTAACTGATAATAGCAGACTCAAATTATCTTGCACCAGTTCATTCTTTCAAATACTATTAATAGTAAATGAACTATAAGTTTGACTCTCTGAGCTAGGAATAAAAAATATGAGTAGCCCCCCAAACCCTCCACCTGACCAAAAAAAAAAAAAAAAAAACCAAAAAGAAACAAAAAAAAACCTAGACCTTGCCACTCCCCCAGAACCTCTCGCCAAAAAAATCCCCCCAAAAATGGTTAGTGTGGTTGGGTGGAGCAACACTGATTTATATCACGAGGCCCTATTTTAAAACACTGCCTTTAAGAATCTCAGTATTGGCTGGGCACGGTGGCTCACTCCTGTAATCCCAGCACTTTGGGAGGCCGAGGTGGGTGGATCACAAGGTCAGGAGATCGAGACCATCCTGCCTAACACGGTGAAACCCCGTCTCTACTAAAAAATTCAAGAATTAGCCGTGTATGGTGGCGGGCGCCTGTAGTCCCAGCTACTCGAGAGGCTGAGGCAGGAGAATGGCGTGAATCCGGGAGGCGGAGCTTGCAGTGAGCCGAGATGGCACCACTGCCCTCCAGCCTGGGAGACAGAGCGAGACTCTGTCTCAAAAAAAAAAAAAAAAAAAAAAAAAAAGAATGCATTAAGACTTACTTAGGTCTTGAGATATAATACTTCTCTAAGTAAGCGAACAGCATCAAATCTAGTTAGTATTTCTATATCAATATAGCTCTATGCTCTCTAGATCATCTTTAAAAAGTCGAAGACTGGTAGAAAATGTTCAGATAAATACATATTAAAATGTTCATGTAAAAGAAAATAACCCTCTTTGTAGTTTAAATAAAAGCGCTGGCATCTTTTAATATGAACTATGATAATCCTTATATAAAACATTGTATTACACACAGTAACAATTTCCATAGAAGTAGTCATTGCACTTGGGAATATACCAATGAGGAAATTAAAAAAGCAAACCACAAATTTAATATTACTTGTTTTATATGTTGTGGCAGAAAGTAAATATATGTAATGTTCACTTCTGGATTAATATGTGTGTGTGTGTGTGCATGCCACAAAATCATCAGCATTTTATAAAGCATGTGGATAGTGTCAGCGGTTTGAGCTGTTTCACTAACATATCAATAAAGTAGCAATTTGTTATATGCTCCAACTAACAACAAAGACAGATGTTGCTAATTAAGTAGGCATTAAAAAACTGTTAATACTGATACTCCATTAAAACCATATGATAATGAGACTTAAATCTTTAATCAGAATGATCAGCAAAACTTTATATATGGAAATCTGTGTTTAAGATATTTTCATTTGAGAAATAAATATTTGGCCTAGATATGTATGTAGTGTTTTCATGCAATGTCTTTCTCTTTCCCTCCCCGGAGGAATAAGATATAGGAACAGAATATGAAGATACCTGTATTTTGTTTCCTTTTAGCAGACATTCCACACACCAAGCCTTGGGGACGAGGAATTCGAAATTCCACCAATCACGCCTCCTCCAGAGTCAGACCCTGCCCTAGGCATGCCGGATGTACTGCTACCCTTTCAAGCCCTCAGCGATCCATTGCCTTCCCAGGGAAGTGAATTCACACCCCAGTTTCCCCCTCAAAGCCTGGACCTCCCTTCCATTACAATCTCAAGAAATCTCGTGGAACAAGATGGCGTGCTTCATAGCAGTGGGTTGCATATGGTAGGCACCACATTTATTACTTAAATTATTTTTTATCATTTGCACAAATCATAGTAAAGATCTGAGAGTCCATGTTCTGAAACGTGCTCTTGCCTGTTCCTAGTGGATTGATTCTAGTGCTATTTACATGCAGGTACTGGATCGCTGCCTGGTATTGAACAAAGGGGTATTGGGTTGGTTGACAGTAACCAAAAAGAGGATGATCCAAAAAGAGTCTGCTGATTTAAAATGATTTTTTTTTAAAGTCTAATTCATTAATTTGGAAGTAGCCAATCTTCCCTTGCTGTTGGCTTAACACAAAGGTGTGCTTGAGTTGAAAGTTTGCCCAGGCAAGATTTTAGAAATGGAAGTCCTTATCAGGTGCCTAAGTCTTTTGAGTTTTTAGTATTATAATGCTTACGATACACGATTTATTCTTATTGCAAATGAAATACCAAACTGAGATACCAAAAAAGGGAAAAAGTATAATTGCTTATAACCAGCAGAGAAAAATATAGAACAAGTGATTATGTGAAATACACCTAATTGCGTTATTTATTGTCATAAACATCGATTAAGGCACTCCAGAGAGCCAAGATAACTAATGCAATAATTTTGGTTCTATTTTTCTTAGTGTGCAATTATAGTCAGCAATCACTAGAGTAAATCTGCTTAAGTATTTTAAACTCTTCTGCTGGGATTTTTCTTTTTTTTCCATCATAGCATATAATGCATTTGTGTCTAGCTAGGTGAGGTACTAAGTAGACATTTTTAAAACAAGATTAATAGTTTATAGAGCTTTTTTTTAAAAAACCCTGATAAAATGAAACAGATGTGTTGGTATAACAAAAAACAAATCCTCTTGCTTGTTTACATATTTCTCTGCACATTAGGACCATGCCAGTGATGTTTATTGGCTTCATTGTTAATTCCCCAGATAACAACATATGATTGCAAAATATGTAGTGGATTAGTGGTGCAAAGATTCAAAGTGCTCTCTGAAATATAAGATTGCTTTCCCAAATAGGATTGCAGCAACATAATTTTCTTTGCTTGTGATCTTTTGTGTTTGAGCTGAACATCAGGGTTTTTATTTTTTACTTTTTTTTTTTTGGTCAGAAAAGAATTCAGTGAACAGTCGGGAAATAGTCATTAAGTATTCATAAACGTTACTAGACATCACAAATAATTGTTTCCTGGGGACTTTCTTATATTTTTGTACCTTTGACACTGGAATGGAGGGTTCTATTCTCTGTTTCTCTACAGCCAGGCTTGCAATGTTTTGCTTAGAAAAGAATAAAAATAAAATGGGTGTGTTTAGTCACCAAGGGAGTTTGCCAGGGTTCACCATCATTCATAGATGCTCAGAGAGGCTCATTTAAGTTGCAGAAATAGTTAAATGTGTGTTAAAATGTGTACTTTCTTAAATTGGTAAATATTTATTAATAATATAAGAATCTGCCTTTAAATTAAACATCTGATGAATTACCTTGCCTTAAAGCTATAAAACTGTTATTGCTGCCATAAAAAAGTGTAAAGGAGGCATTTTGACTATGAAATTTCATTTCATGGTCAATTGAATTTACTATATTGGAAAGAACTAAAGATGGAATCATAAAATAATTATGATATTCACATACACTTAAAGAACAATGCTTTCACGGACTGGCGTTGGGAAAGAGGACTCAATTTTTAATGCTTCTTTTGTAATGTATGGCTAATCACTAAAGCAGTTGAATTATTTCATTGATTTTTAAAAGTATAGGTACTTTAGCTAAGTGCAGGCTGTTGTCATGGTATTTACATGGACCTCATCACATTTATTGGTGCCTTTTTGAAGTTTTGCTGAACCTGAGTGATATTTATTTTGGCTTGAAACAAACTAATCTTGTTGAAAATTCTAGTAGAATTTCACCTTGAAGAAATGTCATGGGATTTTAAATCACAAATGTTGGAAAAAAATAAAATGTACTAGGACAGAATTATGATGAATACAATGTGTTGTTGGCTTTGTTCTATGTACTACCTGACATGTTCACCTATAAACTTGAATTCAGAATCGCCAGAGGCATGGTTAAAAATTGGTTATGTCAGGGTTCTTCTATATCTCTCTGCGGGTACTGAGTTGGCTGGCTACATCATAACACTCCACAGAAGCCTCCTCAGAGATTTCCCTTAGGAAAGTCACCAGAAAAATAATAAATAATACTTTATACGTCATGCATTCAGCTTCCCAGTGTGTGTTGGATATTTCATACCTTATGCAAGTAAGAAGTTTTATTATCCAAATGAATATGGCTGTCTGTTAAGGATTGCTATGGTGAATTAAGACTATCATATAAGAAGAAAAGCCAGCTTGTTGATGTTGTATTGAACCAGCTTTTCTTCAGAGCTTCATCGGTTTTCCTTTAGAAAGAGTGACAGTTTGTCACATTACTGATTAGCTGCATTATTGTTGGCAACAAGCACAACATGTTTATCTTCGTTAAATTTATGCCATTATATTTAAAAACAGAAGGCAGGAACAAAAAAGGGGGATTAAAAAGAGTCCAGTGATTAGCATTCACATTTCAAAATATGCAAATAATGCCCCAGTATTCAAAAGCGAATTGCTGAAAAATTGAATGTCGATGCATTTGTGACTTCAAAGAACAACCTTGATTTGCTTGTCGTGAATACGTGTATTTTAAAACAGGATGTGGTTGGCAAGTCAAAATCAACAGTATATTTTGGTTAAAAATTTGTTACCTCTAAGTGTTATTGTCAGTTCAGATGATCAGAGGAAATTGTTTTAATCCACAAAAGATTGCAATTCTAAAAATCTACAATGTGAGTTCCAAAGGGTTGTGTGTGTTTTTTTTTAACACCTCTCTATAATCTGCCCAGCCTGCTGAGTAGCACTGACATCAGTAGTACATCAATTTCAGAAAGTGGATTATTTTTACTAGACAGCTATTGTGACATATTGGGTCAGTCATAAATGAAAGATATTCATGCAAGCATGCAATACTTGTAATGAAGTCTCACTCTGACCTTCTGTATGATTGATTCTGTAATTTAGTTTTCTCAGGCAGTGCCTGAAATGAAATGAAATCATGTTGAACAAGTTTTGAATACCCACAGTGCACCAGGAGAAGAAAAATCTGCAGCCCTAGAGGCTTGAGAGAGAGCAGATGAACGATTTATCTCTATGCTATTATAGCCTTTGCCAGCATTCAACATTTCTTTTTTTTTTCTTATTTGGCTTAAGTACTTAATTCTGCAGGTAGCTGTAAATGGGAAAATAAAATGCTGTTCAGATTTAAAATGACAGGACAGGAGTATGTGCAGGGGACTGATAAAATATCTTGAATAGAACTGACCTTTCATGTAGCTGAAAGTTACTGGGGGATTCATCCTCATAATTACCATATAGATTATTTTTATTTCTTTCCTGCAATGAAACATTTCAGAGAGCAGTAGTGCTGATTGAATGAAAATTGAACTTGTTAACATTCTTTTCAGCTTAGCCTGTTGTACATAACAGAAGGTTAGCTTTGATGAATTTCAAAATTCTCTTTGATATCTAAGAAACAGACAGTAAAATAATTGTCTCTGGTCTGATATTTTGTATGCCCCCCAAAAGAGAATTTATAAAACACACTGATAATTCACATACTTTTCTTCATATATTATATTTCCATGTTTAGAGGACTGACATTTTCTGTTTGATATTACCTTGGATTTAATTGTGATCACACATATTTATAGAAAATGCTATAGTGGTGCTCTAGCAATATCAAACGGAGTATTAGAAAATTGAAAAAGATGGAAGTAAGGAAAGTATTTGAGTATGGTAGTATTCGTACCTGTTAAAGGGAAGAGAAAAAGAGAAGAAAAGGTCCTATAGGAGACATTTATGCAGAGAAGAAAATTATGAGCTTTTAAAATATTCATAAGACTCTTAAGTCATAATCCAGACAGATATCATTTTTGATAGAAAAATGGCAATTTATCAAAATATTACATCTAAAATTACCAGGCTTATTTTAGAAGTTTTTTTTATTATTATACTTGGCATGGCTCTAATTTTGAAGTTGAATTATTATATTTATTTTTAAGAAAATGACTTTCATGCCATTTTTATACTTAAAAAAATCTTACGTTAAGAGAAATAGCAGACTTTCAATTAATATGTTGTTTTTAGCAACGTTGCTTAATGTGTTACAGATAAAGCCGTTATTTCATGGGTCATTAATGTGTTTAATGCATGGAACATTCTATTAAAACAAGCCTTTATTATTGTTATGAACGCATTCATTGCCATTGTCAATAGAGGCTGGGGAGCTAAAGTTCACAGGATGATGACTATTTAGCCATGGGGGGACAAGCAATTTCTCATACAAATTGAATGCTTACAAATTTATCATACATATTGAATAATTTTGGTCAAGTTACGGTCAAAAACTATTTTATTATAAATTAACAATGTAAAGGTCACAACTTACCTAGGCAAAAATACACATTGAATGGAATAAGACCTATCTGCATGAACTCTAAATTATAAAACTGAAGCCATATATTAACCTTCAATGAATATTTACTGAGCACCTACTAAGTGCTGTATATTGTTTGTTGTTATTTTTTTTAATTTTACATATTTTTTAGAGAGAGGATCTTACTCTGTCACTCAGGCTGAGGTACAGTGGTATGATCATAGCTCATTGCAGTCTCGAACTCCCGTGTTCAAGCGATCCTCAGCTTCTCGAGTATCTTGGACTACAGGTGTGTGCCACCATGTCCAGCTAGTTTTTAAAATTATTATAGAGACAGGGCCTTGCTCTCAGTTGCCCAGGCTGGTCTTGAATTCCTGGCTTCCAGCTGTTCTCCTGTCTTGGCCTCCCAAAGTGCTGTGATTAGAGGCATGAGCCACTGCACCTGGCCTGTTTTTAATCATTAGAGATTGATTATACTGTTTGTGAAATTGTTTTGTGTTTCTTTCTTTTTTTTTGACTACCAGTGTCCCCTCAATGAATTACAGAGATTCAATCTGACTGCTGCCTGAAAGAAGCTTATTGTCAAAAACCAACTTTAATTTAGCTGTTACTATACCTTGATAATTGTCTGCCAAAAATACCCAGGCCACAGACACTTTTACAAGCTGCCTTCTTTGTAGAGCCTTGTACCACACTGAGCTTAAAATAAATATTCTTTATTCTTGGCCTGTGCATACTACTGACTCTGAACAGATAGGAATTGTCTTTAGGGCTGAGTTAACCTGAGGGTCATCTGTCAAAGTAGGACTGTGTTCCAAACTTCTACTAAACCTAATTAGACCTTGTGCAGTGTGATACATGATTATTGTTTAGTTTATAACATTTAAAGGAAAATGTTATGAGAAGGCTGGCTGTGGTTTATTTCCCTGTATCTTCTTTTTAACATAGATCATCTACAGTTAAGTATTGTAGTACTTAGTGATGGTTCAGAGACAGCAAAGACACCCTTTTACAGCACTTAGATTCCCACATAAGACTGACATGATGGCTCAAATATTTTTTGGAGAGGTGAGAGTTACTCTGTATGCCATTACCCCTGTTCCTTTTATTCACAGCCCTTGTCGTCCTTTGCAATGGTTTCCTTTGCTTGCTTCCCATCTGTCTCCTCCCTACCAGAATAGAAGCTCCAGGAAGGCAAGTGCTCCTTGGGTCTGTTTGGTGTCGTCCCTGGGCCTGGAATATACTTGGCTTTCAATAAATATTTCATTTGTTCAATATATAAATTAATAAAAGGACAATGAAAGAACATTTACTTGTTATTAAGAGCATACTTAGACTGCTAAGTTAAAATGGAGGGGAGGGGGCTTGAAGTATCAACAGCTATAAAAAGTGGAATTGCTCTTTAAAATTTTAATTTAGGACTGAATAAAATAAGTGTGGAGTTGTCCCTTTGGTAAAACAAAGGCAGTTGCAGGGTACATGAGTAAACTACCATTAAGTGTTCATAATAAACTCTTGAAAATTTTATTTTGCCAAGAAACTATTAATTAACTTTAGGGAACACTGTTTTTTACAAAACTTTCATGGGTAGGTATGTCTGATTACAACCCTGAGAGTAGTTATTAAGTAAAAATGATCTATTTCAGTGCAGATATTTTGATGAGTATAAAGGTGGTGGTATGCAGGTCTGTAATTATCATTGGTATGCATTTGGCATTACTGTGTCAGGGTCCATTGGAGTTACAAAAGTAGTAGCTATGCATAACTATTTGATCGTTGTTAATTTGGAAATAAAATTTTAACATTGCTATAAGACATAACTAAATAATTGAAGATAAAATTACTGGCCTGCATTTCCTATTTGCAGTTAACTCTGATATTTATGAATACAAAGTAATTTTTATTGCTGATAATTGTTTAATTACTTCATTTCTCAAGAAATATTGATTAAAAACTGGCACAGTGAAAATATATTTAGTCACACTCTAATATATTTGGGTTAGTTGCTTCTTAATTGGATGTTATGCTCTATTTTGAAAACCTAATATTGGATCGTTATGGAGAATATTTCTGTGTAAGTATAGATAGAAGATGCATTAAACACATTTGCATATTAGAATTTAAAAAAATTTTAATGATGAAATCAACCCAAGTGTAAGTGCCATTGTAATAAGTATAAACACATAATATAGAATAATAATGTGTAATATTTACAATAAAATGTCAGGGTGAAAGCTTATATCTTAGATTTGCAAAAAGAAACAAAACAAAGCAAGACCGTAGTATGTATAGCTATGGACTACTAATTGTGCAGCACAAAGATAAATGTAGCACTGCTCCAGGTTTGAAAAAATGAGTGAAAAGGATTTAAATATGTAGAGTTTTCTCATTTAAGGAAATTAGAGCAAGTTTTATCCATTCTCTTCTCATATCCTGCTACCCTAAGACATATCTTCATATGAAGTACAAACATGATATTATAACATAGTGACTTACACAGTAAGGAAGTTTTTCACCTTTCAATTCTCTTTTAATCTTGATTAAGTCCAGGAGAAAGACTCAGTTTGGGGCTAATTAAGTCTTTCACACCTTTCTTTTGCCTTCTTAAGTTAAAGAAAGCAGAACTCAGGCCCAGAGCCTTAGGCAGGCCCCAGTATCCACACTGACTATAACAGTATTGTTTTCTTTTCCTGGTGTTTATTTGGCATTCTATTGGCCATGAGTGATTTTAATTTTTCATTTATGTTAGTGATCTAAAGTTTCCTTATTAATATAACATTATTCAGATTTTAACCGTTCACTCAAATGATTAATGTTCAATAATAGACTGGGTTTCAGGCAATTTAAGAAAATGAGGGATTGCTACCCAAAATATCCATTCATTGGATTTTTCCTGTTTAAAAAAGACAAAGAGGCTCTTTCATCAGGTGGAGAGAGAGGCGAGCCTCCGCCAGGCACTCCCCTACCCCCACCAAGGCATACAGAAACCAGAAGGCTTTGTTGAACACCACAGGCATGAATCATATAGGCCAATAGATAGAAGGCAATGCCCCTCCTATTAGTGAGAGCATTTTATGAGATCCATGGCCCACCCACTCTGAGTGACCTTCTGTGACTGCAAATGTTAATCTTTGGGTATTCTTCGAAACACAGATTGAGGTGGCAGGCTATACATTTATATTTAAACTAAATAGAAATGTCCGCAATTGATTTAGATGGGTTGGTTGTCCATGAGGTATGGTCAGTTAATATTTATTGCAATGAATAGTCCCACCAGATATATACCATGCTTTAAACTTTCAATGGCAGCCTTCTACACTGTGAATATAATCCAGACTTCCTAACCCAGACAATAAACCTTGTCACTTTATGGCCATGACTTGCCGTTCCAGCCTCATAGCCAGCTATGCTCTTCCTGGCCCAGTCACACTGGACTGTCATTTCCTTATCGGCAGTATGTTTGCCCATGCCCCAGGTTTGGGTACATGTTCATCTCTGTCTGGGATGCCCTGGCTTGGTTAGCTTCTACTTCCCTTTATACCTCAGCATAGTAGGTCACCTCTTCGGGGAAGCATCCCATGATTTCCCCACCTTACACAATGAGGCCAGTCTCTCCAAGCCTATTGCATTTCACCCTTTACCTTGCCTACCCTGCACCCAGCTTTCCTGTCCACCTTTTCATTTCTCAAGCATGTCAAGATCTCTCCCACTTCAGACCTTGCACATGCTGTTCCCTCTGCATGAGACATGCTTTTCCCTTCACTTCACAGTTGGCTTCTCCCCATCCTTCAGCATCAGCTCAAATACTATCTTTTTTGAGAGGCCTTTCCTATTGACCCAATCAAATGTAGCCATCCTTCCCCAATAACTCTCTTTTGTATAACCTATTTATTTTCTTCCCAATATTTATCACAGTTGGAATCTTGTTTATGTGGATGCTTTCTATTTTTAGGAAAAGAATATAAGCTTTGAACATTCACTACCTGCCTCCCCCAAGGAGATGATTTTTATGATATTTGTCTAATACAGTAATTTGCAAATGAAGGGGATTTTGACATTTGCTAATGTCTGTATACATTTTGGTTGTCACAGCCCGGTAGGGAAAGGGCGGCTACTGGTATCTAGTGGGTAGAGGCCAGAGATGCTGCTAAATATTCTATAATGTACAGAATGCCCCTCCCCCAACAAAGGATCATCCAGACCCAAATGTCAGTACCACTCAGGCTGAGAAACTCTTATCTAATATCGCCAATTAGAAGACAAAACGAGACAAGGCAGAGAGAATGAGTTTTTCCCAAATACTGAAAAATTTAGGAAACTATATAAAGGAACATTACATATAAAATGTAATTGTGAAAGGAGTTGAAAAAGCTACCAGCATTCAGCTCTTATTGTTGGTTATGATAGTGGGCAATCTCTTAGAACCCAATAGCTGCTTTGCCTTTAAATGATCACTGGTAAATCTTTCAGGACTTAATTTTTGTAAGTAAGAAGTAATATTAACAAAATCACATTAAATTTCTCTGGGCTATATTCATAGTTATACATTTCCTTATTGTGTCATTACTACTGGGAAAAATTGTGAGCAATTTTGGTGGGAGTATATAAAAATTATTCTGGCCTACATTATGTTGTAGTAAATTTGTTCATCCATTCAGGATTTTGTTTAATGTGTAAAATAATCGCATGGTAATTTCCTGGTTCTCAAAGATATAAGGTTTGATATATTGCCTTCTCTGGCCTGATACATAGTAGGGGCTCAGTAAATACTTTTATACTGAGCTGACATCTTCCTCTTTTTATGTGGTAGTCCTAAGATCAAGGGTAACATCTTTTAAAGGTTACTTTTATGGAAAATGATTGGAGCTGTTGAGGATCCTCAAGTTCCCCAAGGCAGTTGTTAATAATTTGTGGCCCTAAAAGAGCTTGAATTTCCAAAGAGACACTTTAGCCATTAATCGTCTTATACTATAATCTTCACTCATAGGAGGTGATTATGGGATAACTGTGAACCGTGGTGAGTGGTGGCACATTTTGATGCATCAATTATGTGGGTCAGAGGTTACTTTAAAAATAGTCTAGAGGCCCTTGGTATCTTGTCCAGTGGGAGATGGCATCTTTTTGGATCTGAAGACTATGTGGATGACTCTAAGTTTTGGCAAGGCCTTGGCCCCACCACCAGTACTCTTCAGGAGTGGTTTCCATACTGTCACACTGCAAAATAATCTTTTTTTTTTTTGTAATGAAATATTATGAGGAACCTCAATTTATAAAACAAATGGAAATGGAGTTGATTTTGTTAAAGGGGGATGATGGCAGTGGAGATCCCAGAGTCTTATTCATCTATCTCTGCCGGGACATGCCTCTACCGTGAAGATACCATGGCTCTCTAGGGCCCAGGTTTTCTGTCAAGCATTCACTAGCTAGCTTGGGGGCCTGGGGAATCATTCTTATCTGTCTAAGAATAAGTATAGTACTAGTATCTAATGCAGAAAGCAATCTAGGGGATTAAATTAGAAAGTGCATATTAAGCTTAGCACAAATGCTGGCTCATAGTAATAAACACACAGTAAAACTCCCTTTTTAGTACAGTGAACCTTGGCTGTCTATCAGCAGGAGCTCCCCAGCAACAAGATCCATAATAAAGGCATAAATTGCAGATGGAATTCAGGAAGGGCTGACAAAGCCAAGGAGACATGCTTGTGTTTGGCCATGATAGCCATCTGAAAAATGCTCTAGGTGTGGGGTGAGTCAATCGAGCACCTATATGTGCAAATTTTCACAGGCATTGGAGCAAAGAGAGCAAAGTAACTCTCTGCTAATGAGAAAACTGCATAAATCAGATGATCACATTTCATGACCATACCAGTTAACTAATTTAGTATTATACAGTCAGAATTAAAATACTTCATTTAAATGTGCCCTAGAATTTGCCTGTAGATACTTTAAAACATCTAGATTTAAATAAGATGGAAAGATTTTTAAAAAGCATTCTGGGCCGGGCACGGTGCCTCATGCCTGTAATCCCAGCACTTTGGGAGGCCGAGGCTGGCAGATCACTTGAGGTCAGGAGTTCGAGACAAGCCTGACCAACATGGTGAAACCCCGTCTCTACTAAAAATACAAAAATTAGCTGGGTATGGTGGTGCGTGCCTGTAATTTCAGCTACTCAGGAGGCTAAGGAAGGAGAATCACTTGAACCTGGGAGGTGGAGGTTGCAGTGAGCCGAGATGGCACCACTGCACTCCAGCCTGGGCAACAGAGCGAGACTCCATCTAAAAAAAAAAAAAAGCATTCTGAAAGACATATATGAAGACGAAAATTTAGAATAAGCTAGATGGCGTAATTACCAGTAGTGTGGGGGTGGAAGTTATGTCAGTGAGCAGTGGTTACACTTCAAGAGAACATGGAAGACTGAATAGATAGCTCAGATTTTCTAGGAGAAATGAGCAAATGTGGTAGAATTCCAATAAAAAAAGATAATTAGGATGAACAGATAACATAAAATCCACACAATCTGTAGAAAGACACCTGCAAGTAGAACGTAATATTGTAGGAACAACGAAGGAGAACACTGCCGGTGATATAAGGGAGTGTGGTGTTCTGATACTTGTGACACTTTCCTCCAGGATTTCACAGTAATTATTCGGAAATTATTAAGAAATGGGAAATGTATGTATTTAATATTCTAACACTTGTTGGCAGACTCTTTTAACCACTTGCATTATCTTCCTTTTTTTTCTGATTAAAGTGTTTTAGTTTTTGTTTACTTTTTTTTTCCATTTCTTTTTTTTATTATTATTATACTTTAAGTTTTAGGGTACATGTGCACAATGTGCAGGTTTGTTATATATGTATACACATGCCATGTTGGTGTGCTGCACCCATTAACTCGTCATTTAGCATTAGGTATATCTCCTAATGCTATCCCTCCCCATTCCCCCCACCCCACAACAATAGCAAAGACTTGGAACCAACCCAAATGTCCAACAACAATAGACTGGATTAAGAAAATGTGGCACATATACACTATGGAATACTATGCAGCCATAAAAAATGAAGAGTTCATGTCCTTTATAGGTACATGGATGAAACTGGAAACCATTGTTCTCAGCAATCTATCACAAGGACAAAAAACCAAACACCGCATGTTCTCACTCATAGGTGGGAATTGAACAATGTTTACTTTTGTATTGTGGTCACAGCTTATCAAAACAGCATACACATGTACGTAGAAAAAGTTGAAACTCTCCCCTCCTTGCCCCTCCCATTCTACCCCTTATAATGTAACCATTGTTAATGTTAGGATACACTTTTTTTTTTCCCAAAGAAAACAAGGCTGTCCTGTATAGTTATTTTTTAACTTGCCTTTTATGTACTGTATCTTGGGTAGGTTAGTGGTTCTCAACTGGGAGTGGTTTTGCCCCGCCTGGGGCAAAGTCTGGAGACATTTTTCATTGTCATGACTGGTACGGGGAGGGACGTTGTTAGCATCTAGTGGGAAGAGGCTGGGGATGCATCTGAGTACCTACAATATGCAGGACAAGCCCCCTCAATATGCAGGACAAGCCCTTACAATAAAAATTATCTGGTCCAAAATGTCAAGAGAGCTGAAATTGAGAAACTCTGCCCTAGGTCAATGCACATAAATCTAATTCATTATTTTTAAAAGCTTCATAACACTTTGACGTATGGGTAGACCATAATTTATTCAACTAGTTTTCTTTGATAGATCTTCTCATTGAGTGGCATTTATATATTTAATATGAAGAAACCAAATGCTCCAATTTAGTTATTTACAATTCATTCCGCTTCTTTAAAGAGCAAAAATAAGCCTTATCGGAAGGACTCAAAAAAGGAACAGTTAAGAATTCATAGGCTTGTGTATAAAATTAGATTCTGGGTCACTGTGAGTCAAGAGAATTTGGTTTCAGCAAAATCACAGACTCACTCCAAATGACATGTCTTAAAGTAAGTCATTTGAAAAACATGTCTTCATTTTTTGATTCTTTGGAATTAAAAAAAAATAGAGAATAAGCAGTAACAACTATAAGGCCTTTCTGTATGACTACCAAGAACAGAGAAAGCTGCATTTGAAGTAACTGCAATAAGTTTCAGAAAAAGCTATTTCTGATGGTTTCTACCATCTTTTTTTACGTATTTATGAAGAAATTCATTAGTACATTAAATCATGATGGATTGAACAAAAGAAAACAAAGTAAGTTTAAGTGAAAAAAGTGATATCCAATCCAAAAGACATTGAATGACTTCCAGATGCCGCTGACAATGTAATTCAGAATCGGAATGACCGTCTGGTTAACCACAGAGGATTTCACAGAAAGGGTGCCCTAAAGCAAACAGATGTTTGCTCTGTGAAACTAAAGCTCTATGCTTTGCTGGCCCATCCTCTGCGTGCCCTGTGCATTTCTGGGAGAATAAAATAAAGAATGGCTTCGCCTTCTCTCATAACAGCTACATGTTTGAGAAGGATGGTAAACTAATGGATGAGCCTAAATGGGTGCGGTCTCTGCTTCAGCCCTTTCCCTGCCACCAGTTTACTCAATAAGAAACAAGAGATGAAAGATTATATTTAGTTTTTCTAATTTCCTTTCTTCTTTTTTTCCTTCCTTCCTTCCTTCCTTCCTTCCTTCCTTCCTTCCTTCCTTCCTTCCTTCCTTCCTTCCTTCCACATCCACTGACAGTTCTATAATGAAATATTCTGTTCTGGATATTTGGATTTTGTGCTTCTCAACTTTCAACTTCTTGGCATGGGTCCTTATATTTAATAAATGAACGGAGACCATCATCCTGCAATAGGTCAGACCTATCAACATTGCAACAGTTCAAACCTATCTAAGGAGATGCTAACCTGATAAGTTCACTGATATCTGGAAAAGCTGAAATATTTTCCCCCTTTGTTGCTGCCTTTCTAGGATCAGAGCCACACACAAGTGTCCCAGTACCGGCAGGATCCCTCCCTGATCATGCGGTCCATCGTCCACATGACCGATGCTGCGCGTTCTGGGGTCATGCCTCCTGCCCAGCTCACCACCATCAACCAGTCTCAGCTCAGCGCCCAGTTGGGGTTGAATTTGGGAGGTGCCAGTATGCCTCACACATCTCCTTCACCTCCAGCAAGCAAATCAGCCACTCCCTCCCCTTCCAGCTCCATCAATGAAGAGGATGCTGATGAAGCCAACAGAGTAAGTTAGAACTGCCTTAGTGTGTAACCTGCCAGAGAATATGGGATTACCCCATGCTGTTTGAATTTCATTCATGGTGTTATCTTGTTTGTCTTCATGGATTTGGAGTAGCATTTAAATGTATGATGGTTTGTTGTTTTTCTTCACTCTTTCATTTATTTTCTGTAGAAAGTATATTGGACTGGAAATTGAGAGATCTGGCTTCTCCTACTATAGCTGTAAGGCATTGGACATGTTATTTAATTCTTGTAGGCCCAATTTTTCTAATCTGCAAAAGGAAGGCTTGGACTCCCTGCTACAAATTTCCAGAAATTCTAGACATTCCAGAAATTCTAAACTGCTCTGGTTCTAAGTTAATGTCCATGTGAGCAAGTTTCATCCAGTGTGTTGGTCAAGCTGCTGCCACATTTGACAGCCTTGCGGCTTCGGTGATGTTTATCGCTGAGTTCATTCTCTTCATCTTACATTTTTGCCTTTGTCATGGGAAATGTATAATTTGAAATGATACAAAGTTTGAAATAAAAACTGTGTTCCAGTATGACTTTTCCAAATGCTTAGAATGATGAAAAAGAGTACTGTAATAGTACATAATTACTCATTAGTCACTTATTAATTATGTGCTGTATACCTACTCTGTGCTTGGCATTTTGTTTGGTTCTTGTGATACAAAGATTTATAAGAGAATTACTGCTAATGAGATTCCCCTTTGGGGATGAATAGCAATGTTTAAAACTAGCTCCATATGTGATTAGTGATATAATTGATGTATCTGGTGTGCTGAGATTCTAATCGATTCTGCTTGGGAGAGTGATTTGAGGAAGACTTTACTGAGAAAGTGATATTTGAATTAGGTCTAAGAGGATGAATAAAAGTTTGTGAGGCAGAAGACAGAGGCCAGCATTTTGGTTGGGGGCTAGTGAGGAACAGTGGAAGTACATGCTATTTATGGGTATAGTGAAGTTCGATATGGGGGAAGAGAGAAATAGAAGTTGAAGAACGAAATGGCTTAAATGTGGTGGTCTTTCTTCTGTTGGTAGCTGAGAGCTGATTAATTATTTGCATCGAGGAATGGCATAAGTAATTTATGCTTTAGAGAGACAACTTTGGCTATATAGAGAATGCCTTATAAAGGGAGGGACCAAAGAAAAGGAAATTAATTAGAAGACTCTTTTGTTATGTTTCCTTTCATCAAGGGAGGGAATGAACAGAAGGTACCAGATTAGCAGGCATTTTAGGAGTGAAAATCATAAAGATTTTAAGGATTTGGTGATCCACTGGAATTTGAAGAAGAGACAAATTGGGTTTTAGTTTGAGAGCCAGAATGGCTATCAGCAAATGAGAGGAGCAACCCACAAAGAGAGGAGTGTTCTCCCCCATGGGGAACATGAGAGTTTGGGATGTTAGAGTTGAATTTGACGTGCTTACATTGGAGTCTAGAACTCAGTCATGGGGAACTGGAACTATAGATTTTGGGACCATCAGCACGTGGATGAGAAGATGTGAAAGTAATCAGGACTTCTCAGAGAGTATTAAGGAGTAAGTCAAGGACAGAACCCTGAGCATCATCTATTTCTAAGTAGCAAAAGGAAGAAGAGGAGCTAGAGAAGATTAAGAGTGATGAGGAACAGAGAAGGGAGGTTCAAGTGATGCTGCAGAAATTGAAGGGGTTTCAAGATGAAGGGTTTATTCTATAACATCATGTTAGCACCCCCATTGGGCCCAGGAATGGTAAATACACTGACAGTCTTCTCACAGTCACAGAACTTCAGTCCAGAGGATTGAGAAGTAATGGTTAAAGACTCTTGAGGGATATGATCAGATGGGGTTAGGTAACAGCTTAGCCATTACAGTTGAGAGGGATTCCTTTCCCTCCAATCACACGTCCGCTGATCTTCATACTTGCCACTGTACCATACTGAAATTGTCATGTCTTAAAGAGGACCTCTTATGGGACTCCTAGCTTGCTCCATTTTAAGCGAGGGTCTAGGTTTTGTGTAAAGGCAATACAGCCAATGTATCTTCATTGAATCTTAGCTGAGAAAGGAAGATTAAAACTATCATTGATTATGTCTCTTTGGGGTAAATCTTTTTCTCCAGCTTTCTGTCTCAACCCTTTTAAGTCAATGACACAAAAATTTCCTTAGGAGAATTAATTCTGAATTTTTGTTTAAAATGTGAGACTCCACATTTCTTGTTTATTCTTAAAAAATAATAATGATTAGGGCACATCATGGTTATCCAAGAAAGGCGTCAAAGGTGGTCGACATTTGAATATTGTTTTACAGAGAATGAAATTGAACTCCTCTTATTTGGAAAAAAAGCTACTCTGGAAAGTAATAGCAACTTGCCATTGGTCAGGGTATTGTGGCACTAACAGTGCCAGATTTTCTTCCAGGAGAAGAATATAGTTGTTTGACTCAACTAGAAAAATATGTGTGTCTGTATATAGTTTTTCTTGTTTAAATAATGTTTTTCATTGAAGGAAAACTTGGCTCCAGGTGAAGCTCTAACTGAAAGGCATCTGACTCTCTTGGAAATTCACATTCATTAAGTAGAATTAAACAAGTGTCACTTATTTTGAAAATTTAGAAAAAAGACTATGGGCTCTAGAGAATTATTGAATCAATTGTGTGAGTTATGAAAGATGGCATTTTGGAGGAGAAGTGAGATATGACTTAAAACCATCTGAAGCTTGTAAACTACTCAGATAAAGTGTGGATGCTGTTATCACTTAAATAGTGCAAACAGTAGGCTCACCTAGAGGTAGGCCAGTGGTTTCTTAACACTTTGAGTGTTCAGAGCTCTCTAAGAAAAGTTCCTTATCCGTTTCCTCCCTAAGAATTTTAGTAAATGGTAAAAATTTAGTGAAAGTTCCAAATGACCCTCATTTAGAAAGTAAATAATACTCTAGGAAAATTTGAATTAGAATTCAAGTCATTAAAAGCCTATCTGTTAGTAACTTGAATCTATCTTGGTTGATCTTGCCCAAGGCTGGCTTTGAAAACAGATTTTGTCAAACATTGCAGGATTCTTGATGAAGTTAACTGCAAAATTATCTTCGATATTGTAATCTAGGGGAATAAAACAAGGTTTACAAATCATTTCCCTGCTTCTCTGATAAGTATGTTAAATGATCAGTGAACTTAGATGGTGGTAGCTGGTGAGTATGGAGCTTAGTCATCTTTAAATTGGGAAACTATACCCATATCAGTTTGTGGTTCTGATCTCTCAGAGTTCATATGGTCAATGTGTGTGAGTCTCTATGGAGTATTCTTGTGAGCAGGGTTACTTGCCATAAATAACAAACATCTTCTTTTTAGTCTTCTTAGTGATTTTTAAGTATCAACTATTGCTCTTTTTTTTACACGTTTTTAATTTTACGGAGAGTATCAATTTCCCTTTTATCTCCACTTAAAGTAGTTTTGACATTTTTACATTTGCTGTTAATCTTCAGAAAATTATTTTTAGAAAATAAAGATGACCTTTTCCTAATGCTGCAAGTATAGAAATTGGAGCTAACTTCCATTTGAATTTCTGGAGAGCCATTAGCAAAGTAACATTCTGGTAAAATTAAAAAATCAGCCTCAAAAAAAAAAATCAATTCAGACAGATCACACATATGGCATGTGACTATGGCTAGGGACCTCATTTAAAATATTTGAATATGATCAACATCCTGAATATTATTTAGGTTTTACTTCTAAAACCTCTGAAGATATAAAATATTTTGCTGATGTATGTATGTGTAGTATAGCATATATATAGCATTGCCTGGTACAGAGTGTTCTGTTTTTCATTACTCATAATTGCTATTTCGAGCATATGTTGTGAACGTATTGAAGATACTTCTGGGTCTCATTAATCGATGTTCTAAATGCTAATCTCTGCTGTCTAGTTAACTCCAAGCAAGTTTACCCCTCCCCCGCTTTTGGTGGTGATTCATCTGTTGATGATGCCTAACAAAACCTTCAAAGAACAATTATGGATCTGAGTTAAGTCTTGTTGCATTCTCTGCAAGTACATTCTAGGCAGTGAATTTTCTTCCTGCTTTGCAGGCCATTGGAGAGAAAAGAGCTGCTCCAGACTCTGGCAAGAAGCCCAAGACTCCAAAGAAAAAGAAAAAGAAAGATCCCAATGAGCCACAGAAGCCAGTGTCAGCATATGCCCTGTTTTTCAGAGACACACAGGCTGCAATTAAAGGTCAAAACCCCAATGCAACCTTTGGAGAGGTCTCAAAAATTGTAGCATCTATGTGGGACAGCCTTGGAGAAGAACAAAAGCAGGTGAGACAAAGACCCATCAAGGCTCCATCAATAAACCTCATGATCATTTAAAATATTCCTCACACCTTTTCCAAGTGCATGTGTTCACTTAATATGATTGCTTCTTTTGAAATCCTTTTCTAAGCAATGGAATTTAAAAACCCAGACATATAAATCTAAACAACTCTCCAGTTATATTGATTTCTCTGTCAGCTTATGGGTGCATGTTCAGAACCCATTCAGAGGAAGGTTGGAAGAAATCCAGGCAGTATCCTGCAAGCATAAACTTTTGATGATAATCTTTTCATTTTAAATAATGTGGAATTTTTTCCCCTTTGTTCAAAAAGGGCACTACAAAGGGATTAGGTCCATCCTGCTTGCCTTTCCATTGATCATCTTTCTGAACCCTTGTGCTGTCCTGGTGGGTTTCCAAACTTTGAAGCTGCCTCTGCGTGTCTCATTATTGTCACCGGGCATTTGAAATTTTATTCCAAGTTCATTTTAAAGCAAGGCAGTATGAGAGGTATTCAGAAATTAGCCATGCTTGTGGGAGATACTTCCTTAGGGGCTTCGTCTCCTCTCCTTCCCCTTGCAACTCCTCCACACAAATGAAGGGAAGAATGGGTTCCTTGGGGGTCGATCCCCCCCTTACTCCTTGCATGAAACTCCAATTACCATTAAAAGAAGTTAACTTTTACATATCCACAGAAGAATAGATCAACTCCTATGAGTGATAAAATAGAATAATTGTTTTCAAGAATGAAGAGTGGAAAGTCCTTGATTTTGTTTACAAATCATGAACTTATTTCAGGAACTCATTCCTAGAAGCTTGTTTTGTTGGGAAGGTGCAACATTAGAAATTTCTTTTTAGTTTGCACTGAGTTTATTACTGTAGATAGCAGACTGATTTTCTGTCCCAGAAATATAATTCTGAGGGACTGGAAAAGTGCTGCACCTAACTTTTAAACTCTGGAGAGAAAGATGCATGTTGACTGAACACCCAGCCATCAGACCACTTAGGAAAAGGAGAAGCCCAAATCATGTTTAATATGCTGGAATTTTATTTATGTAACTCAGTGGGGTCACTAATGGAAATCTCCTAGCTTGGATGATTTCTGACTTTTAATTTTGCTCCAAAAGAAAACCAACATTGAAATGCTTTGCTCTTTTCTCTTCTGTCTTCATCATTTTACCTGTTGTTTTTATCCTCTTGTTTGGTATAGTTTAGAAAGGTATCTGAGGGAAAGAAGACATTGATGGAGAAACTCATTATTTTCTCTAAAGTAAGCCATTTGCAGCAAAGCTTATTCTTCTTGCTACCTTATTTATTGCCTTAGCATGAGGTTTTCAGCTGTTCTCAAGAAAAAGTGATTCTCAAGTAATCTGTATTGCATCCAGAAATCTTTTTCTTATTTGCAATAGTAAATATAAAAATTGTGCTCCAGTGAGGGTGGCAGGGTTCTGTTTTGTTTTAATATCCGTGTGTGTGTGTGTGTGTGTGTGTGTGTGTGTGTGCATGCGCTAACATTTAAAAATCAAAGCCAAGGAGACCAACCTTTTTATGTGAGTTGTGTTTATGTGACCTAATTTGTGCAGCAGCTATTTTATAGCTGAGAATTTATACGCTAAAGGTGGTGCTAATTGTGGTCTTTTAATAGGTATATAAAAGGAAAACAGAAGCTGCCAAAAAAGAATACCTGAAGGCCCTGGCGGCATACAGGGCCAGCCTCGTTTCTAAGGTAAACCTGGGCAGGGGCGGCCAGGCTCCAAAATAGTCACAGCGTGGAAAACAGCCCTCAAGCATTGAAAACATACTTGTAGCTCCCCTAAAAGTTGATGGAAAGGCATCTTGAACAACTTGTAAACTTAGGCGTTTCCATTAGAGATTACCCAAGTGATGATCTGAAAATATGAGTTAATTTAAGCAGCTGAGTCTAAGTTGTTTCTGAAAGATTTCCCTGATCTTTATATATGTGTATGTAGCTATATACATAAATTTTAAATAGGCTCTTATGCTTTCTTCTGGTCAGGGATTGGGACCTGTGCTAGTGTCCTCTGTTTAAACTGGGAGGTATGTTTGTCAGGCATTTTTGGACATCATATTATAAATTCTCCTGTGGTTATATTACTACAATTGGGGGGCATTGCATTTTTGACCAAACTGTTCCATATCATATAAATAAATAAACCTCATGATCATTTAAAATGAAATTATACTCCAAGTACTAAACAAAACCTACATGTATTATATAGAGAGTATACAGTGGACCCTGGTGTGTTATAAAATATCCCAATATCCCAAGCAAATGTCACTCTAGCAAATGAATCCAAAGGAATATGAGCTAATACATGATATTAACATTTAATTAGCTTTTTCTCTTGCCTTTCTAGATTTTAGAGGTTTTGGAAAGGATAATTTGATCTAATATATTTTTGCTCTAGACAAATTTTTTCTGACAAGTAGGGATACAATTTCATTGTCACTGTTGCTGTCTCAAGTACAACCTAGGGTCTCAAAGCCATTTAAAAAGGGTTCATTCCTTTTTTTCTCTTTTCACCTGAGTTGCTTCTTCTTTATATTATCTGTATTAAGTATTTGTATCAAGATCTACCATTTGCAGCTGCTCAGAATCAGATCAACAGAGGTCCTCCTCTCTTTGCTGACAGCTATTAGGACACTTCCCACTTCATTAGATAGATAAAACATTTATCAGGTCAATAGCAAAACCTCTTTCTCAGACTCTGGAAGACACATACTGGAAGATATACTGATGTTGTACTCAGACTTGCACATTGGCAGAAAACAGCTGACTGTGTGGGCTGCAGATGTTAAGAATTAAAGTATAGTTGGTTAACTAGATGGAGTGAAGTGAATAGAGTAACAGTGTGCATGTACTTCTTAAGTGAATCATTTATTCATTCATTTATCCAGAGCAGGTATAGGTGATTTTGTGCATTAAAGCATGAATAATTGACCGTATATGGATTTAAACCAAGATCCGGTATCTCAAAAGGCATTCAGGGAATATTAACCATGATTGGGCTCATGAAGCCTGTGACTGACTTAGAGGGGATAACTTAAAACTTACACATTGCATACTAGAATCAGGATTCAGAAATACTTCCAGGTAGAATTCAATGACACCAAAAAAGAGAAAAAAAATCAATAGGATAGAATTTAGAAGGAATAAATTTAAAATACTAGGGTTTGGTTTGTTTGTTTTTTAATTCAGTAAATGCACTTTGAGAGGATCCTAAATCTCTATTCAAAGAACTGTGAGGCAACTAATATAGTCCTTTAGGTATAAGTTTAGAATAATTTCAGCCTGAACCCAAACTGTGAAGTAGCTGCTAATATAGTGATCGCACAGGAAGCAGCATTGAATTGTACAGTGATTATTAGACCGCTTCTAAAGAATTGGTTCTGTTTTGGATCCCACAGTTTAAAGAGAGATGACAATCAATTGATGTCTCTCTAGAGCATTGCCTCCACGATAGTGAGGACTGAAAATCACATCATGTTAGAATAACTGAAAGAATCAGGGAGGCAAGGACTTGGAGGCATATGATCTTAGTCCTCAAATATAAGGGCCGTTATATAAGGGAAATGAAGTCGATCTTTGTGCCCAAGAGAGGAGAACTCATCCAAGGGGTGAGCTTACAGGGAGTGAGAGTTCAGCCCCAGCATCAGAAATATCAATAGGGTTGCATCATATGCACATTTAACTTATGCCTCTGCACGCAGAGCCTCAGACCTCCCCCCTTAAGATACGACTCTGCTATCACTTTTAATCTTTACAATAACCAAAGAAATTCATGGAAGCTTACTATTAAGCCATAAAGGAACAAGAAGGCAGGCAAGGAAGAACTCTGTGCAATCATCCACCCATCTCCATTTACCGTTAAGGCAGCATCTTAAAGGCACAATAGTGCAACTGAGCTGCCCAGGTGTTGAAATACAGACTTTCTTTGTGTTTTTTTCTTTAAGACAGCTTGTTAATTTTTAACTACTAGAGTATATAAGAATTATGTACATGTTTATTGTGTGTATTCAACTTTATGGGTGATTTAATGGTTTTTTGAAGACAAATTTGAATATTTATAGGCTGCTTCTTACCCTAAGACCTTAGAACATGACGGTTCAGGAACATGCAGCCCCACTGAGTTTTGTAATGTGGAGAGCTGCCCACTGAAGGGGAGTGCCTTATAATGATGACATGTGTTCAAACAGAAAACATCAGAGATGGCTTTTCCTACACTGGATGACTCTCTATATGAGGTTACATCTCAGTTTGTTTCCAACAGCAGGATTTTATAAATCGGAGTCATAAAAATTTAGAAATATAAAATTATTGAAGATAATGGATGGCTGTTTGATGTCTCCTAGGTGCCCCTACAACACACCCCCAAAAACATCCTAATCAAATGAAAAATACAAGGAAAAAATCGTCTCTGGAATGAATCATTCCAATCACTGTTGCATTAGTGGAAGAATTTCTTTTTGTAGAGGCAGTGAAGTGTTTTTAGTACAAAATGTAATAGATAGTTTCTCTCTATGTTCAGCCCTAGATCTGCTGTTTATCTTTTAACAGGTGATTTGGTCCCATGAAGTTGAACATTTTCCCCTTATCTATGACTCCTTTGATAAATTCTACAAATCTTCAAAAATAGTTGATGAACTAAAACATTTCTAAAATTGTGAAAACTTCAATTTGGTATCTCTGAG